>NC_000016.10:67895833-68198863 GCF_000001405.40 Homo sapiens
TGTTGTGGTCTCATGCCTAGAAGCATGGGCTTTGGTGTCAGAAAGACCTGGATTCAGTTTCTGGCTTTTCTGAAATCTTGAGGTTCTCTAAGTCCTAATTTCCTTATTCCAAAATAGGAATCATCGTGCCTACTACATGTGCTTGTAGAGAGGAGTGAGATGGTACATATAAGATCCTTAGCAAAGTTGGCACTCAGTTAATGGAAGCCACTTTTATTACTAATGGCTCCTCTTCCCAGAGTTTCCCTTGTCAAAAGAAGGTCTTGTCTTCTTTTTTCTTTTCTTTTTTTTTTTGAGATGATGTCTCGCTCTGTCGCCAGGCTGGAGTGCAATGGCGTGAGCTCGGCTCACTACAACCTCCGCCTCCCAGGTTCAAGCAATTCTCCTGTCTCAGCCTCCTCAGTAGCTGGGACTACAGATGCCTGCCACCACACCTGGCTAATTTTTGTATTTTTAGTAGAGACGAGGTTTCACCGTATTGCTCAGGCTGGTCTCAAACTCCTGACCTCAGGTGATCCACTCACCTCGGACTCCCAAAGTGCTGGGATTACAAGCATGAGCCACCACAACCGGCTAGAAGGTCTTGTCTTAATAAGCGTGTTTGTTCTTCAGGGTTAGTTGTGTGTAGGAAGCTGCTTTGTATTGTGTGATTTCCTCAAGGTCATTTCTGGTCATCGGGGAAAACTGACAATAGTGTGCTTCTTTTTTTTTTTTTTTTTTTTTTTTGAGACGGAGTTTTGCTCTTGTTGCCCAGGCTGGAGTGCAATGGCTCAATCTTGGCTCACCGCAACCTCTGCCTCCCGGGTTCAAGCGATTCTCCTGCCTCAGCCTCCCGCAATATGGTGCCTCTAAATCAGGGTCGATTCAGTTGGCCATACCCCTAGAAGAGATTTGGAATGCTGATTCACTAGAGGGTGGGTTTGCTGAATAAGCATATTGTCTAGGTCTAATTGTAGTTTTGTGCTTGTTAAGTTGCATAAATGAGCTAGAAAAAGTGCAGCCTTCAGGAAACCTGTTTGCATCTGACACTGAGCTCCAGTTGCACTTCACCTCAGGCATCTGGTTGGCATCTAGAACAGAATGCCCCTACAGAAGTAGGTGCTGGAGTTCTCTATCATAATCACAAGTTCATAGTTAAATGAGTGAGACTTTGGTTTGGCCTTCTGTTTTACTTTGGAAGTGTGAGTGTGTAATATGGGCAACTTAGGTCCTCTTCACAGCTTCTCAGCTGTATGATGTGAATGGGCTATAGGTGTGCCAAAGTATCGACCCTTAAGCTTCAGGATAGCTGAGAACAGCTGTCTCCACTGACTCCCGGGTGTTATACAATAGTATCATTCTATCATTCTCTCTGTGTATCTTGGCATGGGGAAAAATTTTTGAGAAAAAGTACAGCTCTGGAAGAAGGGAAGCAGTTCTGCTTGTTGAGAGCTGGAGAGAGACTTATTTATTTGAACTCCCTTTCCTTCCAGGAATCTTACTCAAGGAGCATTAAGCCGGTTTGTGTTGGCTAGGTCATCACTGAGCTAATTCTTGGTACAGCCCTCTGTTGCCATGGTGTCTGATGTGATGCTAAGGTGGAAACATGTGATGTTTTCATTTGCTGGGAGAAAGTTTTCTTTCCAAGCTGCCAGCCTTGAAATGGCCTCTCAGGGCATCCTAAGAGTCATGTATCAAGGGACTCTTGGTGTGGAGCCATCCAGGCTGTAAGTTCCTTAAGATTAGAGACTATGGCCGCCTTCTTTTTGTTTGTCGCAATCTCTGGCAGAGTTCCTGACCCACAGCAGGAATTCAGTAAATATTTCTGGGTTGAACGTTGGGATTTTGGAAGGAGAACCCCAGGTACATTGCCAGGGTCTGTATTTCTGATGATGGCGAGGTCTCACTCTGTTGCCCAGGCTGGAGTGCAGTGGCATAATCATAGCTCACTGCAACCTTGCCTTCCCGTGCTCAAGTGATTCTCCCACCTCAGCCTCCTGAGTGGCTGGGACTACAGGCACACAGCATCACACCCAGCTAATTTTGTTTTTTTGAGACGGAGTCTTGCTTTGTTGCCCAGGCTGGAGTGTAGTGGCGCCATCTTGGCTCATTGCAAGCTCTGCCTTCCGGGTTCATGCCATTCTCCTGCCTCAGCCTCCCGAGTAGCTGGGACTACAGGTGCACGCTACCACGCCCGGCTAATTTTTTTTGTATTTTTTAGTAGAGACGGGGTTTCACTGTGTTGGCCAGGCTGGTCTTGAACTCTTGACCTCATGATCCACCTGGCTCAGACTCCCAAAGTGCTGGGATTACAGGCGTAAGCCACCGCGCCCAGCCACACCCAGCTAATTTTTTAAACATTTTTTGTAGAGAGGCCAAGACAGGCAGATCACTTGGGCTCAAGAGTTCGAGAACAAGCCTGGGCAACATGGTGAAACCCTGTCTCTACTGAAAATACAAAGATTAGCCAGGCATCCTAGGTACTCGGGGGCTGAGGCACGAGAACCGCTTGAACCTGGGAGGAGGAGGCTGCAGCGAGCCGAGATTGCGCCACTGCGCTCCAGCCTGGGTGACAGAGTGAGACCCTGTCTCAAAAAAAAGAAAAAACTTTTTTTTTTTTGTAGAGACAAGGTCTTGTTATGTTGCCCAGCCTGGTTTCAAACTCTTGGCCTCAAGTGATCCTCCTGCCCTGGCCCCCAGAGTGTTGGGATTATAGTTGTGTGCCACTGCGTCCAGCCTTATTTCTGTAATTATTGAGAAATTACTACCTACTTCATTTTAGTAGACAGTTTTTCTTTCTTTTTCTTTCTTTCTTTTTTTTTTTTTTTGGAGATGGAGTCTCGCTCTGTTGCCCAGGCTGGAGTGCAGTGGCGCGATCTCAGCTCACTGCAACCTCTGCCTTCCGGGTTCAAGCAGTTCCCTGCCTCAGCCTCCTGAGTAGCTGGGATTACAGGCATGTGCCACCACACCCAACTAATTTTTGTATTTTGAGTAGAGACAGGGTTTCACCATCTTGGCCAGGCTGGTCTTGAACTCCTGACCTCGTGATCCGCCTGCCTCAGCCTCCCAAAGTGCTGGGATTACAGGTGTGAGCCGCTGCGCCCAGCCGGTAGACAGTTTTTCAAAACATGTCAGTAGAATATAGAGATATTTGCAGGTGACAGGTTATAAAGCTTTGCTTGGAGAGGGCAAGGTTCCTATGGTTCCTTGCCTGGAAGACATTCACAGACCCTGCCTCTATGGATAGGAAATTGTTTCAGGATTCATCCTTGCTCCCTGCCCCGGGACCCCTAGCTTTCCCCAGAAATGGGGCTAGGTTTGGCAGCTTGTGAACAAACTTACTTTGGCATTCAGATAAGAATCTGTAAAACTCAAACAGACTTCCTTCATTGTTGAGGATATTTACAGGGTGTCCAAAGAGTGTGGCTATGGTTTAACCACCGATCTTGCCTCTTCAACATTTCTAAGGTTCTAGAATTGTTGACTTGCAGCAAATAGAAATCCAAGAGCCAGACCACATTTTTTTTTTTTTTTTTTTTTTGGAGACGAGTCTCGCTCTATGGCCCAGGCTGGAGTGCAGTGGCGCAATCTCGGCTCACTGCAAGCTCCTTCTCCCGGGTTCACGCCATTCTCCTGCCTCAGCCTCCTGAGTAGCTGGGACTACAGGCGCCTGCCACCACACCGGGCTAATTTTTTGTATTTTTAGTAGAGACCGGGTTTCACCATGTTAGCCAGGATGGTCTCAATCTCCTGTCCTCGTGATCGGCCCGCCTTGGCCTCCCAAAATGCCGGGATTACAGGCATGAGCCACTGTGCCAGCCCACATTTCTTTTATTTATTTATTTATTTTTTTGAGATGGAGTCCTGCTCTGTTGCCCAGGCTGGAGTGCAGTGGCGTGATCTCGGCTCACTGCAACCTCTGCCTCTCAGGTTCAAGCGATTTTCCAGCCTCAGCCTCCCAAGTAGCTGGGATTCCAGGTGTCCACCACCACACTTGGCTAATTTTTTTGTATTTTTAGTAGAGATGGGGTTTCACCATGTTGGACAGGTGGTTTCAAACTCATGACCTCAAGTGATCCACCTGCCTCGGCCTCCCAAAGTGCTAGGATTCCAGGCATGAGCCACTGTGCCCTGCCTGTTTTTCTTTTTCTTTCTTTTTATTTTCTTGAGACGGAGTGCTGCCCTGTCGCTTAGGCTGGAGTGCAGTGGCATGATCTCAGCCTACTGCAACCTCTGCTTCCCAGGGTCAAATGATTCTCCTGCCTCAGCTTCTGAGTAGCTGGGATTACAGGTGCCCACTACCATGCCCAGGAAATTTTTTTGTATTTTTAGTAGAGATGGGTTTCACCATGTTGGCCAGGCTGATCTTGTACTCCTTACCTCAGGTGATCCACCTGCCTTGGCCTCCCAAAATGCTGTGATTATAGGCGTGAGCCACTGCGCCCGGCCAGACCACATTTCATTTGCTCTGAGTTCAGCAATTTGATAAGTACCAAGGGAGTTCTGGAAACCTGAGAATGGCCCCTTCCCTCAAGGGTCTGACAGCTGTAGTGATCAAAGGCAGTCTGGAGTAGAGCAGTGAGCAGTGTGACTCAGATTATAGTTGGAATGGAGGTTTCTAAAGCAGACCCTTCAGGAAAGATCCTCAGGAAAGCTTTGTGGGTTCACCAACTCAGTGGCATGGGGAAGGATCAAGGCCTTGACTGGATGAGGCCCAGCACTGCTGGAGTCTTTCCGGAGTGATAGAAGGAGCCCCAGATGGGGAACTAGGATATTTGGGTCCAGGATATTTGGTCACCACCGTCTGAGTGGCTTTGGACGAGTCTCTTTACCTCTCCTGGACTGTCATTTCTGTAGATTGTCAGTGAGGACGATAATGCTGAATGCTCATACCCATTGCCACACTCTGTCCAATGTGCGTGCCTTCTTTGAAGAGTGCTTTGGACCAGGCTGGGAGTTTAAGTTTTGGAGGCAGACTCTAGAGAGTTGGGTACTTTCTGCAAGATGACATACTGTGACACTCCTGGGAAGTCTCTTCCTGAAGCTTCCTTACTCATCCTTGCCCATCCCTACACCTACCGTGATCTCTGGGCTAGGGGCACACACAAGAGATGCTGGGAACAGGAAAAGGCTCTGCTCTTCTTCCTAGGAGCTTTACCAGCCACCTCCCGTGTTATAGAGTCTGCATTTTCACCTGACCACAGTGTGGAGAGGGAGTTTAACAGATGTGATGGGACTGTGGAGCAGCTGTGATCACCTGGGGGCTGTTGCCCATTGTCCCCACCTCTCAGCCAGCACCCTCTCTTCTCTACTTTCTTTTTTTTTTCCCCTCTCTTGGCCAATTTGGTCTAATATCCTCCAGTTTCAATCTGTAGTTGGGATGGTGGAGTACCCGCATCAGCCTATCTTTACAGAGTTTCTGATTGGAATCAATGTGAGAGAAACTATGTCTCAGGAAGACAGAAGGAAGATCAGAGGGAAAATCATTGACTCTCTTATTGCCGACTGACTTTATTTTGTTTTCTTTCTTTCTTTAAGAGACGGAGTTTCGCTCTATCGCCCAGGCTGGAGTGCAGTGGCGCGATCTCAGCTCACTGCAACCTCCGCCTCCTGGGTTCAAGCAATTCTCCTGCCTCAGCCTCCTGAGTAGCTGCGACTGCAGGCTCATGCCACCACGCCTGGCTAATTTTTTTTGTATTTTAGTAGAGACGGGGTTTCACCGTGTTGCCCAGGCTGGCTCAAACTCCTGAGCTCAGGCAATCCACCTGCCTTGGCCTCCCAAAGTGCTAGGATTACAGGCGTGAGCCACCATGCCCAGCCTATTTTTTTTTTTTTTTTTGGAGACATGGTCTTGCTCTGTTGCCCAGGCTGGAGTGCCATAGCACAAACACAGCACACTGCAGCCTCGACTTCCCTGGCTCAAGCTATCCTCCACCTCAGCTTCCTGAGTATCTGGGACTACAGGTGCATGCCACCACGCCTGACTAATTTTTTGTAGAGATGGAGGTCTCACTACATTGCCCTGGCTGGTCTCAGACTCCAGGGCTCAAGTAATCCTCCCACCTTGGCCTCCCAGAGTGCTAGGATCACAGTGTAAACCACTGCGCCCTGATGCTGACTTACCTTTGATCCCTGTAGGTTTTATTTGTTTAAAGTGAAAAGTGAGGCCGGGTGCAGTGGCTCACACCTGTAATTCCAACACTTTAGGAGGCGGAGGTGGGCGGATCACTTGAGGCCAGGAGTTTAAGACCAGTCTGGCCAATGTGTTGTAACCCTGTCTCTACTAAAAATACAAAAATTAACCAAGCATGGTGGCACATGCCTGTAGTCCCAGCTACTTGGGAGGCTGAGGCACGAGAATTGTTTGAACCTGGGAAGTGGAGGTTGCAGTGAGCTGAGATCGTGCCACTGCACGCCAACTTAGGTGATAAAGCGAGACTCCATCTCAAAAAAAAAAAAAGAAATAAAAATGAATCGAAAAGTTAGACCTTTTGTTTTTTGTTTTTTTGAGACAGTCTCGATCTCTCACCCAGGCTGGAGTACAGTGGTGCGATCTCGGCTCACTGCAGCCTCCCTGGTTCAAGCGATTCTCCTACCTCAGCCTCCTGAGCAGCTGGGATTACAGGCGCGTGCCATCACGTCCGGGGCTAATTTTTGTATTTTTAGTAGAGACGGGGTTTCACCCATGTTGGTCAGGCTGGTCTCAAACTCTTGACCTTGTGATCCGCCCACCTCAGCCTCCCAAAGTGCTGGGATTACAGGCCTGAGCCACTGCGCCCAGCCAGGCCTTTTCTTTTATAAACCTTAGGTTTTTCCCTGAGGACCAGACTAGGTCCTCATTTAAACAAAAATTTAAACAAAAATACCCAGTACATGTGCCTGTAGATGACTGTTTATTTTGTGAATCTAGGGTTCTGCTTCTTCACCAGGAAGAAGTGACATCTGAGTGGCTGTGCTGGGTTACTCATGCAGTTTGTCTTGCCTCCGAATGGTGGTAGATGTTGTTACTGAGTGGTCGTGGGCATCGGGGTGAGGGACCTGTGTTCTGCCTCAGGAATACCAGCCCAAGAGGAGCTTCAGTCCTTCACTGCATGAGGTGTTGTGTTTTCCCTGAAAGAAGAAATAAGTCTGCAAAATTCCACAGTCCGTAGTTCTATCCTGTGGCCTCTGCGAAAAGGAACCTTGGTTCTAAATGCCTTTGTTTAACATTATTTCCTAGTTGCCATGTGGAACTTCCTGTGCATTTGGGTGAGAACAGCTGCAAATCCTGAAGAGCCTTGTGGAGGAATCTTTTCCTCTTATGTGAAGAAAAATAAACAATATTTTTTTTTGGTTTGGTTTGGTTTTGCTTTGTTTTTCAGACAGGATTTCTGTCTCCCAGGCTGGAATATAGTGGTACCATCACCGCTCACTGCAACCTCAACCTCTTGGACTGAAGCAGATCCTCCCACCCTAGCCTCCTAAGTAGCTGGGATCACAGGCACATGCCACCATGTCTGACTCAATTTAAAAAATGTTTGGCAGAGATAGGGTCTTTCTGTGTTGCCCAGGCTGGTCTTGAACTCCTGGACTCAAGTAGTCCTCACGCCTTGGCCTCCCAAAGTGCTGGGATTACAGGCATGAGCCACTATGCCCCATAGATAAACCTCATTTTTTCCTCTCTCTCTCTTTTTGAGATGGAGTCTTGCTCTTTTGCCCAGGCTGGAGTGCAGTGGCACAGTCTCAGCTCACTGCAACCTCCGCCTCCCAGGTTTAAGCGATTCTCCTGTCTCAGCCTCCCCAGACATCAGATTCTGTATCTAGTAACCCACAGTAAATGTCACATGGATGGTCTACATGCACCCCACACATCCAAAACTGAACTCTTTCCACTGCTTCCCAAATCTGTGCTTCTTGCTACACTCCTGACCACTTGCCGCTGAGCTGTGCAAGGGACGGGGTGCTGTCCTCATTCTTCCTTCCACCCAACATGGAAGTTCTGCTGCTGATAGCTCTCGATTCCACTCCACTGCTTGGGGCACTACACTCTTTTTTTTTTTTTTTTTTTTCCTTTTTGAAACAGGGTCTTTCTCTGTCACCCAGGCTGGAGTGTAGTGGTGTGATTATCGCTCACTGCAGCCTTGATCTCTTGGGCTCAAGCAGTCCTCCTGCCTTGGCCTCCAAAGTAACTGGGACTACAGGTGCATACCATCATACCCAGCTGATTTTTTTTTTTTTTTTTGAGACGGAGTCTTGCTCTGTTGCCCAGGCTGGAATGCAGTGGCATGATCTTGGCTCACTGCAACCTATGCCTCCCAGGTTCAAACAATTCTCCTGCCTCAGCCTCCAGATTAGCTGAGATTACAGGCGCCTGCCACAATGCCTGGCTAATTTTTGTATTTGTATTTGTATTTTTTATATATTTTTTGAGACTGAGTCTCACTCTGTCACCCAGGCTGGAGTGCAGTGGCGCGATCTTGGTGGCTCGCTGCAACCTCTGCCTCCTGGGTCCAAGTAATTCTGCCTCAGCCTCCTGAGTAGCTGGGATTACAGGCATGCGCCACCACGCCCGACTAATATTTTTGTATTTTTTTGGTAGAGATGGGGTTTTACCATATTGGCCAGACTGGTCTCGAACTCCTGACCTTGTGATCCGCCCACCTCGGCCTCCCATAGTGCTGGGATTACAGGCATGAGCCACCGCGCCCCGCCTAATTTTTGTATTTTTAGTAGAGACAGGGTTTCTCCATGTTGGTCAGGCTGGTCTCAAACTCCCTACCTCAGGTGATTCGCCTGCCTCAGCCTCCCAAAGTGCTAGGATTACAGGCGTGAGCTGCCGTGCCTGGCCTACCCAGCTAATTTTTTAATCTTGTAGGGACAGGGTCTCACTGTGTTGTCCAGGCTAGTCTCAAACTCCTGCACTCAAGCTATCCCCCCACCTCAGCCTCCCAAAGAGCTGGGATTACTCCCGGTGCTGGGATGGCCACACCTGGCCAATGGGACACCACACTCTTACTGGTCCTTTTTTAATTTTTTTTTTTTTTTTTTTTTTTGAGACAAAGTCTCGCTCTGTCGCCCAGGCTAGAGTGCAGTGGCGTGATGTCTGCTCACTGCAACCTCTGCCTCCCGCATTCACGCCATTCTCCTGCCTCAGCCTCCCGAGTAGCTGAGACTACAGGCACCCACCACCACGTCCGGCTAATTTTTTGTATTTTTAGTGGAGACGGGGTTTCACTGTGTTAGCCAGGATGGTCTCGATCTCCTGACCTCATGATCCACCCGCCTCGGCCTCCCAAAGTGCTGGGATTACAGGCATGAGCCACTGTGCCCAGCTCTTACTGGCCCTTTTAATCCACTTTGACCCTCCTTCAGGTCAACCTCATCCTTCTCTCTAAACACAGATCTGAATGCCTCTTTTCTTGTAAACCCTTTCGTAGCTCTCCTTCACTTCCCAGGAAGGTCCTGGTCCTCACTTGTGTTGCTCTCCATAACCACCTTCTGCTGACCTTCTATAACTTCATCTCCACATCCCTGCCTTTGTACCACCAAACTGCCCATTCCTAGATGCAGGATGTTACTCTGGGTTTCTGAGCCTTTGCAGTGTGTTATTCTCTCTCCCTGAAACACCATTCCCACCTTTCCTCATCTGACTCATTCTTGCTTCAAAATTCAGCATAGAGGTTACCTCCTTCAGGAAGGTTTTCCTAACCCCGACTTCACTCTACATTATATACTATTGGTTCTTAAGCTTAACACTTAACCATGTTATACTGAAATTATGTTTTTGGCTGGGCACAGTGGCTCACACCTGTTATCCCAGCACTTTAGGTGGCCAAAGCTGGCGGATCACTTGAGGTCAGGAGTTGGAGACCAGCCTGGCCAACATGAAACCCTTTCTCTCTACTAAAAATACAAAAATCACCCAGGCGAGGTGGCAGGTGCCTGTAATCCCAGCTACTTGGGAGGCTGAGGCATGAGAATCGCTTGAACCCGGGAGGCAGAGGCTGCAGTTAGCTGAGGTCGTGCCAGTGCACTCCAGCCTGGGTGAAGGAGACTCCATCTCAAAAAAAGAAAAACAAAATTATTTGTTTTTATGCTTTTCTCTTTATTTAGATTGTGAGTTTATTGACCATGTTCTACTTGTTTGTGTGTGTGTGTGTTAAAATATAACCTACCTTGGACCATGTTTTATTTATTCCTGTGCCCCTGGTATCTACTAGATATTTAATAATAAATGTTTTATCTGAATTGTTCATTTCTCTTCCAGTTCTATTTGTCATAATTTTTTTTTTTCTTTTTGAGACAGAGTTTCACTCTTGTTGCCCAGGCTGGAGTGCAATCACGCGATCTCGGCTACTCTAACCTCCGCCTCCCGGGTTCAAACAATTCTTCTGCCTCAGCCTCCCAAGTAGCTGGGATTACAGGCATGTGCCACCAAGCCCGGCTAATTTTGTATTTTTAGTAGAGACAGGGTTTCACCATGTTGGCCTGGCTGGTCTCGAACTCCCGACCTCTGGTGATCCACCCGCCTTGGCCTCCCAAAGTGCTAGGATTACAGGCGTGAGCCTCCGCGCCCAGCCTTTTTTTTTTTTTCTTTTAAGACAGATCTCTGTTGCCCAGGCTGGAGTGCAGTGGCACAATCTTGGCTCACTGCAACCTCCACCAGGTTCAAGTGACTCTTCTGCCTCAGCCTCCCAAGTAGCTGGGGTTACAGGTGTGCATCACCATGCCCGGCTAATGTTTTTGTATTTTTAGTAGAGATGGAGTTTCACCATGTTGGCCAGACTGGTCTTGAACTCCTGACCTCAAGTGATCCGCCCACCTCGGCCTCCCAAAGTGCTGGGATTACAGGTGTGAGCTACCGGGCCCAGCCTGTGTGTCATAATTAATAGGAAATCCTTATCTCTCTTCAACCCTTGGGGTCCTCAGACATAGAGAAGAGCCCTCTCATTAGAAAGGTGGTGACCTCTGGAAGCAGTAACTTCAGCACTGCACCTTGTCCAGGGCCCCACCAGCCCCAGGGTATTTAGTTCATGGTTGGAACATCTCTGTCTGGGAATCAAACTGGAAGGGACCCTGGATCCCCATCATAAGGAAGCAAGATACCCTGATCTTCATCCTGAGTTAAATCTGGGTGAAACTGCCAGTGTCCTCTCTGAGCTCAAGCCCCTCTGACTCTTTTTTTTTTTTGAGACGGAGTCTCACTCTGTTGCCCAGGCTGGAGTGCAGTGGCAGGATCTCGGCTCACTGCAAGCTCCGCCTCCCGGGTTCACGCCATTCTCCTGCCTCAGCCTCCCGAGTAGCTGGGACTACAGGCGCCTGCCACCACGCCCGGCTAATTTTTTGTATTTTTAGTAGAGATGGGGTTTCACTGTGTTAGCCAGGATAGTCTCGATCTCCTGACCTTGTGATCCGCCCGCCTCGGTCTCCCAAAGTGCTGAGGTTACAGACCTGAGCCACCGCGCCTGGCCAACTCTTTTTTTTTTTGACATGGAGTCTCACTCTTTTGTCCAGGCTGGAGTGGGGTGGCGCAGTGTCAGCTCACAGCAACCTCTGCCTCCCGGGTTCAAGCAATTCTTCTGCCTCAGCCCCCCAAGTGGCTGGGATTACAGGCGCCCACCACCACACCCAGCTAATTTTTGTACTTGTAGTAGAAATGGGGTTTCACCATATTGGCCAGGCTGATCTCAAACTCCTGACCTCAGGTGATCTGCCCGCCTCGGCCTTCCAAAGTGATGGGATTACAGGCATGAGCCACTGTGCCCGGCCCCGCCTCTGACTCTTGAATGAAGACCAGGCGAGTTTTGCAGTCACTTGGTGGCAGTGTGCTGAGGCTTGTGGTCCCAAGTTCACTGGGGTTGATTCCAGCAGCTCTGGGCCTTGTGTGGGATTTCAGCCATCCATGTAGTGTGCTGGGGAAGTGAGAGACCCTGGAATAGGGAGTTAAACTGCCAGGGTGGGGACAGTGCATTAGCAAAGGAGTGGAAGCCTTCCAGGAGAATGAGGGAGAGCCCCAGGGAAGTGGTTTGTTGCTTGTTACAGAGGGACCAACCCCTGTAGGAAGCCTAAAGGGCTGGGAAAGATATGCATGAAGGAGGCCTTGGAGAAGCAGCTTTCTGAGCCCTGGTGGGTGATGGTGTTAGAGAGCAGGCCTCCAACACTTCACACCCCCATTTCAGAAAAGATGAGTCAAGAGTAATAAGAGGAATGATTTTAACATTTTAGAAACATGGGCCTTCGGCTAGGATAAGGGGCCCAGGCAGAGGAGTGAGGAGGGTGGGCGCCCTGACAGCTGAGGCTATGCGTGTTCCTGCCCCCTCTCAGGGTTGAAGAGCAGCATGAGACTGAGGCCCAGGGAGATGAGTCAAAGCCGTGAAGCTCGGGCCATCTTTTCAGCTAGACCCTGTGTTGAGTCTGGGCTCTTGAACAGCAAAGCCATACTCCCGACCAGGGAAATAAATGAGAGCCAGGACTTCAGTTTTTTGTTTGTTTGTTTGAGACAGAGTCTTACTCTGTCACCCAGGCTGGAGTGCAGTGGTGCAATCTCAGCTCACTGCAGCCTCCGCCTCCTGGGTTCAATCGATTCTTGTGCCTCAGCCTCCCGAGTAGGTGGGATTACAGATGTGTGCCACCACGCCTGGCTAATTTTTGTATTTTTAGTAGAGATGGGTTTTCACCATGTTGGCCAGCTGGTCTTGAACTCCTGACCTCAGGTAATCCACCTGCCTCAGCTTCCCAAGGTGTTGGGATTACAGGTGTGAGCCATCACGCCTGGCCAGGAGTTTGGTTTTAATGAGACTGAGTTTCTGGAGAGGGAGGGCTGAGGAGGATGGCTGATTTCCTTAGAGTTGGCCTGGCTGTGCTGACTTGTTCTCTCTTTGTGTGTAGGTGTAGACGGGGCACTGCCTTCAGAGCAGGTCCTGCCAGCCTCGCTGGAGAGGATGCCCTCGTGTCCGTGATGGGCTGTGGGACAAGCAAGGTCCTTCCCGAGCCACCCAAGGATGTCCAGCTGGATCTGGTCAAGAAGGTGGAGCCCTTCAGTGGCACTAAGAGTGACGTGTACAAGCACTTCATCACAGAGGTGGACAGTGTTGGCCCTGTCAAAGCCGGGTTCCCAGCAGCAAGTCAGTATGCACACCCCTGCCCCGGTCCCCCGACTGCTGGCCACACGGAGCCTCCCTCAGAACCACCACGCAGGGCCAGGGTAGCTAAGTACAGGGCCAAGTTTGACCCACGTGTTACAGCTAAGTATGACATCAAGGCCCTAATTGGCCGAGGCAGCTTCAGCCGAGTGGTACGTGTAGAGCACCGGGCAACCCGGCAGCCGTATGCCATCAAGATGATTGAGACCAAGTACCGGGAGGGGCGGGAGGTGTGTGAGTCGGAGCTGCGTGTGCTGCGTCGGGTGCGTCATGCCAACATCATCCAGCTGGTGGAGGTGTTCGAGACACAGGAGCGGGTGTACATGGTGATGGAGCTGGCCACTGGTGGAGAGCTCTTTGACCGCATCATTGCCAAGGGCTCCTTCACCGAGCGTGACGCCACGCGGGTGCTGCAGATGGTGCTGGATGGCGTCCGGTATCTGCATGCACTGGGCATCACACACCGAGACCTCAAACCTGAGAATCTGCTCTACTACCATCCGGGCACTGACTCCAAGATCATCATCACCGACTTCGGCCTGGCCAGTGCTCGCAAGAAGGGTGATGACTGCTTGATGAAGACCACCTGTGGCACGCCTGAGTACATTGCCCCAGAAGTCCTGGTCCGCAAGCCATACACCAACTCAGTGGACATGTGGGCGCTGGGCGTCATTGCCTACATCCTACTCAGTGGCACCATGCCGTTTGAGGATGACAACCGTACCCGGCTGTACCGGCAGATCCTCAGGGGCAAGTACAGTTACTCTGGGGAGGTGAGTCTGTCCTGCCCCTGTCCTGGATGTTGGGGAGGCACCTGCGGGGGCAGGTATATCCTGCAGCTCTCAGTCAGAGGTATGTCCTCAGGGCCATGCTCGTGAGGGCCAGGCAGGTCATATAAAAGGGACAAAGTGAGACTATCAGAATGTAGTTTGGGTTCCCTCAAGGTGAGCCCTGAGACAAGGACTTGGGAGCAGATAGTTTATTTGGGATGTGATTTGAGTAACTAAAAGTGAAGGAGTGGGAAAAGTGAGGCAGGAAGGGAGAAAGTCAGTAGAGTATATTGAGAAATGGACTGCCACTGTGGGCCACTGGGAACCTTGGTAATAACCATGTGGAATGTGCCTCATAGTTGTACCACCAAAGAGCAGGAACGTGAGTTTCTTTTTGTTTTGTTTTTTTTTTAATCCACTGACTCCTGTACTTCATGGGTTGAGAATTTCTTTGAGGACACTAAATCTCTGGTGCTTCTGGGCTGTCCTGATACCAACTAGTGCTAGAGAAAGTCTTCAGGCAGAGAAGCAGAGAGATGCAGGCACTGGCGGTGGGAAGCTGTTGCCAGGCACCAAGCAGTGTGCCACAGCTGCAGATGAGCTCAGGGGGTGGGCTGAGAGGATGTGGGCAGGGCCTTCCCAGCATCTGCTCTGTGGGGCCCCAGCCAAGCTAGACTGAACATGCCCATCTCAGAGAGCAGCTTCTCATCACTGTCCAGTTTCACCACACAATGAGGACCTCGTGTGTCCAGATCTGATTTTTTTTTAGAAGAGAAACCAGAAAATCTGATCTTTTATTTTTTGAGATGGAGTCTTGCTCTGTTGCCCAGGCTGGAGTTCAGTGGCACAATCTTGGCTCATTGCAGTCTCCACCTCATGGGTCCAAGTGATTCTCCTGCCTCAGCCTCCCAAGTGGCTGGGATTACAGACCTGGGATTACAGGCCCGCATCACCTCCCCCAGCTAATTTTTGTATTTTTAGTAGAGATGAGGTTTCGCGACGTTGGCCAGCCTGGTCTCGAACTCCAGACCTCAGGTCATCCGCCGGCCTTGGCCTCCCAAAGTGCTGGGATTACAGGCGTGAGCCACTGCACCTGGCCAGAAAATCTAATCTTAAAATGTTAGAATATTCTGATTCACATATTTAAGCAGCTTCTTGTGCGCCAGCAAACACTAACCTGCAGGTCACATTCAACCGCCAGGCTGTCAGTTTGTGTCTTTGGATCCATTGATAGTCCTGATGCCTCCAAAAATGTGTGAGGTTTCAGCACTGTTGGGAGCTGATGGAAGGTACAGAAAAAGTGAGGGCTGGTTGGTCCTTAGGAAGGATGCTGACTGGGTAAAAGACAAGGCTGACTGCAGGAAGCAGCAAGCATGGCAGCTGGAGCCTAGTGGTGTGCTGGGAAGGCTGTGAAGAAGAGAGTCTGTGTCGGCTTTATGTGGGAGGGAGGTGAGCTTGGCAGGATGACAAGATTTTGCCAAGGCAGTGAGAACCCCCTCTTCTAGGGGGCTCCCCATAGGGTGTTTCCTTCAGATATGGACCTGCTGAGGTGCTATCCATGCCTCTTGTAAATCTTCTGTGGAGGGGAAGGAGCTCTGGAAGCAGCTTCCTTCTGTGGCCCAGCTTTCCTCCCAGGGGTGTGGGCTGGGCCTTTTCTGGCCCCAGCCAGCATTTCCTTCAAGAGTCACCCAACAGCTGGCCAGGTGCGGTGGCTCACGCCTGTAATCCCAGCACTTTGGGAGGCCGAGACAGGTGGATTACTGGAAGTCAGGAGTTCAAGACCAGCCTGGCCAACATGGTGAAACCTCCTCTTTACTAAAAACACAAAATTAGCCGGGTGTGGCAGCGGGCACCTATAATCCCAGCTACTCGGGAGGCTGAGGCAAGAGAATCACCTAAACCCAGTAGACAGAGGTTGCAGTAAGCCAAGATTGTGCCATTGCACTCCAGCCTGGGCAAAAAGAGTGAAACTCTGTCCCCCCCAAAAAAAAAGAGTCACCCAACAGCCTCACACCACTTACTTTGCCTTTAGCACTTGAGGTCCTGTGCTGTATCACCTTCCCTGACAGCTTCTGGATGTGGCTATGGGGTCCATCGGGGACTTCCTCCTGCTGGGGAGGGGGCTGGCATTCTCTAGGGGCATCCCCATGTCATGCCTCTCAAAGGTGGCACAAGGAAGGGAGGGAAGCTTTCCTCCTGAGGCTGACTCTGTCACAGGCACAAGGGAGGGTATCTGTTTGTACCACTCTTAGGAGATCGTTGCGTAGGAGTCAGGCAGGTGGTGAAGATTTATACCAGTAACTGGGATCTGTGGGCCTAGGGGTGAAGGGGCCACTGTAGACCACTAGATGCTTACTGCAGAGTGGTCAGCCTTGTGGAGAACTCAGTCCTGGCCCACTGTCATTCTCAGATTTTATGTGGACAGGTGGGTTCTGCAGAAAATCTGGCTGTCACATGCTTATAGCACTGAGCAGTAAATGGGACCATACTGGTACTGAATGAGAGCCTGGGAAGCCAGAGAATAGTCCCTTATACTCAGTTAAAAGTCAGGAGTGCCCAACAGTGAATTAACTGTTACACTCGGGACCATTCCAGTCTAATTAGATTTGACTCAAGGCTCAGATAAAGCTTTGGGTTTGGTTCCCAGCATCATCATGGCAAGTGTGAGCTTTTGGTGTCTATGGAAGGCACTGGGAAGAGTGAGAGGAGCAGGCACAGGTGGTGATAGAGGGAACAATTTAAAGACAAGCCCCTTTATCCTGATGATGATCCCCTCAGTAACGTTGGGGCAATGCCTTGATGTTTACTTGGTTCTCAGATATGGATTGGCCATCAGGTTGGCACAATCTGTGGCTATAAACTGGCAATAAGAAATCCTCTCCCAGCCGGGTACGGTGGCTCACGCCTGTAATCCCAGCACTTTGGGAGGCCAAGGTGGGCAGATCACCTGAGGTTGGGAGTTCGAGACCAGCCTGACCAACATGGTGAAACCCCGTCTCTACTAAAAATGCAAAATTAGCCGGGCGTGGTGGCACATGCCTGTAATCCCAGCTACTCGGGAGGCTGAGGCAGGAGAATCACTTGAACCCATGAGGCAGAGGTTGCAGTGAGCCGAGATTGTGCCATTGCACTTCAGCCTGGGCAACAAGAGCGAAACTCTGTCTCAAAAAAAGAAACAAAAAAAAAGAAATCCTCTCCCAGGCTGGGCATGGTGGCTCACATTTGTAATCTCAGCACAGTTTGGGAGGCTGAGGCAGGAGGATCACCTGAAGCCAGGAGTTTGAGACCAGCCTGGGCAACATAGCGAGACCCCATCTCTTAAAAAAAATTTTTTTTAGCCAGGTGTGGGCACATGCCTGTAGTCCCAGCTACTCAGGAGGCTGAGGTGGGAGGATCACTTGAGCCCAGGAGTTCAAGGTTGCAGGGAGCTGTGAATGTGCCACTGCACTCCAGCCTGTGTGAAGACGGAGTCTTGCCCTGTTACCCAGGCTGGAGTGCAGGGGTGCGATCTTGGCTCACTGCAGCTTCCGCCTCTCAGGTTCAAGTGATTCTCCCGCCTCAGCCTCCCGAGTAGCTGGGACTACAGGCATGCGCCACCACGCACGGCTAATGTTTTGTATTTTTAGTAGAGATGGGGTTTCACCATGTTGGCCAGGCTGGTCTCAAACTCCTGACCTCAGGTGATCTGCCTGCCTTGGCCTCCCAAAGTGCTGGGGTTACAGATGTGAGCCACCACACCTGGCCAAGACCCTGTCTTAAAAAAAATTTTTTTTTTTAAAAAGCCTGTCCTGGTGTTCTGGGATAGAGCTATAAAAGCATGCCAGGTTGCTGGCAGGAGCTTGAAGGAGGTGCTGCCTCTGCTTACCAGGAGACCGTCTAGCTGTGAAGTGAGTGGCTGGAAGGAGTGATTGCTGGGTCCCATTCTAGCGATGTCTGTCCTCACCTCCATGCAGAAAAGTAAAGAGAAACCAGAGCCCTGCCAGGGAGTGGCAGAGGCTGGTACTTCTCAGACTCCTGATGTTCATACACATCCCCTGGAATCTCGTTAAAATGTAGATTCTGATTTAATAGGTCTAGGTAGGGCCTGAGGGTCTGCATTTCTAATAAACACCAGGTGGTGTTGATAACACTGACCTATAAGAACATGCTTTAGGAGCAGGTTTTTTAGGCAGGTGCCTTAAAAGTGGGCTGGGGTGGTGAGGGACAGTCTTAGAGAAGAGGGAACCTGGAATTTGGAGCATGGCTGTGAGGAGTCAGACCAAGAAAAAGGGAATGATAGCTACAGAAGTATAGGAGGGAGAAAGCAGGAGGCAGGCCTGGGGGCAATGGCCTGAGGGACAGGTTCATATATAGCTGTGGTCCGTCAGAGGACCCTGCAGGGTACTTGGGAAGTTCAGTTGTCCTAATAGCAGGCTCTGGAGAACCACGTGAAGTTGTAGCTGAAACTGAATTTTTTTTTTTTTGAGATGGAGTTTCGCTCTTGTTGCCCAGGCTGGAGTGCAATGGGGCGATCTTGGCTCACTGCAACCTACGCCTCCTGGGTTCAAGCGATTCTCCTGCCTCGGCCTCCCAAGTAGCTGGGATTACAGGCATGCGCCACCATGCCCAGATATCTAATTTTGTATTTTTAGTAGAGATGGGGTTTCTTCTTGTTGGTCAGGCTGGTCTCGAACTCCCAACCTCAGGTGATCCGCCTGCCTCAGCCTCCCAAAGTGGTGGGATTACAGGCGTGAGCCACTGTGTCCGGTCTGAATTTTTTTTTTTTCTTTGAGATGGAGTCTCGCTCTGTCGCCCAGGCTGGAGTGCAGTGGCACGATCTCAGCTCACTGCAGCCTCCACCTCCCAGGTTCCAGCGATTCTCCTGCCTCAGCCTCCCGAGTAGCTGGGATTACAGGAGTGTGCCACCATGCCCGGCTAATTTTTGTATTTTAGTAGAGACGGGGTTTCGGCATATTGGCTAGGCTGATCTTAAACTCCTGACCTCAGGTGATCTGCCCGCCTCAGCTTCCCAAAGTGCTAGGATTACAGGCGTGAGCCACCGCACCCGGTGAAACTGAAATTTTAAGATAGATCTGGGAATGTCTGAAGCTTGAGAAGCTGATTGTGTTCTGGGAGCACTGCATGGTGCCAGGCTGTTGAGGGTCCAGCTGGCAGAGGGGGCATTGAACTTAGCCCAGGAGTGAGGGAGAGAGATTTCCCAAGATACGCTGACAGAGGAAGGACTCTGCTACAAGCCTGTAGGTTTGCCTGAGTTCCTGATTCTGGCAGTCGTTGACCTGGCAGCTAATCTAATTGGAGCTTGCACAGTCTTGC
Organism: Homo sapiens; assembly: GCF_000001405.40. Classification (NCBI taxonomy): domain Eukaryota; kingdom Metazoa; phylum Chordata; class Mammalia; order Primates; family Hominidae; genus Homo; species Homo sapiens. The sequence goes on from NC_000016.10 coordinate 67,915,017, forward strand.
TAACTGGCTATTGATTACCTGAGGGTTGGAAAATGACGAATGGGGTGGGGAGTGGGTTCCTGCCCGCTCCTACTGTAGCCGAAAGACTGGGTCCTTAGATTCTGTTGTTCTTCTGCTGGAATCACAGGGCAGGACTCTGCAGCTCACAGTGAATGAGTGAGTGAATGAGTGAGTGAGTGAGAGAGAGAGAGAGTGTGTGTGTGTGTGTGTGTGTGTGTGTGTGTGTTGGAGAGGCACTGCTCAGCCTTTGCTCCCACTACCCTTTACCTGGAGCTGAAAAGCATCAGTTTCCAGCTCCAGAGGCAAATCCTGGCAGGTTCTGGTGGCCCTTATCTGTGACCAGGAGCTTGCCTGACCCCAAAAATCAGATTCTATCACCCGCTGTGGAGAGCTCTGGGTTGGGAGGGATCCGTCTGGGACATTTCCTGGGGGAGGGGTCCTTATCATGAGATCAGGCTCTCTCAGCTGGAGAACATCCAGCAGACCCTCAGGCCCCACAAAACCTGTTGAATCAGAATCTACATTTTAATGAGATTCCAGGGGATGTGCATAAACATCAGGAGTCTGAGAAGTACCAGCCTCTGCCACTCCCTGGCAGAGCCCTGGTTTCTCTTTACTTTTCTGCATGGAGGTGAGGACAGACATCGCTAGAATGGGACCCAGCAATCACTCCTTCCAGCCACTCACTTCACAGCTAGACGGTCTCCTGGTAAGCAGAGGCAGCACCTCCTTCAAGCTCCTGCCAGCAACCTGGCATGCTTTTATAGCTCTATCCCAGGACACTAGGACAGGCATTTTTTGTTATTGTTGTTCTCCTGGCCACTGCCCACCCACAAGCACACCTGCTCACACCTGGGGAAAATGCAAGAGACGTGAAGGCCTGTTCTTCCTATCCCTAGAGGTTGAGATTGCCTGGGGAGAAGGAACTAGAATAGGGAATGGCCATAGAATGAACCCGCATTGGCAGACACATGTGAACACAGGCCTTGGCATAGAGCCACTGGGCCTGGGCAGTCTGGAACATGGACTATGGTGCTCAGGTCAGGTGGTTGGGCCCTGACCCCACCCACTCCAGCCATCTGTCCTATATGTGTAATAGGTGTTTGCCATTAGGAAGGCCATGTAAGTGAGCAAGCCTCTGCCAGGATAACCTGTGAGAGAGAGAGTGTTCCATGATGAGGGGGTTGTTGCTGTGTGAATGAAGGACCTCTGACGCAGCAGCGTTTGGAGGTATGCATTCTTCACCAGCGAGTGTCTCGTGGTGCTTGGTGCCTTTCTAGGGGCACCTTTCCTGTTCCCTGACCCCATAGAGTGCTCTCCCCTGTACACCAGGCCGGGTCTGGTGTGCCTATTTCCTGCAAGCTCTGTCCATGCAGCCCCAGTCCTCTGTCAGGCTCAGTGGCATCCATGGACTTGAATAGAAAGCTTCCTGCAGAAGATGAGTTTTGAGAAGGAGGAGGCCCAGAGAAGGGAGCATTGCTGAGTGCTCCAGAATAAACAGGAGATTGGGAGTGACAGAGCAGAGGTTGAAGAGGCTGGGGCAGGTCTGGTGTTTGTTGTTGGGAGCCCTCTGCACTGTGGGAGGAGCCCTCTGGGTTCTGGGTAATGGAGGAGGAAGGCAGCAGAAAGTGGGAATGGAGCCTGGCAGGAGGAAGGCTAGCTGGAGGCTACTGGAATAATTCCATCCTGTCCTCCTGGGGATGTTTGGGGCAGATCAGGGATCCCAGGGAGTGGGATCCACATGGCATATGTAAGCCACAGTATAGGAGGTGAAGGAGTATGGAGCAGAGTCCTAGCTCTGCAGGAGGGACATCAGCTTGTATGGGCAGACTTGGAGAGGATTCCAGGCTACCCTCTGACCTGGAGAGCATGTGGGGTCCTGCCTACCATCCTGGCACTCCAGATCCCCCAGCCTGAAGCCCATGCCCTAGACCCCACCCCACTCCCTGCACACCACAGGCCTGAGCCATTGCCCCCATTCACTCTCCACACCAAGCTTCTGCCTCAACTGTTCACGCTGCTCCCAGTATCGGTCTTAGTTGTTTCCTTTAGAAATAATGCTGCCTACTGCCATTGTGTGGTGCCCACTAAGTAGCAGACCCAGGGCTGAATGTTCTACACCCCCCATCTCCAATCTATGACAACCCTGCCAGGTGGTACGTAATCCCCCACCTTACAGATGAGGAAACTGAGGATGGTGAGGTTACATAACTTGGCCATGGTCTCCCGACTGGAGGGTGGCACATCTGGGATTTGATTCCAGGCTGTCTTGGCTTCAGAGTTCTTGGCCTGTCTAGTGCTGCAGTCTGCTCTCCCTGGTATGTGTGCCTCAGCACGTTGCTGGTTTCTTGTTTCAGTGCTTTCTGGCTGCTGATCAGTGGACACATCTCTCCTGTCTAGCCTGTAGGGTCCTTGAGGACAGCATGTACATCAATACATATGCTGTCCACTGTCGTGTCCAGGCTTAGTGCACAGTGGTACCTGTATGCTGGGTTGAACTGCAGTATTTATAAGTGATAACTGGTGGGGGAATTTTCTCTTGGCTTCTCCTGAGGGAAGCACCAGTGGCTATTGGTGATGCCCTGGGAAGCGTCCCAAATGTGACTGCTGGCAGGCAGACAGGCTGTGCAGCCAGTGGAGTGCTCCCCTCAAGGGGCCAGACTCCAGGAGGAAGCAGAGAGCCTGCTGGCAATGCGCTTAGGGGGCTGCTGGCCACAGCTGCCTGTGGGCACAGGCAGGGGGAGGATTTAAAGGCCCAGGGCTGGTGTGTGCTTGTCAACTTTTAGGGCAAATACAAGACTCTTGGAAGAGGGGTAAATGCTGAGGAGGAGATGACTGGAAAGGAAAAATCTGAATGTTTACCCAGCACCCAGAGGCACTGGAGTGGAGAGGGCACGCTGGAGTGGAGAGGGCATGCTGGAAGTGGTGGGGAGACACAGGTTGGGAGAGGTAGCGAAGGCCTGTGTGAATGTGAGAGCAGTTTGAGGACACAGTCACCTTGAGAGGCGGCTTCCTATCACAGGAGGCCTGGAGGAGCTGTTTCTAAAGGATGACACAGAAGGTGAGTCATCAGCTACAGACTCATGCTAGAGAACTGTCAGGGTCCTCCAATGCAGAGAGTCTGTGATTCACTTGACATGAAATGTGACATCCTTGATGTCAGTGCTTTTGTCAAGAGTTCTATTCCTAGAGGCAGGACGGATGAAGGGGCTCTTGTAGGATTGATATTAGAGTGATGCCATTAGGAGCTTTGCTGTCTGCTGCATTCAGCATCCTGAATTATCACCCTCCTCTGCTTGGCCAGTCTCTGAGCTGTGGGTGAGCCCAGGTGACTGTACTAGGAACAGGTGGGCTTGGGTAGAATTTCTCACAGAGCCTTGTGAGTGCTGCTGGGCAGGGGACAGAGTACTGTTGGGAGAGGAAGCCCACCTTCATAGCCACTCTGCTGCTACCTGGGTGACAAGGGCTGGTGGGAGGTGGCCTCCCAGGGTTGGGTGTCTGGTCTGCAGGTTGACCATACATTGATCTGGGGCTAAGTATACCTGAAGGGGCAATGAGCTTGACCACCTGTAGTTCTTTTTTTTTTTTTTTTTGAGATGGAGTCTTACTCTGTCGCCCAGGCTGGAGTGCAGTGGTGTGATCTCGGCTCACCAAAGCCTCCACCTTTTGGGTTCAAGCAATTCTCCTGCCTCAGCCTCCCAAGTAGCTGGGATTATAGGTGCCAGCCACCACACCTGGCTAATTTTTGTATTTTTAGTAGAGACGGGGTTTTACCACGTTGGCCAGGCTGGTCTGGAACTCCTGACCTCAGGTGATCTGCCTGCCTTGGCCTCCCAAAGTGCTGGGATTACAGGTGTGAGCCACCACACTCGACCTCCCCACTTCTTAAAGTGACTCTAACATGCCTTGGGATGTAGAAGATAAAATGAGATGCAGAGAATGTGGCATGTCTCAGTGCTCTCTAGGTGACGGGGCTTGGTTATGCAGCCTGGTCCTATGCTCTGACTTTCTGTCTCCCTCCCTGCCCCTCATCTCCCCGCATATGTCACAAGGAGCAGCCATGTGAGCAGGGATAGGACCTCATCCCAGAGTCATGGGGAGCGCTGTCCGGGTGTCTGGAGAGCAGGAGACCAAATGTATATGCTGGTGGCAGAGTGGAGGCAGGGAAGCGGGGAGCGTGTTTCCTGGCTTATGCTTGGATTCTCCTGGATGCTTTAATTGCCTGACTTTTCTCACCTTCAGTGTGGGTGGGGACTGTGATGGACCCATCAGCTCAACTCTCTTCTCACTGACCCCTGCTCCCAGAGTCAGAGGATGGCTTTCCCACGACTGTCTCAATAGCTGACAGCACGAGCAAACACAAATCAGTTTAGAATTCTTTGCTATGAGGCATCTGTCCCTAAGCCCTTCTTCCCTGCCAGCCTGCTGGGGCTGCTGCATGTCAAGTGCTGGATGCTTGTGCTGTCTGTGTGTGAGGATCCCATGAGGATGATCAGATGCCCCCATACCTGGCCAGGAAGGTTCCCTTGGGAAAAGCCATCCCCACTTCACCAAAACACGAAGTGTTCAACAGATTAAGTCTCCCTCCTTCACTGCAGGAGCCAATGCCCTCAGGCTGGATTCCTGACTAGTCACTGGGAGGTGGCATGGTTTGGGCCACTGGATGGAGGCAGTGGACCCTCAGTTGGTCACTGTGGCTGGGGACCTGCCCTTGGTTGGAGACCTCTGGCAGGAAGGCAGAGGAAGCTCTCTCCATGTGAGGCCAGAGGAAGCTCTGAGTGGAGAAGAGCAGCAGCCCCATCTTGTGTCACCTCTGTGCCACCACTGGGCTCCCCAGAGCCCTGTCCTCTAGGTTTCCCTTTGTCACTGCTGCCCTGGTTGCATACACCCCAGAAAGCAGCAACTTCCCTGTAGTGGCAGGAGCAGACCCACCCGCCACGCTGCTGCATTCAGCCGTTCCTGCTGACCACCCATAGCATCACGTCACCCTGGGTCACAGCTGCCTTTCATCACTTTTTCCACCTCCAGCCCTTGAGGCCTGGCCAACAAAGAGCAGGGTGTGGTGGCTTGCACTCAGAGCCATCCCTGGTGCGTCAGCCATCCCCTCCCTCTCCTGTCTTTTCATTGTCTGTCTCCACCTGGAGAGCACTGCCTTTCACAGGCTCTGTCGCTTCTGGGCCCTCAAGTTCCTCTGGGAGCTGCTGGACTGTATCTCTCCCACATTCTGACCTCTTTATTTATTTATTATTATTTTTTAATAGAGACAAGGTCTTGTTGTAGAGGAACAAGAGTTGGAGTGCAGTAGTGTGATTATAGTTCATTGTAACCTTAAACTCCCGGGCCCAAACCATCTTCCTGCCTCAGCCTTCCGAGTAGCTGGGATTACAGGTGTGGGCCACCACACCGGGCTAATTTTTTAGGTTTCTTGTAGAGATAGGGTCTATGTTGCCTAGCCTGGTCTTGAACTCCTGGCCTCAAGTGATCCTCCTGCCTCGGCCTCCCAAAGTGCTGAGATTAAAGGCGTGAGCCACTGTGCCCAGCCCTGACCTCTTTAGATCCACTCATAGCATCCCATGCTCATCCTCCTCCCACACCTACTGAGGTGGAGGCTGGCTCTCAATTGCATGGCATAGCTGATGGTGACCTGGTCCAGCCATCCTCACTGGCTGTGCCTCTCCAAGCTCACCTTCCCTAGTCAGTCCTCCCATCACACAAGGTTACCCTTCTCCATCGTGCCTGACGTCCCTCGGTAGATGTGTGGTGCCCAGAGAGCTCTGCTCCCTTGTGGCCCAGCCAGCTTGGAGCAGAAGGCTTAGTCACATTCATCTCTTCATTCTTCCTCCATCCCATATTGACCTACCACTGGCCCTAAGCCTGGGGTTCCAGGGACAGAGACTGCAGTGTGGATGAGATGGTTACAGTCACTGAGCCTCCAAACTGCCTCAGAAATTAGGATGGGAGGAAGTTAAAAAAAAAAAAAAAGGCTGGGCACGGTGGCTCACACCTGTAATCTCAGCCCTTTGGGAGGCCAAGGTGGGTGGCATCTGAGATCAGGAGTTTGAGACCGACCTGACCAACATGGTGAAACCTCATCTCTACTAAAAATACAAAATTAGCTGGGCATTGTGGTGCATGCCTGTAATCCCAGCTACTTGGGAGGCTGAGGCAGGAGAATTGCTTGAACCCAGGAGGTAGAGTTTGCAGTGAGATGGTTCCATTGCACTCCAGCCTGGGCAACAAGAGCAAAACTCCGTCTCAAAAAAAGAAAAAAAAAATAATGCCAGGTGCTGTGGCTCACGCCTGTATCCCAGCACTTTGGGAGGCCGAGGCGGGCAGATCTTGAGGTCAGGAGATCAAGACTATCCTGGCTAACACGGTGAAACACCGTCTCTACTAAAAATACAAAAAATTAACCAGGCATGGTGGCATGCACCTGTAGTCCCATCTACTTGGGAGGCCGAGGCAGGAGAATCGGTTGAACCTGGGAGGCGGAGTTGCAGTTAGCTGAGATTGCACATCGCGCCACTGCACTCCAGCCTGGGTGACAGAGTGAGACTCTGTCTCTCTTAAAAAAAAAAACAAAAACAAAAATCAAAAAACCAGGCTGGGCCCTGGGAACCACTTGGCCTCAGCGGAACCCTTGATGAGTGTAGATAAAAGAGATCACGCTGCAGCAGGCTTCTAAATCTGGAACCTTCCAGGGCTACTCCAGGACATTGTTAAAAGCAGACATCGCTATGTTGGTGGCACAGGCCTATTGCAAAGCGAGCAAATAGCATCCTTCTCGATCTTGAGTTGTGTCCTGTCTCTCTCCTCTCCTTCCCCTCCACTCTGGCTCTGGGCAGGGACAGGTGGGGGCACACGATTTCATTTTGTTATCCATTTCAAGTTTCAGAACACAGCTTTACTAACCTTTAAGTTGTCACACCTTTTCTCATTTTAATCTTTATTCTCTGCTTTTTTTTTTTTAATTCTCTACTTGTTTTTAAAACTGCATTATCTTCCCTCTATTTCTCTCCTCAGGCTCTCTCCCCCCACACCCTTCCCTTTTCTGTTGCTTGCCCCTCACCCGCCCTCTGCCGAGTCCCAGGGTGGTAGATTCTGTCTGGTCTGGAAGCCCAGGCACCAGGATGATGGGTTTTTGACCACAGGAGGGGATGCTGGCTCTGCTGCCACACAGTGTCTAATTCTGCTGATGCTCTTCGTCGTGGGCAGCATGACAGGGTGCCGTTCTTGTTGTCATGCTGCTTTCCTGAGTAAACTCAAAGCTCTGTTTCCAGAATTTCCTCTGTGCCCTTTTCTCTGCTCTCATTCAGGCCCACGTAAGTACAGAAAGGAGGCCTTTGAAGGTGGGAATAGTGGGTCTGAAAATACATCTTGAAATAGAGCTGAGGGAAGAACTGAGTCATGGTAGCAAAGCCCAGGCTTCTTCCTCCCTTCCCATCCCTTCTCTAGAAGCACTGTGGTGGGGCCACCTCCTCTGTCAGCCAGCCTGCCCCAGAATCATCATTGGTTAGATAAGGAACCCAGGGCTCAAGAGGTCAGCTTAAATGCTAAACTCTGCGCTTCACATGTGGCCACGTGAAGGAAAAGGTGGAGAAAAAGGAATCCAGGAGTTTATAAACTGGAAGGGACTTAGAGTTCATGACATTCAGCCCCTTCCTCGTGTTAAAAGTGAAGGCGGTGTGATTTCTCTAAGGCCGACAGAGAAGGTAGAACTAGAACTCAGGTTGCTGGGCTTGCAATCTAACCCTTTAACGTATCCCAGATGCCACTCAGAAGACACACCAAGGGGCCTTTCTCTCCCAGCCTCACTTGCCAGTAGGCAGCCCTGCCTGCCAGAGGAAGTCTAGGGCCGCCCTGTAAGCTGTGTTTGCTGCCAGAAAGAAGCAGCTTCCTCCTCTGTCTGCAGCCTCTGCTAGAGAGCTGGCGCTGTTCTTTGTTTCATTAGCCCTTAGGCTCCAGGTGAGACCGCTGGCAGTGGCTTGGGTAGTGTTCATGCCAGGCCCTTGTGCCAGACATTAGAGCTAGAGCAAACGAAAAGGGTTGGTGCGGGGGGTCCTCAGGCGGGAGCGGAAAGCCCTTCCTGCTGTGCTGCCTCTCCCTCTCCAGGGGGAGTAGGACTCCACTGCCTAGGAGTGGCTTTGGCCCAGCATGGGTAGGGGGATGAGGAAGGCTAGTTGGTAAGGAGGTGCTCACGGAAGAGGTCGCTTCCCATACCCATTATTGGCATCTTTGCTGTTCCAACATCAGGAGCAGGTACCCTAACTGCAAGGGGAAAAGGACTCTTTTGAGGGCCATGGACTCAGGAGGAAGGCAGCCAGCTTGATGGTCAGAATCAGAGCAGAGGTGATGCCCTCCTCCTACAGCCCCTGCTTGTCTTCCTCTTGAAGCAGGACCCAGCCCTCACTCACGCAGCAGTGTCTCGAAGTGCTGGGATTAGAGGTGTGAGCCACTGACTTGCCCAGAGACTGTGGAAAGGAGAGAGTGGAGGCTGTCACCCTGGGTATGGAAGCTGTTCTCTGATCCCAGAGCAAGGGAAGACCTGAGAGTCTGGGCGTAGAGCCAGCTGACATCTTAGTGTTTCCCTCTGTGCCTCGTGCTCCACGTCGGCCCAGAAGCAGGTGGAAGCCTCAGAGACTGCCCAGGTGGGTCTTGGCACCTGTGCCATCTGTCAGCCAACTGAGGCCATGTGTGTCCCTGGTATGGCTCAAATAAGTATACTGAGGCACGAGTTCAGTTCTTCACCTAGAACAAACAGAGTTGTGGAGACTGAAGAGCATGACTATTCATCATTTTCCCTTTTCTCCTGCTTAGAATGCTTCCCAGCCAGTCAGCCCTTGGCTGACACACATACTTACGTGGCTCCAGGGGAAGCAGGTGGGTTGGGCTGCTGGCGTTGAGTGCTTTCTTAGGAGGTGCTGAGTTGATGTGAGGCCTGAAGCCTGGCTGTGGGCGAGTGTGGAAAGCCTTACTTTTCTAAGCCCTGTGGGAGGCCTCAGCAGGGCTTCCAGAGGCTGCTATTCTGAAGGTCACCCTAAGCCCCTGCCTCACTGTCAGCTGGATGAGGACCACCTTCTTGTGTTCAGCCTGACTTTCCTCTGTGTACAAGGGTTAGGCTGGGGACCAGTTCAGGACGACTTGAGTCACTTTGGCTTGGGGGACCCACCTGGCCTAGCTGCTCACAGCTCTTCAAAGATGGGAAGAGCTGGGACCTGCCAGAGAGGCCAGGCCAGCCCTCAGACAAATGAGTCCATCTGCATTCTGCGCACAGCCACATGCCCACAGTAATTGGTGAGGCGAGAATCTTGGGGAGCAGCGGGGAGAGGGATCAATCTGGCTCGCTTTGGCACTAACAGGCCGGCCGCTCCATGAGCAGCAGGGGTTGATGCCTGCTGGTGTGAGCCTGTGCCACTCTGAAGATGGAGACACTTAAGACCATAGGGCTGGTCTGGGGAGAGGCCCCTCCAAGACTGCACTGGTGACTGGTTTGGAGTTTCAGGTCCACGGTTTCGCTGGGTGTGGATGTGAAGTGGTGAAACCTCCAGTCCATCCATGTTCAGGCTCCTGGCCTCTGTAGGGGAGTTGCCCCTCTTTTGTCTTGGCTGGACCAAGGGGCAGGGGCAGAATCCATTTCCCAGCCCTGTTGGGACACCCTGGGCTGTCAGCCCTGTCTTGGGGCTGTTCCAGCAACAGGCCAGACTGAGCTGCAGCCTGCTTCCTAGTGAGTCCTCCTCTTCCTGGAGACTGTAGAAGGCCAGCAGGCAGCAGAGGTGTCCCCTGACCCACTCTGTTCAGCTGTGTGTGTGCTGTCTCCATCAAGCTTCTTTCTGTCTCTCCGGTGGGTGATGGGGGCTACAGTGAATGTCTGTGGTCTGGACTGGCTGCCCCCAGTAGTGGTTCCTTGTGTTCAGGAGGCAACCATGGAGCTTTCTTTTTTAAAAAAAAATTTATTAATTTTTTTTTTTCTTTGAGGCGGAGTCTTACCATCTTTCCCAGGGTGATCTTGAACTCTTGGGCTCAAGCAGTCCTCCTGCCTCAGACTCCCAGAGTGTTGGGATTATAGGCGGAAGCCACTGCTCCTGGCTTTTGGGGTTTTCTTGAGCTGTGATCCAAAAGCTATTGTGGCAGCTGTCTAGTCCAGTTGCCCTGCATATTGGCCTTAATACCTCAATATGAATATTTTTTTTTTTTTTTTGAGACGGAGTCTCGCTCTGTTGCCAGGCTGGAGTGCAGTGGTGCGATCTTGGCTCACTGCAACCTCCGCCTCTCAGGTTCAAGCAATTCTCCTGCCTCAGCTTCCTGAGTAGCTGGGACTACAGGCACGCCACCACGCCCGACTAATTTTTGTATTTTTAGTAGAGACGGGGTTTCACCATGTTGGCCAGGATGGTCTTGATCTCATGACCTTGTGATCCACCTGCCTCAGCCTCCCAAAGTGCTGGGATTACAGGCATGAGCCACCACGCCTGGCCCTCAATATGAATCTTGAACTACACAAGCCCCCAGGAGACTTACCTGCCTGTCGGGGAGGGCTGTTGCTCTCTGCGCCCACCCACAGCCCTTGGATAGTAAGGCATCTATGGGCCTTCGTTGGCTGCATGCTCCTGGACCCTGACTTTCCTCCTCCTGGGGGCCAGCATCTCCCCAGGAGTCACTGGGTGCTGCTGGCCCACTGATGAGGATGACCCTGTTAGGTGTGTTTGGGAATATGGTTCCCCTGTTGCTCCCACTTCAGCTCAGTAAAACTTGGAATAACCTTCCAAAGAGTGGGTGAAGACAGCAGCTGCAGGTAGCCCCAGGCCTTCCTCAGGACGGTGGAAGCGTGTTCTCCCTGCCTCATCCCTCTGTGGCAGTGGGGAAGGGGGTAGGGAAAGAGTTGGAGGTCAGGCGAGCCAGACTGGGAGTAGCAGTAGTCAGTGAGTGTGTGTGTCTGCTAGATGGCTGTGCACCTGCCCTGAAGGTGGTCTCTCAGATCCTCCTGAACCCCCTGGAGGGCATGTTCAGGGGTTCCTCAAGGTGAAGGGTACCATGGGTGGTGAAGGGTACCATGGGTGGAACAGGCAGACCTCACCTGGCAGGAAGGAAAGTGAGGGGATCGTTAGCATCCCTGTTGAGTCATCTGCAGCAGGCTCAGGAAAGGTCCTAGCTGCCTATCCTTGGGGGAGCCTCAGAGCCCGTGCCAGAAGTGTTCCTAGGAGATGCAGGGACGCAAGGACTCACCTGGCTGAGCCCCAAGGCCTGGAAGCAGCTCCAGGAAAGGGCACCCATCCGGCAGCACCGTGGGTTGTTTACTGTCTGAGCCTGTGCCTACTGAGTGCTTCCTGTATGCGCAGCACCAGGCACGGGCTCATCCAGCTCAGCATGATCTCATGGGAATACTAAACGAACATGAAATTGCAGTCTCACGTTACAGCTGGAATAATTGCTGGAAGCACTGGGGGCTAAGAGGGAGTCTGAGCAAGTGTCCTTTACCCTGAGAACCTGAGGATCCAGTCAGGTGAAGACAGCCGTACAACCTGAGGCCCTGAGACAGACAGCTGCTGGGTTCGGGGCTGAGATGAGGCAGCCCGGGGTGCATGTGGCAGAGTGGGCTTTATGGAGTTCCTCCCAGGGGACAGAATGTACTAAAATGAGGCTGGCGCACAGCACTGCCAGGAGCCCTTTGTGGCTTAGAGAAGTAATGCGGGCCAGAGGGTGCCACTGAGAAGGGTCCTGGTTCCTTCCTGGTCCCGGGATCGCCTGCCCTCAGCCGACTGGGAAATCTAGTTGCCTTGAATTGTTTCCTTTCCTCCCCATGCCGGGAGGCAGAGGCAGGGAGCAGTGGTCTTCTGCCACTGCTTCGGCAGTTGGAGAGAGGTTGGATCTTCTCTGTAAGGACTAGGAAGTTCCCCTTTAAGTAGCCTGATCCTGGTCATCCAGAGATTGGAGCTTCAATCTGACTTAGGATGTGGTGGGAAAGTTTGAATCATTCTCTAACAGTCCCCTGAGTTATGATACTCCTGGGACAAGTTCGGGGGGGTCTTGGCAGAGGCCATCTCCCTGAGCCAGGCTTTGGGTCCAGTGCACCATAGAATTTGCTCCCTGGGAGAGTGCACAGGTCCTTTCCTTCCTTGCCAGACTCCATCACCTGGAGAGCAGCCCTTGTTCAGCCTGAGCCAGCGTTGGGCGGGGAGGCCCCAAGTGCTACATGAGAGGAGGGGCAGCACCTCTCTCTGGAAAGGGGAGGGTTGCTGAGTAGTGGCCTCATCCAGATGGGGTGGGCAGTGTCAGATGCTCTCACTCTAATGCTTGTCCTTGGTCTCTAGCCCTGGCCTAGTGTGTCCAACCTGGCCAAGGACTTCATTGACCGCCTGCTGACAGTGGACCCTGGAGCCCGTATGACTGCACTGCAGGCCCTGAGGCACCCGTGGGTGGTGAGCATGGCTGCCTCTTCATCCATGAAGAACCTGCACCGCTCCATATCCCAGAACCTCCTTAAACGTGCCTCCTCGCGCTGCCAGAGCACCAAATCTGCCCAGTCCACGCGTTCCAGCCGCTCCACACGCTCCAATAAGTCACGCCGTGTGCGGGAACGGGAGCTGCGGGAGCTCAACCTGCGCTACCAGCAGCAATACAATGGCTGAGCCGCCTGGCTGTGCACACATGCAGCACGACCCAGCCTGGCCACACACTGTGGTGCCATCTGGGTCCGATGCCCTCTCTGGAGATAGGCCTATGTGGCCCACAGTAGGTGAAGAATGTCTGGCTCCAGCCCTTTCTCTGTGCCTTCAGCAGCCCCTGTCCTCACCATGGGCCTGGGCCAGGTGTGACAGAGTAGAGGTAGCACAGGGGGCTGTGACTCCCCCTGAACTGGGAGCCTGGCCTGGCACTGATACCCCTCTTGGTGGGCAGCTGCTCTGGTGGAGTTGGGAAGGGATAGGACCTGGCCTTCACTGTCTCCCTTGCCCTTTGACTTTTCCCCAATCAAAGGGAACTGCAGTGCTGGGTGGAGTGTCCTGTGGCCTCAGGACCCTTTGGGACAGTTACTTCTGGGACCCCCTTTCCTCCACAGAGCCCTTCTCCCTGGTTTCACACATTCCCATGCATCCTGATCCTTAAGATTATGCTCCAGTGGGAGACCCTGGTAGGCACAAAGCTTGTGCCTTGACTGGACCCGTAGCCCCTGGCTAGGTCGAAACAGCCCTCCACCTCCCAGCCAAGATCTGTCTTCCTTCATGGTGCCTCCAGGGAGCCTTCCTGGTCCCAGGACCTCTGGTGGAGGGCCATGGCGTGGACCTTCACCCTTCTGGACTGTGTGGCCATGCTGGTCATCGGCTTGCCCAGGCTCCAGCCTCTCCAGATTCTGAGGGGTCTCAGCCCACCGCCCTTGGTGCCTTCTTTGTAGAGCCCACCGCTACCTCCCTCTCCCCGTTGGATGTCCATTCCATTCCCCAGGTGCCTCCTTCCCAACTGGGGGTGGTTAAAGGGAGCCCCACTGCTGCTACCTGGGGAATGGGGCACCTGGGGGCCAAGGCAGAGGGAAGGGGGTCCTCCCGATTAGGGTCGAGTGTCAGCCTGGGTTCTATCCTTTGGTGCAGCCCCATTGCCTTTTCCCTTCAGGCTCTGTTGCTCCCTCCTCTGCAGCTGCACGAAGGCGCCATCTGGTGTCTGCATGGGTGTTGGCAGCCTGGGAGTGATCACTGCACGCCCATCGTGCACACCTGCCCATCGTGCACACCCACCCATGGTGCACACCTGTAGTCCTCCATGAGGACATGGGAAGGTAGGAGTTGCCGCCCTGGGGGAGGGTCCCGGGCTGCTCACCTCTCCCCTTCTGCTGAGCTTCTGCGCACCCCTCCCTGGAACTTAGCCATACTGTGTGACCTGCCTCTGAAACCAGGGTGCCAGGGGCACTGCCTTCTCACAGCTGGCCTTGCCCCGTCCACCCTGTGCTGCTTCCCTTCACAGCATTAACCTTCCAGTCTGGGTCCCACTGAGCCTCAAGCTGGAAGGAGCCCCTGCGGGAGGTGGGTGGGGTTGGGTGGCTGCTTTCCCAGAGGCCTGAGCCAGAACCATCCCCATTTCTTTTGTGGTATCTCCCCCTACCACAAACCAGGCTGGAACCCAAGCCCCTTCCTCCACAGCTGCCTTCAGTGGGTAGAATGGGGCCAGGGCCCAGCTTTGGCCTTAGCTTGACGGCAGGGCCCCTGCCATTGCAGGAGGGTTTGGTTCCCACTCAGCTTCTGCCGGTCGGCAGCCTGGGCCAGGCCCTTTTCCTGCATGTGCCACCTCCAGTGGGAAACAAAACTAAAGAGACCACTCTGTGCCAAGTCGACTATGCCTTAGACACATCCTCCTACCGTCCCCAATGCCCCCTGGGCAGGAGGCAGTGGAGAACCAAGCCCCATGGCCTCAGAATTTCCCCCCAGTTCCCCAAGTGTCTCTGGGGACCTGAAGCCCTGGGGCTTACGTTCTCTCTTGCCCAGGGTGGGCCTGGTCCTGAGGGCAGGACAGGGGGTTTGGAGATGTGGGCCTTTGATAGACCCACTTGGGCCTTCATGCCATGGCCTGTGGATGGAGAATGTGCAGTTATTTATTATGCGTATTCAGTTTGTAAACGTATCCTCTGTATTCAGTAAACAGGCTGCCTCTCCAGGGAGGGCTGCCATTCATTCCAACAGTTCTGGCTTCTTGCTGTAGGACCAAGGGGTTGCCCTGGAGGAGGGGTGGGGGCCCCGGCCTCGGCATGGCTACTCTAGGAAGAGCCACTGCTACTCAAGGAGTCACTCAGCCCCTTCTGTGCCAGAAGTCCAAGTAGGGAGTCGGACCCTCAACAGCCTCTTCTTTCTCCTGAGCCAGGAAGACAGACATGAATGCATGATGGGACAGGGCCTGGGTCTTTAATGGGTTGAGCTGGGGAGGGCCTGTGGTGAGCTCAGTTGTAGGCTATGACCTGGTTGATCCAGGTGCTGAACTTGCTAACTCGAGTATACACAGCAGGTGCGCGCACATTGCAGTTTTTGGTGCCCCAGGAGACAATACCAATAAGCACCCATGTGTTTCCCTTCTGGCAGACAAGAGGGCCTCCGGAGTCACCCTGAGAGGGAAGAGGGAGGGAGAATTGAGTAGGGGGGGTTGGGGAGGTATACCACAGGACAGCGCAGAGGAGCGGGTGCTGGGGCTTACCTGGCACGAGGAGGCACCTGCGCCACCTGCACAGATCATGGAGTCAGTGATACTTGAGCCCCAGTACTGCCGGCACTGATTCACAGTGACCAGGGGCAAAGCCACCTGCTGCAGATGTGCTGGTGTCACATTGCCTGTGGGCCAGGAGGGGTGGTCACATGGGGCCCAGAACACTGGTCCCCACCCCAGTCCTCCCACCCTGAGCTTTGGCCTGAGTCCCTACCCACGCCACTGAGGCGACCCCAGCCGGTGGTGACACACGTGAGGCCTTCAGTCAGAGCCTCGTTTGAGGATGCCAGGCAAACTGGCGAGATGCGTGTTGTGTACTGGGCTGGCGAGGCGAGCTTCAGCAGCGTCACGTCATTGTTCATGGTGGTAGAGTTCCAGCTAGGGTGTGTAATGGCCTGTGGGGTCAGAAACAGTCCATGTTCTGATGGGTGCTGAGCAGGGTAGGCCAGGGCATGTCCTGAATTCCTCGTTCCCAGCACCCACCCACCTGCACTGCCCACTTTTCCTCCGTGTCTGCAGCCCAGGCACTCACCCGAGAGACGGACAGAACCTGCAAGGGCTCTGCGTTTGATGATCGGTCATACTCGCCCAGGACAACAAAATGGCGGCCAGGGCTGCAAGGGGGTGGGATTAGGCAGCTGCAGGGAGGCCAGCGCGAGAGGGGGACAGCCAGGGGAGGAGGCAGGAAGAGGCGAGGGGCGGGGCAGGTGGAATGCAGGCACTCACCTGACATTGCAGTGGGCAGCAGTGACCACCCAGGACTGGCTGATGAGAGAACCACCGCAGAAGTGGAAGCCGCTGCTGTCCTGTGGTCAGGGCTCAGAGGTCAGAGTGGGGGTGGGCTGCTGAGGCTGCCCCTAGGCATGACGTACCCAGGACCCTGCCCACCCCTCTGGTGGTGTACCTGCAGGGACACCTGCCAGGGCCAGGAGCCCAACACTGCATTCTCCCCGTTGACAATCCTCTGGCTGAAGCTCAGTGCCGGTTTGATGGCAGGAATGCCGCAGCCTGGCCATTGGGCTAATGAGGACCTGCTTCCCATGCCTCAGCCCATCTTTCCCCACCTCCTTTTGGGTGCCCCAGGCTGTGCACCCCAGAGAGGTCTGTCGAGAGGGTACAGCACTACCCCTTCCCCAACAGGGTACATGCAAGCACCTTCGGGCCCCACAGCTATCTTGGTTATCCCTATCCACCCAGTCCCCCAGCCCTGCTGTTCTCCTACATCTGTCTCCAGCCTAGTCCCCGCTGTTCCCCATCTCTACCCCTGGTCTCTCTGCCCCCTCCCGACCTGAACAGTTCATACCCTTCATGCAGCCAGAAGGTTCTTTCTAAAAGACATGGACAGGTCTTCCTGTCTCAGCTTCCTAAACCCTCCCGGGCTCCAGGGCCTGGCTCAATCTCTGGTCCTATTTGTGAGACCACCCCACCTCTTGCCCCCTCCCAGCCCTGCAGGCCTGTTCCCTGCTCCACTGCCCTGGCATATCCTGTTTCTTTTGCCCACTCTGTCCACCTTCGTCCCTTCCAGCCAGCCTAGCTCCTTCCCTGGGCTGTTGCTGGGAGCTGAGTTGCTCCCAGGGCTGAATCAGGGCTGGTCCTGGCCCACTCACCCCAGGAGGAGCCGAGGAGAACCAGGCTTAGGGTCAGGCTGAGCAGCAACATCGTGGCAGATGTGAGGTTGGGAGCTGGGTCTGGCTTTATGGGTCTTCTCGTCCTTGAGCTAAAGCTCCAGGCCTGAGGCCAGGCCAGCTGTGTAGACTCAGCCCCCTCCCACGCTCCAGGCAAGACAGGCCCTTTAGGCCAAGGTCCCCTGACCGAGACCTAGACTTATCAGACAGAGCCCAGGTGTGAGACTCACCTCTGCCACCTCCCAAAGCCTGGCCTCTAATTGGCTCCCAGAACCACCTCCCATTCCAAATGTTGAGCCCTCGGTACTGAGGACAGATGGTTAAATTAGGTCTATAGTGACAACCTGGTGGCTGGGATCACAGGAGTCACCCAGGGCTAACAAAGGCACCAGGCTTTCAGAGAAGGCCGCTCAGCGTCCAGGGTGTTCTGACTGGTGGATGGAATGCTCACTGCGGTCAACTTTGCTGTGAAGGGCCAGGGGCTGTGAGGTTCTGGCAGGCTGGGAGTCCTAACACATCATCGCAGTGGTTCCTCGTCCATTTGGAACAGGAGTCACAGGTCTGCTCAGAGATGGTGACTCTCCCACCAGCACGTGGTTGAGTTGTACACAAACTCGCATTTGTCTGGCGCTGAAGCCTCCGCTCTTAACAATGAGATGATACTTATGAAGGGCCTGGCATTTAGGAGGGCAAAGTGTGAGCTCTTGGTGCCTGGCCGACCGTGGACTGAGGCTGCAGGTGGAGAGTGACAGACATCAAATCTCTGCCACCCTCTTTAGGCCTTGGGGCTCCCATGGGCAAGCCCCTGGTGTCTGTAGCCCATTTGTTACTGAGCTGCAGACCAAGCTTGAAGGGAGAAGACACCCTGTGTGCAAAGTTCCAACAGGTGCATTGGCTGGCGGCCTTCTGGGAGTGTGAGGGCTTTAACTGATTCAAGAACAGATCAGGGCTGGGTGTGGTGGCTCACACCTGTAATCCCAAAACTTTGGGAGGCAGACGTAGGAGGCTTGATTCCAGGAGTTCGAGACCAGCCTGAGCAACATCATGAAACCCTGTCTCTACAAAAAAAATTTTTTTAAATTAAGAAATGAGCTGGGTATGATGGTACACACCTGTAGTCCCAGCAACTCAGAAGGCTGAGGCAGGAGGGATCACTTGAGCCCTTAAGTTCAAGGCTGCAGTGAGCCATGAGTGCACCACTGCATTCCGGCCTGGGCGATGGAGCTAGACCCCATCTCAAAGAAACAGCATCAGCCAAAAAATGAGATGAATTGGCTGGGCACGGTGGCTCACGCCTGTAATCCCAGCACTTTGGGAGGCCGACGCGGGCGGATCATGAGGTCAGGAGATCAAGACCATCCTGGCTAACAGGTTCAGTAGAAACCTCGTCTCTACTAAAAATACAAAAAAAAAAAAAATTAGCCGGGCGTGGTGGCGGGCACCTGTAGTCCCAGCTACTCGGGAGGCTGAGGCAGGAGAATGGCGTGAACCTGGGAGGCGGAGCTTCCAGTGAGCTGAGATTGCGCCACTGCACTCCAGAGCCTGGGTGACAGAGCGAGACTCCGTCTCAAAAAAAAAAAAAAAAAAAAGGAGCGATGAATTAATGGATAGAGGGATGAATAGATGATAAAACAAATATAACAAAATATTTGCACTCCAGAGCCTGGGTGACAGAGCGAGACGCCGTCTCAAAAAAAAAAAAAAAAAAAAAAAAAGGAGCGATGAATTAATGGATAGAGGGATGAATAGATGATAAAACAAATATAACAAAATACTGTCAGGTCTGTGGTGACCTGACAGTATAAGGGTATTCAATATACAACTCTTTCTACTTTTCTGTTACATTTACAAATGTTCATTAATAGAATGTTGGGGTGCAGGGAGCACACTCAGCGGCCTGGGGATGTGCAGCCCGGCATAGACCCTCCCTGGGCCCTGGGTAGACTCTCCCTGACATTTCTGAAGCTCCAGCGGAGTTCAGCCGTTCTCGCTGAGGACAGGATGCTCTTGCTGGCACCCAGCAGCCAGGCCTGAGACTCAGCAGGGGCCCAGCAAAGGTTTGTTGGAGAAACGTGTCATCTCTCCCCATGTGAGTCCTGTGACCCTTATTAGCCTGGAAAACTTGGAGTCACAAGCCCAGCATGTGCAGACAGAAGACGAGCTTCACGTGAGCAGTGCAGGCATGCCTCGTCATCTAAGGGGTGTCACAGGTAAAGATGTTGCGAGGTTGAGGAGTGCTTGGTGAGAACTTGCCTTGGAGTCAGGGAGCGGCTCCTCTTGTCAGCACTTTAGCCCTCAGTGGGGCCTGTGGGGGCCTGATTGAAAGGTATGAGCTTTGTCCTGGGCCACTGAGGAGCCATGGAAAGTCTCTAGGAGGGGGTAGTACATGGGGTATTTCATAATTTACAAGTCTCCAGTGGACTAGAGGGCAAGAGCAAGACAGTGGAGTGGTGGGGGAGCCTTCAAGTGTGGAGTCAGAAGGAAGGTTTGGGTGGAGACCAAGCCTGCAATGCTGGCCAGGGCTGGGGTTCTGGAGTTGTAGGTGCCTGAGGTTATGGGTGAAGGGCATCTCTTAGGCCAGACACTAGAGCTATGGTAGGTAATGGCCCCTGCAGGGACGCCTTAGCTACAGAGCCCTGCTGGCTGCCTGCCCACCCCATTCCACTCAAGAATGACACAGCCATCTGTTTAACTGTATTTTCTGGGTTTATTCCCCCTTGTTCCAAGCTCTAAGCCTCAGCTTACTCCACCTCCATAGCCTGCACAGTTTCCTCCACTAGCTCCAGGGTTAGTGGCTTCACTGTCTGGGTCAGGACAGCTGTGGTTCCAGGCACAAAGTGGTAGCGGCCAGACCTGGGAGGGAGGAGGGACAGCCTCTGAACATGGGCCTGTCATGTGGCCCATCCCCTTTTTGCAGCCCCCTATCTCCCCTGCTATAGCCCCACACATCCCTGTGGTCCCCGATCTCCAGCTCTCACCTCTTCACGGGCTCTGTGGGTGAGCTCAGTGTCCGCAGCAGCTTGGCGCCAGTCTTTGTGATCACACATGCGTCCACATTGCCCCCGGAGCCCAGGTCACCCAAGATCCCGGCGGTGACGGCTTCCACCAGCAGCCCCTGAGCAGCCTCCAGCTGCGGTGATGGGTGTGTGAGACCTAACGGGCTCTCTCTGCTGTTAACTTAGGCTACAGCCTGGGGACTTGCCTGTCCACTTACCCAATCTGGTCTTGCCCTCCAAACCCCCACTGTGTTTCTCCCTCTGAGCCTTAGCCACCTCTGAGGCAACATCACCTGCTTCCATCCCACCCCAAACAAAATCTAGGCTCCAGACGTTGATATAAGTAGGACCCTACTGGTCCTTCTCTCCGCCCTCGGCTCCTAAAGATCCTCTGTGAGCTTCGACTTCTCCCAGCCGTGCAGGCTTTGGTATTGGACGGTGTTATGTCGGGACCGCACTTCTCTGCCCTTACTCCACTCACCCTTCAGTGGTCACCTCCTCCGACAAGCCTTAGCCACCCGCACTGGGCCAGGGTCCTGTGCTCCCCCAGCTCCCGGGTGCACATCCCACCAGCGACCACAAAGTCGGGGACAGAGGCCGCTCACCGTCATGTTCGGCTGGAACCGGTCTTCTAGCACCGCCAGGGCCGCGTCCTGACCAGAGCCTGAAGGCAGGAGAAGCATCTGAAGTCAACCGCTGCGACGCCGTTTGGAGTGAGGCCAAGGTCACAGGGGCAGAGTTCGAGGAGAAGGGACAGAAGCGCTCACCCAGGGCTGTGAAGGGCAGACGGCTGTAGGAGCCATGGGGATGCACACCGTAGAGCTGCGGTCCAGTCAGGTCTACGCCGCCCACGATCAGCGATGCACCCACGTGGCCCTGGTACCTGCTCGAGGATGGGCGGGGTCGGCCACAAGCTGGGGCCTAGGCCCCACCTCTCTATGCCCAGCTCCTAGGTGCTATCCCCGCCCCTTCCTGTGGGCTGGCGCCCGATGACTGACATCGCCTTTTCCTGTAGCCCAGGTTCTCTTGGGCCGGCCTCTTCCGGTCACCTGGCCCGTCGCGGTCCCGCCCTTCTTTCTGTCCCGCCTTCCAATGGCCCCAACCCCGTAACTACCCCTGCCGGGGTCCTGTTAGCCCTGCCCCCGCACCTGAAGAGCGTCTGGCGCAGGATGCGAGTGACCGTGGCCACGCGGGGCTCGCGGCCCGTAGATAACGCGTGTAGCTCCATCTTGGACGCCACCATCCGTGTGGTCATCTCGGCGTCCGCGGCTACTCCAGCCCCACAGCAGCTGAGGCAAAAGGGAGGATCGGTGTGGGCAGGGCTGGGACGTGCGGGGACCGGAGTGGGAACGAGGGGGCCGTTCTTTTTTGCGTACGGGAACTGGGCTCGGGAGTCTCACTAGATTTTGGGGGCGATGAAGTGGATCTTCTCGCAGCTCTTGTCCGCCACGACCGAATCGTTAGTGGCTCGCGTATCGGCGCCCAGAATGACCCCGTCCTGAGGAGAGGGAGGGACCGCAGCTTCAGTGCCTGCTCGATACTCTCGGCTCCCCTCCAGCTCCCCGTCCCTCCCCGCTGCTCACTTGGAACACCAGGCCCGCGATGGTGGTCCCGGTCTTGCGTGCGTGAGGGACCTTGAGCCCCGGGAGGACGCGTTCCAATGATGCATTTCTGGAAACGGAGGAGGGCGCCCATGTTTCGGCTCTGCTTTCAAGACCCCTGTTGCTTCCCCTAACCTGGTCCCCGTCTCCCTCATCTTCCGGGGTAAGCCTGGAACCCAAGTCGACCAACACACCCTCCCCCACCCCCAGCCAGGAAAAAAGGCCACGAGCAAGCAGAGGCGGCTCAGGAGTGACCGCCCCCCGCGCCCCCGCTTCACCTTTGGCAGTTCTCGAAGGAGAAGCCCCCTCGGGGCTCCAGGGCTGGCTTCAGCATCTTGGGGCAGGCAGAGGGGATTAGGGGTCGCGGGCGGATGAGTCGGCCAGACAAGCGGGGCCAGTGAGCAGCTAAAAAGTCCTCTGCTAGGCTTCACGTCTGTACTTCCTGCTTTCGCTTTCGCCTTTACCCTTCCTCAAAGGCCCGTGGCGGTTTTCTGCATCTTGTCTTTCACTTTTGGCTTCACTTGTGGCTCTGAGCATTTGGGGAACCGGGTGATGTCCCTTGCTGTGCCCTCTGTGCTGCTCACTGGGTACTCTGTTGGATAGAGGGACAAATCTCTTCCCTTCTGGACTTGTTCAGGTCCTCCTCCCCCTCCATCTGAGCCCCTTGCTCTTACCCTAGCCTCAACTCTGACCTCCAGTCCCAGCATAGTAAAGCTCTCAGAGCCTTGGCCAAGTCAGCATTGTTGCTGGCCACCCAGTAGCATCAGGCATAGCTGACTTTTGTTCCTTGTCACCTTTCTTCCAACTCTTGCCTCTTTTGTTGCCTTTACTCCTCTGCAAAAACCTCAAACAGAGGCTCAGTCCTCAGTCACAGGGACCCTGGTCTTTCCATCTTCCATCTCAGGTGCCATCTTCCCTCTCTCAAGAGGGCACCATGGGTGTTGGGTTCCACTCATGGCCAAGCCTTGTTATTTCACCTCCCCAGTGACCTCTTGTCTGCACACATCCTTTTCCTAGCACTTCTAGTCTCAGCTAGCATCCTCTCCCACCTGGACATTGCACTGGCCTCCCTGGTTACCTTGCAATTCTTGCCCCCCGCCCCCCGACCCCCAGGCTACTCCTTACCCTGCAGAGAGCGGGTCTTTCTAAATTGGAAATCTGGTCACATTCTTTCTCTGGTTTAAACCCTTCAGCAGTCTGGGCCTGGTGGCTCACACCTGTAATCCCAGCACTTTGGAAGCCCAGGAGTTCGGGGCTGCAGTGAGTATGGATCATACCATTGCACTCCAGCCTGGGCAATAGACCCCGTCTCAAAGGGGGAAAAAAAAGACTTGGGTTTGAGGCTAAGAGCAGCACGCAGCTGCCAAAGGGTTTATCTTAATTTTTTTTTTTTTTTTTTGAGATGGGGTCTTACTCTGTTGCCCAGGCTGGAGTACAATGGTGTGATCTCGGTTCACTGGAACCTCTGCCTCCCAGGCACAAGCACTCTTCCACCTCAGCCTCCTGAGTAGCTGGGACCACAGGCACACACCACCATGCCTGGCTAATTTTTTTTTTTTTTTTTTTTTTTGGTAGAGATGGGGTTTCACCGTGTTGCCCAGGCTGGTCTTGAACTCCTGAGCTCAGGCGATCCACCCTCCTCAGCCTTCCAAAGTGCTAGGCTTATAACCATGAACCACTGTGCCTGGCCTATTTTACGGTTTTTTTTTTTTTTTTTTTTGGACACAGGGTCTTGCTGTTGCTCAGGCTGGAATGCCGTGGCACCATCTTGGCTCACTGCAACCTCTGCCTCCCAGGTTCAAGCAATCCTCCCACCTCAGCCTGCCTAGTAGATTTGACTACAGCTGTGGCTACACCTGGCTAATTTAAAAATAAATTTTTTTTTTTGAGACGGAGTTTTGCTCTTGTTGCCCAGGCTGGAGTGCAATAGTGTGATCTTGGCTCACCGCAACGTCCACCTCCCAGGTTCAAACAATTCTCCTGCCTCAGCCTCCCGAGTAGCTGGGATTACAGGCATGCGCCACCATGCCCGGCTAATTTTGTATTTTTAGTAGAGACGGGGTTTCTCCATGTTGGTCAGGGTGGTCTCAAACTTCTGACCTCAAGTGATCCGCCCACCTCGGCCTCCCAGAGTGCTGGGATTACAGGCATGAGCCACCGCACCAGGCTAATTTTTAAAATTTTTGTAGAGATGAGGTCTCACTATATTGCCCAGGCTTGTCTCGAACTCCTGGGCTCAATCAAGTCAAACCCAAGTCTTTTTTTTTTTTTGAGACGGAGTCTCGCTCTGTCGCCCAGGCCGGACTGCGGACTGCAGTGGCGCAATCTCGGCTCACTGCAAGCTCCGCTTCCCGGGTTCACGCCATTCTCCTGCCTCAGCCTCCCGAGTAGCTGGGACCACAGGCGCCCGCCACCGCGCCCGGCTAATTTTCTGTATTTTTAGTAGAGACGGGGTTTCACCTTGTTAGCCAGGATGGTCTCGATCTCCTGACCTCATGATCCACCCGCCTCGGCCTCCCAAAGTGCTGGGATTACAGGCGTGAGCCACCGCGCCCGGCCGAACCCAAGTCTTTACAGTGGTCCATTACTCTTCTTGTCACTCTGACCTCAGTGTAGGCACTGCCTCCTCTGGGAAGTCTTTGCTGACCTGAAAGGCTCAGCCTCTTGTGCTTCCTAAGCTTTTCTCAGAGCATTTAGCTTCATTAGTAATTAAACTTCCATTAGTGAAATGATCTGATTAATGGTTGTCACTCCCAGATTTTAATTCTAACTTTTTTTTTTTTTTTTTTTTTTGAGACCCAGTCTCTTTTTTTTTGAGACAGTCTCATTCTGCCGCCCAGTCTGGAGTGCAACGACGTGATCTCGGCTCACAGTGACCTCCACCTCCCAGGTTCAAATGATTCTCGTGCCTCAGCCTCCTGAGTAGCTGGGACGACAGATGCATGCCACCACGCCTGGCAAATATTTTGTATTTTAGTAGAGACGGGGGTTTCTGCCATGTTGGCCTGGCTGGTCTCAAACTCCTGAGTTCAGGTGATCCGCCTGCCTCGGTCTCCCAAAGTGCCAGGATTACAGGCGTGAGCCACCGTGCCCGGCCTCTAAACACTTGTGGCCCTGTCATTCACCCAGCACTCAAAAGGTCGTCTCACCTGCCCTTTTGGGAGCTGGGAGAGACAGCTCAAATTGTCACCGCCCCCCCACCGCCCCGTGCTCCTCTGACAGGGCTGTGGGTGGAGCCAGCTCCAGTCCCCGCGCCCAGCACAGAGGCAGGCACGGTGCACACTGCCTCAACAGCTCGACCAGGAGAGTGGGCAGCTGTACATCTAGGGTGCCCAGCTCAGTCCCAGGCCTCAGCAGAGCCCATCTTGCCTCACTGCACACAGCACTGAGCCTGTGGCTGGTGAGGAGTGAAACCTAGTGTGGGACTCTAGTGCCTCCCTTCAACCTGAAACATAGCCATCAGGGCTTACGGTAGCAAAGGAAGGTCTTTATTCAGGAGGCGGGGGCTCTGGGCTGGCAGTCGGGGATGCAGGGGGACCCTGGCGGTAGGCACCCAGCAGGATGGCATTGATGTGCTCCAGGGTCAGGTTGCTGAAGACCATGTTGAGATGCTGTATCCCGTGCAGGGGCAGCAGGTGCACAGGCTGTGGCTGGCGGCCCTGCCACAGGCCACAGAGCTCGGTGCTGCGGGTCGCCACCGTGTCATCACCATCCTCATAGAGCACACCCACAGGGTCCGTGTAGGGGAAGCCGTGGTCGTAGATGTAGGTGCGGGGCGTGGGCAGGCCCACGCCGTAAAGACAGTATACTTCCACACCAGGTGCTGGGAGTCCTGCCAGGAGGTCACGTGACTGCAGCCACATGTACCAGCCTTCCTCAAAGTGCAGGTCTGCAAAGAAGCGTTGGAAGTCACGGCCTGTGTAGTTGAAGCTGGGTGTGGAAATGAACACGTGGTCCTCAGGCCACGCCATGCGAGAGGGAAACATCCAGGGGGAGGTGGTGGTTATGCGCTGCTCCTCTTTCAGCTTGATGCTGGACATGATGGGGATGCCCTGGTTGTCACCTGTGGATATGGAGCAAGGTGGGACAGGGAGCCAGGCCTGGCTACCCCTGGCCCACAACCTGCTGAGTGTAGGCTCAGCCAGATGCTCAATCTTGTCCCTGCCCAATCTAGACACAGACTCTAAGCCACAGGCTTGAGCAGGCCTGATATTCAATGATGCTCAGTGTCAGCTTACTCAATGAGAAGCCCTGATAAGACCTCTGTTGGGTGGAGCTGTAGGGCTTCAAAAGGATGGCAGGGACAGGCACCATGGCTCACCCCTGTAATCCCAACACTTTGGGAGGCTGAGGCAGGAGGATCACTTGAGGCCAGGAGTCCGTGACCAGACTAGGCAATGCAGTGAGACCCTGTCTCTACAAAAAAAAAAAAAAAAAAAATCAGCTGGGCTTAGTGGAGTGCACCTCTAGTCCTAGCTACTCAGGAGGCAAAGGCAGGAAGATTGCTTGAGCCTAGGAATTTGAGGTTACAGTAAACTATGATCGCACCACTGCACTGTAGCCTGGGTGACACAGTGAGATTCCAGCTTAAAAAATAAATAAATAGGGCCGGGTACGGTGGCTCACACCTGTAATCCTAGCACTTTGGGAGGCCGAGGCAGGCAGATGACTTAAGGTCAGGAGTTCGAGACCAGCCTGGCCAACATGGGGAAACCTAATCTCTACTAAAAATATAAAAATTAGCCAGGCGTGGTGGCACATGCCTGTGATCCTAGCTACTAGGGAGGCTGAGGCAGAAGAATCACTTGAACTGGGGAGATGGAGGTTGCAGTGAGTGGAGATTGCACTACTGCACTCCAGCCTGGGAAACAGAGCGAGACTCCATCTCAAAATACATAAATAAACAAATAAACATTTTTTAAAAGGCCCAGCACAGTAGCTCACGCCTGTAATCCCAGCACTTCGGGAGGCTGAGGCAGGAAGATCACTTAAGGTGAAGAGTTTGAGACCAGCCTGGGCAACATAGCAAGACCTCATCTCTACTAAAAAACAAAAATAAATTAGGTGTGGTGTTGTGTGCCTATAGTCTCAGCTAACCAGGAGGCTGAGGCAGGAGGATTGCTTGGGCCAGGGAGATTGAGACTGCGGCTATGATCACGCCACTGCACTCCAGCCTGGGCGACAGAATGACCCTGTCTGAAAAAGAAAAAAAAAAGTAGGCGGGGCTTCCTGAGGACCAGGGTGTGTGGGGATGGTGGGTGAGGCCCAGGATGTGTGGGGATGGTGGGGGCGGTGCTGGCTGTCCTCCCTCGGGCATGTGTCTTTCTGCTCCTTGTGTGGCTTATGCAGCAATGGGGGCCACAGAGTTGTGCTCCAGAAAGGGGGAAACAAGATGGTGTCTGTTTGATGTTTATTGGTGGTGTCTGATGAGCGTTTCTCTTGTCCAGACTGTGTTTCTCTCTCCAGACCAGCTCCCAGGGTACAGGGGGTGGGGAGTAGGTGGTAGCTGTGTCAGTGCTGGGCCCTGGTGCCACTCCCTAGGGAAGAGCAGGTGGGGCCTCGGGGGGTCTGGCCCTAGCTCTGGCAGATCCATCCTCAGTGAAGCACATCCCTGGGCAAAGGCACTCCTGCGAGCAAGTGGAAGGCAGGCAAGGGCTGGGCAGGCAGGCTCTGGGGCTACAAGAACAAACCCTGGGAGCAGATAGCTGGGATTCACTTTCTGTGTTCACTGCCCCTTTGCCATCACTGACACAGACTCTGGAAGGAGCCACCCTAATTGCTCAGGCCAGGGTCACTGCTCTGGGGGCCAGTGACAGCAAGCATGCCAGCCCAGGAGTGGTAGATAGCACCCCTAGAGGCCACTGTGAGCAGGAGCCGCAATGAAGGCAGGCCCAGGATCAGCTTGGTCTCACCCATCGCTGGACCTAAGTGTTCGAGGCCTTCTCACCTGAGGCCAAGACCAGCATGGGCTTGATGGAGCCACCCCAGGGAGCCCCAAGAGAGATGAAGCCATCAATAAAGCGGTCCTTCCAGGCCTGGGGCTGGCGCAGCAGGAAATAGAGCAAGTGTAGACAGCCGAGGCTGTGGCCAATGAGGAAGACAGGCTTCCCATAGGCAGCGTGCATCTCCTCCACCAGCCCTGCGAGCTTGCGGTAGTACTCCTCCTGCTGGCCTGCAGCGGGTGGAAGGGGTCAGGGCAGCTGGGGTCTGGGGCACCTGCCCCACCCCAAGCCGGTCATCCGCAGAGACACTCACCGGGCTCCAGCCGCCAGTCATAGGGGGCGGCGCGCACAGTCTCGTCCCGCACGTAGCCATTGTTGACCAGGTTCTGCACCAGTGTGTGCAGGTACCCTGTGGGGGGACCAGCAGCACCGGGGGCTTGGGCCATGCCTGCTGTGGGCCAGCACCCAGGCCTGGAGCCCCAGCCCTGCCCTCTGACACAAACCTGCCAGCTTGCTGCTGTCCAGGTACTCCACAGAGTAGGTCTTGCCAAAGCCAGGGACGCGGATCTGGACACCAGGGGCGTTGGACACGAGCCCAGAGCTCCGGTTGTAGACAACCCTGCGGGGCGGGGGTGCCACTCAGCAGCCAGTAGCCAAGGGGCAGCGTGTTGGGGCTAGGGTGGAGCACATGGCTGTACCTGGTGTTATCGATCCAGCAGTCTACCCCAAGGGGTAGGAACATGTTGAGATCCAGCCAGATGGTGAAGAAGTCCTCTGTCTTGCGGTAGCACATCCAGTTCACCACATCTGGTTTGTCCAGCTTGGCTTCTAGCTGATTCCCCAGGCAGCCGGGCACTGTGAGCAGCAGCCCTCACTCTGGACTCTGGATTCCCCCCGTGACCCTTACCCCCGTCACCCCAGATGCTGCAGTGACCAGACCCACCCCCCACCTCCCATACCCTCAACCCCCAGGTACAAAGCACACTTACCCTCCCCTGCTTACACCCCCTCTCCCTGCTGTCCCCCCAGTAGCCAAAGCCCAGGCTTCCCTGAGGAAGGGAAGGCGCTGAGGTGCTGAGGCCAAGGCCGCTGACCCCTGCCTCTGCAGAGCAAACACCCAGTCTGGCGCTCCTTTATTGCCAAAGTCCAAGGTGGGAACAGATAGGTCTGGGGGCATGGGGGCTGGGCCTAATAGGGGCCGGGCATGGATGGGCCTCTCCTGCTCACCGATCCTGGGCTGGGCATCTTGTCCTTGGTGGGTGGGGGCCAAGGAAGGAGTGGTGGGGCTTGGCCCAGAGTCTGGTGTGGCTGTGACTGACCACAGCTTGTGATGCCCCAGCCAAGACCTCAGGCACACCCCGTCCCCCACTCCGCCCCCCCTGGGTTAGACAACTGAGAGTCACAGTGTGGTGGGAGAAGGGACGTCATTCCTCTAAGGGACAAGCTTTTGGCCCCTCCCCACACCAGGGCAGGTACTTATGTCGGGGCTTATGCAGGGCAGAAGGGCTTTGGCCAGGTCAGCTGCCAGGGGCTGGGGCCCAGGCTCCCCAGGGTCTGGCGTGGTGCATCAGGGGCCTGGTGGGGGCTTACCGAGGATGACGGGCCGTGTGTGGTTACTGAGCTCAGCCTTGGGCGTGGTGTGCGGGGGGAAGAGCACATTGAGGAGCCAGAAGGGGGCGGCAGGAGGGAGCAGCAGCCCCAGCAGCAGCGTCACCCACTGCCATGGGGAGCCGGGCGGCCCCATTCCAGCCCTGGTGCCTACTGCCAGAGAAAGCGGCACTGGGCTGTCCTTATCTGGTGTGGGAGTGGGAGGGGCCCTAGGGCCAGTGGGAGGGACGGCCTGGCCAGTGGGGGTTGTGGCCAGAGATTGCCGGAAAGGGGCACAGCCTCAGGGAGCCGGCTCTGGGCCTGGGTTCAGTTCCGCCTTCTTCTCTTGGCGCCAGGGGAAACAGAGCCGGGGCAGCAGGAGGCCCAGAACTACACAATGTTTTATTGAAAAAGTCAGGCCTCAGCTCAGCTGTCTCCATTCGGCTCAGCTTGGTGGGGGGCCCTGCCCATAGTAGACTGAGCCAGATCTTCCTGCAGGCAGCTGGGCTGGACTCCCTCCCTGGCTACCCTTCCCTTCGTCTCTGATGGTGACATCCAAACAATAAATATGCAATAAATAGCGCTCCTGGGCTGGGCCGGGCCGGCTGCCTTCAAACCCCACTCGGCCCCTACCAGTCTTCTCTGGCCAGGACAGGCCTACTGGGGTGCTAGATAGTAAAGTCCCCAAACATCCCAGGGTCCCACAAGACCTGGGATCCATCTCCATTTTGAGGCCCAGGCCTGGTTTCCAAGGAGACCTAGCAAAGCTGGGTCCAGGACAGGGCCAGGCAAGCAGGGCTGGCAGGTGGGTGCTGGGAAGAGGCTGTTACCCCAGACCACAGCTTGTTATGTCCTGGCCAAGACCTCGACTCCAGGCCACAAGATGACACTGGGCTCAGGAGTAGATGGTGATGACTTCACGGCCACCACCGCGCACCAACAGCACCCGCTCAAGGCCCTCGGTCAGCACCTCGAGGAACTCCATGTCTGCAGGGCCTCAAGTCAAGGAGGCAACAACAGAATCAACGGGCAACCCGGGCCACCTGGGCCATGCCCACCCAGGGGTGCCCAGGAGAGAAGCCGCTGGCTTGACCTCCCATGCTATCCACCTCCCAACTGCCTGCCTCTCCACAAAGGGATACAGTTCTCGTCGCCCTCACTGTTCCTGGGTGGGCCAGGCATGTTTAGGAGAACCAGGCGGGCGTCGTGGGAGCGCGTGACAATGACTTCATTGAGCTTCACAGCAGTGTGCATGCGCCGCACATTGGATTGGTCCCTACACGTAGTGTAGCCAGTCACAGGTCGCCATGAGCCATCCTGCAAGGAGGGTCCCCACCCCTGGCCCATCTAACACTACTTGTCTGCCCCACCCCACCTCCACCCCTAGATTCCAGTGCCGCTGGGGCTGTTTTTGCTGCACTCACGGCTTAATGTGCACCAGCTCCCGGAAATTGTCAGGGGCATGGCTGGGGTCCCAGGTCTCAGTCATGTACTTGTCCCTGGTCCACGTCATCTGGATCTTGTCAGCCCCCACTGCAGACTCATCTTCCTCGTCCGAGTACAGGCTCTCCAGCCGCAGGGCCGAGTGCCGATCCTTGACCAGCTGGGCCTGAGGACAATTGCAGGAGATAGCCTTGGTCCCATAGGAAAAGGGGGATGGGGCCTGTCTGGCCCAATGTGACCACCTTGCCTCCGGGAAATGAGCACTAGCTTGGGTAGGGCTGCGGTGAGTCATTCTGATTCCTCCGCACCCACCGATGCGGTCTCCAAAGGCCTGACCCTGCCACCCGCCCTGGCGTGAACCACAAAGGGCACTGACTTCTCGCTCCCGCTCAGTCTTGGTCAGTCTCATCTGCCGCAGCATCTGCGACCGCTGCTCCATCATCAGCGTCCGCTCGTAGGTGTATGCAGAGATGTCACTGTTATGCTGGGGACAGGGTTGGCCGTGAGGACCCAGCTGCACGGGACATGGTATCCACGGGGCCAGGGCAGGGCAGAGGGCTCACCATCTCCACCACCTCCACCTCGGCCTCAAGGCGCAGATGGTACAGAAAGACAGCCAGGTCCTTCTTCATCTGGATGCTGTTGTCATCCATCTGGGCCACTGTGAAGATGCGCATCCGGCACTTCCTCCAGACCTGAGGCAAGGGACCAGGTGGGCGGTTTGGTCACAGCTGCTCCTCCAAGGGCCTAGCCCCTCTCATCTGCACCCACCCCCTGGTCTACCTTATGCTGGCGCAGCAGGAAGGGCAGAAGCATGAGCATGCCACCATCGTGCACGATCCACCACACGTCTATGTGGCCCTCCAGGTAGCGCTCGTGGTTGCTGGGGTAGAAGGCGATGTTCTTGGGCACGAGCAGGGCCAGGTGGGCAGCCGTAGTGCAGCGCACGGTGTCTGGGGAGGAGGAGCACGGCTGACCACCAGTCTGTGGCCCTCCGCCCACTGCCACCTCACTTCACCCCTGCCCACCAGGCCCCAGGCCTTCACACACCAATGAAGGTCTTCCAGGCACGGGGGTCCTCGCTCTGTCGCCAGCCGTAGGGCCAGCCCAGCACCACGGAGTTATGCCGCATGCCTCCCAGGCCACAGGACTGGATGAGGTGGGCCAGCCCCTCCCGCACCTTGCTGGCCACCACCACCTGGCAGAAGCCCTTCACCTTCTCAATTTCCATCATGTTCTTGATGGTCTGTGGGGAACACACCCAGGGCCAATGGGAGGCCATCAGCTTCCTGCCTCTGGGCTCCCTCCCAAGGCCCCTCGGGAACAAAACGACTTTTGGGTGGAGGAGGGCCTGGGGGCAACAAGCTGCCTACCCAGAGGCCAAGTTTTCAAGATGGGACTGCTGGCTCCCCCTTGTGCCAGCTCTCAGGTGGCAGCAGTGCTGGCTGCCTGGCTGGCCACCCTGGCCAAGACTGGGCCCTCCCCTCCGTGCCAGCTGCAGTCCAGACCCCTGTAGTCTGGCTCAGCTCTCCCTCCCCAAAGCAAGTACCTGCTCGGCGGCCTGAGCCTCGCCATAGCTCTCCAAGAAGCTCCCCTGGATGACAGAACCAACAATGGTCAGGCCCTTGCCAGCCTTGAGCTGGGAGGCGAAGGTGAGGAGCCGCGGGTACTTCACGTGGAGGTCCTCGTCCAGCTTCAGCAGCACCAGCAGCTGCGGCCTGCAGTGGCCGGGTGGGGGGAGCCTGAGACCAGGGCCGGCCGTTCTAGGGAGCCCCTCCTCTTCTTCCCTTCTCGGGTCGTGGTCCCTGCAGGTTTGGGTAGCATGGCCCAGGAGGGTGCCCCGGGCAGCCCCAGGATGGGGAGCCGGCACCTCTCGACCCTCTGACCCCGACAGCGACCCCTAAGAACCTCTGCGCCCTGGCCAGGGTCTGGCGGGAACTCACCGCCAGTTCTTGGTGTGAGGAGGCCCCTCCTCCAGCCGCAACAGCGCGTAGCGGGC
The DNA here is from genome assembly GCF_000001405.40 of Homo sapiens. Taxonomy (NCBI): domain Eukaryota; kingdom Metazoa; phylum Chordata; class Mammalia; order Primates; family Hominidae; genus Homo; species Homo sapiens. Next base: position 67,947,387 of record NC_000016.10, read on the forward strand.
AGCGCTCAGGGACAGGCCTCGGATCCCGTCACCCCACTCCTTCTCAGCCCTGCAGATTCCACCACAGCTGGTGAGCCCCTGGTGCCGCCCAGGGGGTTCTGTCTATGTGGATGCGAGGTGGAGGGGTTCTGCCCCTCAAGACCACCCAGGGGTCCTGAGTTACAGTCCCCAGTCCTGGCACCCACGGTGGCCCAGCTCCCTGCCCACCCCAATGCCAGACCACCCTGCCTGCTCGGCCGGGCCCCCTCAGCTGGCAGAGGCCAGGTGGCAGTGCTCACTCACCCTTGGTACTCGATGTATTTGTAGATCATGCCGGCGATGAGCATGGCCACCAGGGCATAGTACCAGGAGGAGACAAACATAAGGGCCAGGCAGAGACTCATGCCCAGGAAGGACAGCGCCCTGGACGAGAGGGGAGGGCAGAGTCAGGGCAGGACCAGGAGGACCCCTGGCCACAGCCTGGCCCATGCCCTGGTAGCCCTGTCAGGTCCCGGGTGGGAGGTCCCAGGTGGGTGGTCAGGTCACTGGGTGTAAGACCTAGGTCCAGTCCCCCGCAGCCCTATAATCTCCCTCCCCACAGTGTTTCAAGAGCTCCCTACCCAGGAAACCCAAGCCTCACCCAGAATGAGGCTCCTGGCCTCCCCAGGGTCTCCCGTGTCAGAGGCATGGCTCACCAGTGATAGTACTTGAACCGGGGCCGCCAGTTGGGGGTCCTCAGGAGTGTCTGCACCGCACAGGCGAGGTTCACGAACAGGTAGCACATCAGAAAGAACCTGCGGCACAGAGGGCGGTTGGCGAAGAGCAGCCTCCTCGGCAGCTGGGGACCTGATGTCAGGCTGGGCCTGGCCCAGAAACGGGGCGTGGCCCGGCCCTGCCCTGCATGGCTCAGCAAGGTCTTCTCAACCTCATTGCTGCCACCTCCATGGCCTGAGGCAATGAGACTACTGTGGAGGAGTCCTCGGAGCCAGATCGCAGAGGATGGGCAAGGGTTTGCTGTTGGAGGAGGTAGGAAGGGGAGTAACAGGGCAGAGCTGAAGAGGGTGGTGCAGGGGCAGCAGGAAGAGCTCAGTGCCTGGAGACTCTAGGCCACATTCAGGCCTCTGGCCTGAGTGACCAGCTGGATGAGAGGCTGCCATGCATGAAGGGGAGGATGGAAGATAAGCTGGACCATTTGAATGCAACCAGTCAGAGATACTTAAGAGTCACTGCGGTGGGCGTGGGAGTCCCACGCATGGGCAGGGCCAGCTGCATGAGCCCTCCAGGAAGGCACCCGAGGACGGGTGCGCAGGAAGGCAGGAGGACCCACACAGGGCATGCCAGGGGGCAGGGGCTCCCAGCAGGAGGCCCGAGATAAAGGCTGAGATGTAGCCTCTGATTTGGGCACAAGGGGGGTCACCACCCAAGATGGCTGTGGCAAAACAGTTTCAGGTGTGCTCTTGGGTGAGAGGAAGGGGTGTGGGGGGGTGGACAAGAGGGTGCTGGCTCCAGCAGGCCTGGCTGTAGCTGGGATGGAGCCTGCTCAGGGGTACAGGGCCCCTGTCAAGTCTGCAGGCTGAGTGGGCAGGGAAGAGGAGGCCTTTCATAACCGCACAAGCAAGAAGGAGCGTCAGCCACGGAGCAGGGTGGGCGAGGACCCCAGCCTGGACAGAGTCAACCAAACAAGCGCTGCCTCGGGGTCCCTGGGAGTCACCACATGCTGGCCACTCCCTGCAAGGCACTGGCACGCAGATTTGCCTGGCTGATTCCAGAATGTTAAAAGCAAATGACTTTGAAAATGGATGGGTTGGGCATGGTGGCTCACGCCTGTAATCCCAGCACTTTGGGAGGCCGAGCCAGGTGGATCATCTGACGTCAGGAGTTCGACACCAGCCTGGCCAAGATGGTAAAACGCCATCTCTACTAAAAATACAAAAAATTAGCTGGGCGTGGTGGTGCATTTCTGTAATCCCAGCTACTCAGGAGGCTGAGGCAGGAGAATTGCTTGAACCCAGGAGGCGGAGATTGCAGTGAGCCAAGATCATGCCATTGCACTCCAGCCTGGGTGAGAGAGTGAGACTCTGTCTCAAAAAAAAAAAACAAAAACCAAAAAACAAACTAACAGATGGAAGGGGCAGCAGTGGCTTCATGGAGGCATGAGGGACGCGGTGGTTGCCCTGTCCAGTGGGAAGGTCTGCCGGCCACCTGCTCTGGGGGCCTCAGGGAGGTGTGGACATATTGGTCACCTTATAGCTTTGGCATAGGTGCCAGGCTTGCTCCTAAATGCAGGGGTGGGCTGAGCCCTGTCAGGCCACATCTCCCCATGCAGCCTGCCACATCTCCCAGCTGGACCTCCAACACCAGACGCAGCCACGGGGAGGTGCTGGGGTTCAGGAAGCCTTTCCCCATCCCCCTGCCCTGCCCGGCCCCAGCTCACATGGATAAGATGGGGGCCACCATGTCGAGGGAGGCGATGAGGATGCCCAGCTCGGCGATGAGTGCCGTCAGGAGGAGTGCCCATGTGGGTTCACCATTCACCTTCCCGTGGCCAAACACCTGTGTGCACCAGGAAGGAAGCTGGGTCCTGTCACCCCCATTCCACACCTTGGGCCCCAGACCCCAGCCTGGCCTCCCTCACCCCCAGGGCCCGCCTTGGGGGCTCAGGCCGCCCCTGTGTCTATCCCTATGGGTGTCACCAGTCTCCCTGATTCCACCTCACCAGGCCTCTCTCCTTTGGATGAGCCCTAAACAGGCCATGAAGATTCTGGGTCCAGGCAGCTCCAGGCCCAGGTGAGTGCCAGGCCCAGGGCACTTCTCAGTAGCTCCTCATGGATGGCCGCCTGGCCCCGGGGGCCAATAAGGGCAGGACGTGCTGCATCTGTGTTCCCTATCTCTCTCCCCAGCCGGGCGAGGGCCTGGGAGCAGCCAGGCCATGGGGGAGTGCAGAGGGGCTCACCCGGAGGAAGGGGATGATGTTGTCCTTGGCAATGGCCTGCAATAGGCGTGGTGCCCCTGTGAGGCTCTGGAGGCCAGCGCCACACGTTGAAAAGAAGGAGCCGATGACGATGACCCAGGGTGAAGGCCAGGCCAGTGTGCCCACCACCAAGTTCCTGCTGACACCATCGCCATACCTGCAGGGGCCACCAGAGTGAGGGATGTCAGGGGTCCGGAAGGATGGCACAGACCACCAAAGGCAGCCAGCAGGCTTAGGACCACCCACGGGGTTGGGAGCTGGTGTGAGGGCAGGCCAAAGCCCAGCCGCTGCTAAAGAGGGGGGCCCAGCTCACTCACTTGTCCCGGAGAACCACACCCTCAATGCAGGCACCAAAGAGAACCACACTGCTGAAGTCTGCGGCGGCGTCAAGGAAAACTCGGCCTCTGCCACCCCACTGTCCCTGAATAGTACCACGTGCCCCCACCCCAGCCAGACTACCAGGACACCTACAGCTGGGAGTCTCGTGGTGTGTATGTGCATGTGTGCATGAGAAGGGGAGCTATATATGAGTGTGTGGGGTGTCTGTGCATGTGACCTGGCAACGTACACAGGCCAAGCGCTTCCCGTCCTCTGCCCCACCTGCCCCAGGCCTGGGAAAGGATACACACGAGGGAAGTTGTAATGATGGCCAGAATGGTCCCCACAGGGATAGACTTCTGGGCGTCACGAAGGTCCCCAGAGCGGTTTGAGCCAGCCATGATGCCTCCAAAAACAGATGAGACTCCCTCAGGGGCTCCCCGGGATTGGGGACAGGGCTGGGTGGGTAGGCAGGCAGGGCTCACCTGTTACAGAAGGGAAGAAGATGCCGACCAGCACGGTGAAGGATGTGGCGATGTCAGCGACCACGTACAGAGGCAGGCTCTCCTTCAGGCTCGGGGCATCTGCGGAGGGCAGCCCATGCTTCTCCACGATGTCACCCTTCTCCAGGTAGGCGCTCCACAGGTTTTCTGCAGGGGTAGCTGTGTCACCACCACAGCTGCCCCCCACTACCCCAGGTAGTTTGGGGCAGCCTAGCCAGAGGCGCAGATGCAGGGCAACTTTGGGGACTCAGGGAACAGCTTCAGCCCAATGACTGCAGCGTCAGCCACAGGGCTACCCTGACCACAGAGAAGGAGCTGCCCAGCTAGAAGTCGACAGACAAAGGTGGCTGAACCACCGTCACCCAGAGCCCGCCACTGCCCGCCTTCCACAGAGGCCTTTATGGATCCTGTGGGAACATCCCCAGGCAGTGTCAGGGGCTGGTGGCTGGGGAAGACAGGCTGCTGCAGGCCTTGGACGCTGGCCAGACAGGCTCCACTCACTCCAAACTCGGCTGCCAGGAGCCAGGCTGGGAGGACACTGGGGGGCTGGGAAGGCGGCCAGTCCTGCCCCCGTTCCCAAGCTGGCCACACAAGGACAGCTCTGTGCTCTGTGCCCCTGCTCAGCCTGTGGGCTCAAGAGCAAGACGACGGGAGGGAGGACCCACCCTGGAGCACACCAGCAGCTGCCCCGGGGATGCCAGGGATCTCGGTCACATTGTTGAGCATGAAGTAGGGGTCACAGGAGTCGGTCGTAAGGTTGGGGCTGTGGCAGAAGAAACTCCATAGCTGGGTGGCCACTGTCTCATTGTCCACTACAGCTGTCTTGGCACAGATGTCAAACTGGTCCCGGGACAGGGTCCTGTTGCCCAGCATGCATACCCTGTGAGGGACAGAAGCACCGGCACCTGCTCAGGTCAAAGCCCCTGCCTGTGCCCACCCTGCAGTCTCTGGGATCTGGGGCATCAAAGGCTGGCTACATGGGAGGGATGTCCATGCAATGCCCAGATAAATTCCTGGGTTACTTACGGAAACACGGGAGGGTCAAATATAGACTTTATGCCCCCAGCATAGATGGAGAGGATGGAGATGATCACACAGGCCAGGAAGAGCGAGGCAAATTTGTTCACATACTTGACCCCCACAAACACCACCAGGGTCATGAAGGTCAGGAAAATGGTCCCATACACACGCATATTGTTCAAAGTGGCATTCGACGTGTCATGAGCACCCGATGGGTAAAAAATGGCAGCTGGTGGGGCAATGTAGGTCTGAAACAAGAAGATGGATAAGGAGGGTTTTATTTCTTATTTGGAAAGTGAAACTTGTCGTTTTGGTTTTCTTTTTACGAGTACCTAAAAGAGGCCGGGCGCAGTGGCTCACGCCTGTAATCCCAGCACTTTGGGAGGCTGAGGTGGGGGATCACTTGAGGTCAGGAGATCATGACTAGCCTGGCCAACATGGGGAAACGCCATCTCTACTAAAAATTAGCCGGGCGTGGTGGCACGTGCCTGTAATCCCAGCAACTGGAGGCTGAGGCAGGAGGATCGCCTGAATCCAGGAAGCAGAGGTTGCAGTGAGCAGAGATCGCACCACTGCACTCCAGCCTGGGTGACAGAGGGGGACTCCGTCTCAAAAAAAAATAAAAAATAGGTCAGCGCCGTGGCTCACGCCTGTAATCCCAGCACTTTGGGAGGCTGAGGCGGTGGATCACTTGAGGTCAGGAGTTTGAGACCAGCCTGGCCAACATGGTGAAACCTCATCTCTACTAAAAATACAAAAATTAGTGGTGCAAAAACTGGTAGTAGTGGCACACGCCTGTAATCCCAGCTACTCGGGAGGCTGAGGCAGGAGAATCACTTCAGTCTCGGAGGTGGTGGTTGCAGTGAGTAGAGACCACACCACGGCACTCCAGTCTGGGTGACAGAGTGAGACCTTGTCTCAAAAAAATAAATGAATAGGCCGGGCGCAATGGCTCATGCCTATAATCCCAGCACTCTGGGAGGCCGACTGCCTGAGCTCAAGAGTTCGAGACAACCCCAGGCAACTTGGTGAAACCTCATCTCTACTAAAATACAAAAAATTAGCTGGGCGTGGTGGCATGAGCCTGTAATCCCAGCTACTCGGGAGGCTGAGGCAGGAGAATCACTTGAACCCAGGAGGCGGAAATTGCAGTGAGCTGTGATCATGCCACTGCACTCCAGCTTGGGCGACAGAGTGAGACTGCATCTCAAAACAAATAAATAAATAAAAATAAAAAATAAGAGTACCTAAAAGAAGCCAGTCACAAAAGGTCACATATTATATGATTCTGTTTATATGAGATGCCCAGAATAGGCAAATCCCAAGGCAGAAAGCAGATTCCTGGTTGCCAGGGCTGGCGGGGAATGGAGAGTGACTGCTAATGGGGGTTCTTGGGATGATGAAAATGTTCTAGAATTGACTGCGCAACTCTGTGAATATACTATAAAACATTGAATTGTACACTTTCAATGGTATATAAATTGGTATGGGAATTGCATGGTATGTAAATTATATGTTAATAAAGCTGTTACTTAAAAACAAGCAAACAAAAAGGATCCAAACATAGATGCCAACCTGAATCGTTAAATAGCCAAAGTGGAACAGTTTGAGCAAGAAAATAAATAATGATAGTATTGGATTACAACCCAAAGAATAAAGTAAATATCCAGAAGTCCATACAGATATAATGACATGGCTGAATAGATAAACAGGAGAAGGGACAAATCCCACATAATGAATGTAGAAGGGATATGAGAAATGAAAACAAGCCAAAGCCCCCCCAAATCAGAAGATTCAGGTGCAGGGTCCTGCTGCAGGTAGAGGACCTGGAGACAAGAACAGCCAGGCAGTCCCTCCAGGTATCTCCTACCCTCTGGATCCCCAGGGGCGGGCACCTGTCACCCCATGCCTCCCGCAGCTCCTTGCCTCTTCTCCCACTGGTACGGCAGTTCACTGGGGAATGAGAAGCTGAGGCTGACAGAGCTCCCATGGGGCTCGTGGAGGGAGCGCCGACCTCCAGCAGGGTTCTGTGGCTGCTTACCCTGATTGAAGGACAAGGAGAAGGTGGATCTGAAGTGCCCTGGCACAGAGCCCCGGAGGACACAGAGCTGGCCAGAGCTCACACAAGCCCAGAAGGAAGCCTACATCACCACCAAGATCTGTCACTGAGCTGAATACAACAGTTCCTGGAACCCTTGCCATGGCTGCAATGGTGCCCAGGTGGATGGAACATCCAGGGCCGAGGTGAAGGCAGCCAGGCCTCTGCCTTGCCTGGCCCAAACTGGCATGGAGGTGAAAGGAAGACCAGCCTGAGTAAAGGTCTTTGTCTCTCGAAGAGGCTTCCTACTTTATAATACCCAGGCCTTGGCCAGACATGTGGGGATGAACAGCCTGAGCCTTCTGTTTGGAGTCCAAAGGGACTGTTTGGACATGGCCAGAGTTGGCCAGGGCTCAGCCTGACTCACCAGCAAGATCTCGATGGCCCCCAGGATGTACATGGCTGCTGCGAATGTTGTTCCCAGGTAGAAGCACAGGCCCACAGCACCTCCAAATTCTGGCCCCAGTGAACGAGAGATCATGAAATAGGAGCCCCCAGCTACAGCAGAGAAATGAAAGTGTGCACAGGTCAAGGCTGGTTCTTCTTCAAGGGGTCTCCCTGTGACAAGCCTGCACAACCACCCAGAGGGACAGGGACTGCTTTTCCTGTTTGTGGATGAGTAGAGGGGCTGGGAGACCTACCCAGGGCTGCACGGTGGGTAAGCATCTAGGCTGACATTCGATCCTATCCCCATCTGACTCGAATGTCCAGCACGGCCCGTGGAAATAACTGCTTTGCGGGAGCAGCTCTAGTCTGCAGCAGTGGCTGACTGGCCACCATCCTCCAATGCCCTGTGCACAGCCCACAGCCTCCTCTGGCTGGGTGTGTCCTATCTCAGCCCACCTCACCCTCCTGAGGCCTGTGCCTTTGTTAGTCTGACTCCTCCAGACCAGAGGAGGGACTGTCTCATCCAGCCTTTTGGCCCTAAGGCCCCGCACAGTGCCTGCCACCAGGTGAGTGTCCACGGCTCCCTGCCCTGAATCTGTGCTTCTATCAAAGTCTAACACCCTTAAAAGACTCAGAGAGTCATGACCAGGCCCCAGGGTGACAAGCACAGGGGGACAAGAGTCATCTCATGTTGCTGGTTGTATCTGCTGCTGAGACAATGTCTCTGGTGAAAATCTGGGAACAGGGATCAAGAAATTCTTTCAAAGAGTCAATCTTGGCTGGGCGTGGTGGCTCATGCCTGTAAGCCCAGCATTTTGGGAGGCTGGGGTGAGTGGATTGCTTGAGCTCAGGAGTTCCAGACCAGTCTGGGCAACATGGCGAGACCCCGTCTCTACTAAAAAAAGGAAATGATAAAAATATACATTTTTAAAAAAAGGCCGGGTGCAGTGGCCCACATCTGTAATCCCAGCATTTTGGGAGGCTGAGATGGGTGGACTGCCTGAGCTCAGGAGTTCGTGACCAGCCTGGGCAACACGATGAAACCCCGTCTCTACTAAAATACAAAATTAGCTAGGCGTGGCGGTGTGCACCTGTAGTCCCAGCTACTCAGGAGGCTGAGGCAGGAGAATCGTTTGAACCTGGGAGGCAGAGGGTGCAGTGAGCCGAGATCATGCCACTTCACTCTAGCCTGGCGACAGAGTGAGACTCCGTCTCAAAAAAAAAAAAATGTCAGCTGGGCACAGTGGCTCACGCCTGTAATCCCAGCACTTTGGGAGGCTGAGGCAGGCAGATGACTTGAGGTCAGGAGTTTGAGACCAGCCTAGCCAACATGGTGAAACCCCATCTCTACTAAAAATACAAAAATTAGCTGAGCATGGTGGTGCATGTCTGTAATCCCAGCTACTCGGGCGGCTGAGGCAGGAGAATCGCTTGAACCTGGGAGGTGGAGATTGCAGTGAGCTGAGATCGTGCCACTGCACTCCAGCCTGGGCGACACACTCCGTCTCAAAATAAATAAATAAATAAATAAACGAAAAGTCAATCTTTTTCATGCCGTAATCCACCTCCAGGACCCTCTCCTAAGGGAACTGCTGGGGCATGAACAAAGATTCATGTTCAAGGATGTTCATGACAACAATGTATACAATGGTGAAAAAGTGGAACCCACAGGCAGGAGAATAATCACATTAATTAGGTTATGGTGTACCATGGAGAATCCTGTTTTCAAAAAACCATTTTCGGCAGGGTGCAGTGGCTCACACCCGTAATCCCAGCACTTTGAGAGGCAGAGGTGGGTGGATCAGTTAAGGTCAAGAGTTCGAAACCATCCTGGCCAACATAGTGAAACCTCGTCTCTACTAAAAATACAAAAATGTGGTGGTCGCCTGTAATCCCAGCTACTCAGGAGGCTGAGGCATGAGAATCACTTAGAATTGCTTAAACCTGGGAAATGGAGGTTGCAGTGAGCTGAGATCATGCCACTGCACTCCAGCCTGGGTGACAGAGAGAGACTCTGTCTCAAAAAAAACCCAAAAAACCAAAATCAAAAAACTGTTTTCAACACTTGGGAAACATACACACACACATACACACGTAAACATATACACATAAATGCATATGTATATATACACACATATACTTTTGGGAAATACACACAAACACACACACACATATATATATATATATATACAATTTATGTAAATAGAGTGTGCGTGTGCAATACTTCATAAGACCCTAAGACTTATATATACCAAAAGGCGAACAGTAGTGATTTCAGGATGGTGGGATTATGGGTGCTTTTAATTTTCCATTCTATACCTTTCTGCACTTTTTTATTATTTATTTATTTATTTTGGAGATGGAGTCTTGCTCTGTCACCCAAGCTGGAGTGCAGTGGCATGATCTTGGCTCACTACTGCAACCTCTGCCTCCTGGGTTCAAGCTATTCTCTGCCTCAGCCTCCCAAGTAGCTGGAATTACAAGTGCCCACCACCATGCCTGGCTAATTTTTTTTTTTTTTTTTTGCGACGGAGTCTCGCTCTGTCGCCCAGGCTGGAGTGCAGTGGTGCAATCTCGGCTCACCGCAAGCTCTGCCTGCCAGGTTCACGCCATTCTCCTGCCTCAGCCTCCCGAGTAGCTGGGACTACAGGCGCCCGCCACCACGCCCGGCTAATTTTTTGTATTTCTAGTAGAGATGGGGTTTCACCGTGTTGGCCAGGATGGTCTCGATCTCCTGCCCTTGTGATCCACCCACCTCGGCCTCCCAAAGTGCTGGGATTACAGGCATGAGCCACCGCGCCTGGCCTTTTTTTGCACTTTCAAACCCTCTTACAGTAAACATACATTGCCCTTTTTTTTTCTTTTTTGGTATTGCTTTTATATTAACAAAAACCACAATGGCACTCTCCAACTCTGTCAAGCAGGAAAGCTCCTACGTGGGCACTGTCCTGGCATCAGGGATTGGGAGCCCACTACAGAACTGCTTGGGGCAGGGGTGTGCTATGGGGGTTCCCAGGTAGGTCAAGGCAGATACTGGGTCCTTTTCTCTTCCACCAGGCCTTGGGTGGCGCTCACTGACCTGGAACCACACCGTTGGTGGCGATGGCACTCATGGAGATGGCCGTCAGCAGGGTCTGTGGGAAGGAGGGCCTGGGTGAGCGGCTCAGCTGGGTGGGCTCTGTGGGGGCAGCCGTGGCCCATGCCCAGCCCAACCCTCCCACGCCAGGACACTCACACAACAGCAGCAGATAAGCACGATGAGGAGGGCCTGTAGCACACCTGCTGTGCCCACCATCCAGGTCAGCCGCAGGAAGAGGATAACCCCAAAGATATTCTGCAGGCAGGGCAGGTACACCCCCATGAGGGTGCCCATGCTGGGTGCCTATGCGAACACAAAGGGAGGGGGCGAGTAGAGCATCAGAGGGATGCACCATGGAGAGTCAGCCCTAGTCACTCAGCAGGCCCCCTCCCCCAGTGGGGCCCCAGGGAACACAGAGAGTAGGGGTGACAGCTAGGATGTCTCTATTGACTTTCATATAGGAAGACAGTTGAGTCTGGGAAGGTGTAAAACCTGATTCTTTTTAAAAACCCACATTGAACTTTGGAACCTTAACTCTCTCTCAAGGTACTGCCTCCTTCCCTTCCTCTCTTCTGTTAAACTTCTAGAAAGAGAGGTTTGTCTCAGATCTCCACCTTCTCACCCAGCAGGCCCTAAGTCACCCAAGCCAAAGTCCCAGAAGTCATCCCTGGCCCTCCCTCTCAACCCCCAACTCTAGTCCCGGTAGACACTAACTCCTACCCAGTCTGTCTCCCTGCTGCCCTGAGATCAGCCTGCCTTGTCCCAGCCTTAGTCCCTTGAACCTGGGGCACCTGGGTGGTACCCTCCTGAGCCTGTCAACCTCTCCACACTCCAGCCCACTCTGCTGCTATAGTAGGTCTCTGAAAGCAAGTCTAATCTCATCACCCATGCTGAAAACCCTCTGTTGTCTTGTAATCCAGTGTGCCGTCCAACTCCTTGGCTTGGGCCACCAGATGTGTCCCATCACCTCTCTTATTAGCTCCAGCCCCTGACCACATGGGTCCCTCAGATTCTGCGAACCTGAGAATGTGCTGGACTCTGCCTGGGAGAGTCGGCCCTGCCTCACGGCCTGGCAAACTCTTCAGTGAAACTGTTACCTCTCTCGGGAAGATGTCCGAAGGTTGCCTCAGGTGGAGTTGGTTCTCCCTCTCACATTCCTTTGGCATCTGATACTCCCTATCACAGTGGTCACTACAGGTCATGGTAACAGAATGTGCTTGTATATTTTGTTACTATATTAGGGCAGGCTTGGCTTGTTTATGGTTCTATCACCAGCAGGCCCTGCAGGTACCCAAAAGGTGCTTCTGAACCCAGTGAGTGGTGCTTTGGAAGCCCCTGGGACATCCTGTTGGGAAAATCCTACAGAGAAAGTGCTCAGGCTGTAGGGCAGGTGAGGAAGATCTAATACGCAAATCCAGGCAGGCTTTCTCAACTCAGGGCAGAGTAGGGGCCAGCCAGGAGGCCAGGGCAGAGGCTGAGAGCACAGAGGCTGGCTGACATCTTTTTGAGGCACTGAGCCCCCAAGAGTGCAGCCTCCGAAGTGTGGCCCTGACAGCTTCCACTGGAGCCCCAGCAAAGCCTCCTCACTGATCCAAAGGACTAGATTAGTGAAAATCATACGGGGAGAGGGGACAGGGAAGACCCACGAGACAGTGCCCGTGCTGCCCTGAAGCTAGGGAGAAGAGAACTCCATGGCCATGATCTTGTCTAGCTGAGTCACCTTAGACAAGTTCCTTAATGCCCCTCCTGAAGGGTCCTGGCCTGGGGCAAGACCTGTGAGCGACCTAAAGGACTTCAGAAGAGCCTCAGCAAAAACAAATGGCTCCTCAACCTGTCCTGCGTGGAGCAGTGCAGGGGACGGATCCCCCTCATCTGGGCTTTGTCTGAGCCCTTCTCAGAGGATGCCACCCACAGAATAGCGACAGCAAGAGCTCCCAGTCCCACCCCCATCCCAGGCTGAGTCACTCTAAGAAAAGGACAGTGTGGGAAAGGGCAGGGTGGGCCGGAAATGCTTTCTGCATCCCCAAATAACCTCTGGCAGCCTCAGAAGGTCATCAAGCCGGTGCTGGAGCTGGAGCAGCTGCTGGGGAGAGGCTGCTTTGGGTCTTGGCATGGTCTGGTCGGAGGCCCACCCTTCCTGCTTCAAGCCTTCCTTTTCCGAGGCCCCTGCTCGGGCCTGCCCTGGGTGAGGACCACAGCTCAGCAGCCCCAGATCCCTAACTTCCTACTGACTCCTTAAAGACTTGACCCAGCTCCTCCTTCTTCCATGAAAAAACTACTGCAGCTAAGACACCCAGTCACCCTCTCCCATCCTTACCCTGTGGCCAGGTAAGCTGGATAGCTAAGCTAAGCATCCTCACGGGTTCCCCATTGGGCCAAGGGATGATGGGCTCTCTCTGGCCCAGGCATCCCTCCCACATTCCTGCTGAGATGTGCACTAGCCGTTCTCAGGGGCCTCTTCACTCCCCGCCACCAGCTCCCTGGCTTGGCCTGAAGGGACAAGGATGAGGCTCTGACCTAAGGATCCTGTCACCCACTGTGGGCAGAGCACTCTCAGAGGTTGAGACACCCCTGCAGTGCTGGACAGACATGGCCAGACGCAGTTAGGGTTCTCTGCTATCTAGTCACACCTGGCTGCACAGGGTCAGGGTCAGGTCTGTGCGACCTCAAGGTATCAGCTGCCCTCTCTGAAGTGTGGGCTGGTTTGCCTCCCTGAAGGGCAAGGTGAGAGACGCGCTTCAGTGGGGTCTACCTTCTCTGCTGGCCCCACCCCAGAAAGGCCCAAATCTCACGACCAGGTGTGAGGCTGCAGGCCTGGCTTATCCCAGCCAGGAGCGCCTTCTGCTTGTGCCGACCTCTGAGAATACTACAGCCAGTGCCAGACGTCAGCTCCTCTTAAAACACCACTGCTTCCCAAACCTCAGGGAGTCAGTGTGTGGAGAGGGAGGGTCCCTAGCCTCCAAATGAAAAATGTAGAAAAATCCCCAGCCCTCAGCTACACTGAGCCGCAATGACACAGAGGAGCTAGGCAAAGAGGTAACAGTCACCCCAAAGAGAAGAGGGCTGAAGGGCCAGAGAACTGGATTAGTGACCAAAAAGTGGGACAGGAAAGCCCCACAAGGCAGCATCAGGCTCCGATCACATACACATGTCCCCTGACACTGGCACTCAAGGAACCCAGGGGGTTGTTGGAGGCTTCTGCCAATAGAGCCTTGGGCCAACACTGCGAGCAGCAGGAGGGTTTGTGACTTGCTCTGGATTGCATGACCTCCGAGAGACAACCTGGTTCCTGGCTCCAAGGGCAACACTCTTAGCCAGCCTCACACAATGTCACTGATCTGGCATTTTGCATAGTTACATATCCCACAAATCTGTCTCCCATAAAATCTACGAATCCATCTCCCAGCATTACACATTGATCTTGTCTAGCTCAGTCACCTTAGACAAGTTCCTTAATGTCCCTGACACTATTTCCTTGTCTGAAAAATGGGGATGATAGTAAGCACCTGCCTCTTGGTTTTGTTGTACAGATGACATATGAGAACCCAGGCCTGGTGTGGTACCTCGCACACAGTAAAGGCTGAGTACAGGCAGCTGTGTCTCCTGCTGTCATTCCTGAGGGGCTCCCTGGCCCTCTGCCCCCCGGGGGGATTCTCATTAGGTCACTTCTTAAAGCCTCCTGAGACAAGGCATTCAGTGCCCATCCTCCCTGCTCACTATGCTTGGCACCCACTTCCCCCAGTGTGCTCACCACCATGTGGGGAAACAGTCAATTCCATGGTGCTGTGTCTGTCTTCCCAGGTGTGGCCCCTCTGCCGCCCCAACCAGCTCACCTCGGCTGCCCTCCGGCGGGTGCCCTCCCCACTCTCGGCCTCCTCATGCTCTTTGGCGCCCTGGGTGAGGTTGGTGTAGCTGACGAGCTTTCCCAGAAGAGACGATACCTTTGGGCGGATGTCCAGCTCTTCCTGCAAACAGAGCCACAGGGCAAGATGGCATTGGGCCAGGTGGGTGCCAGCTGTGTGGAGCCAGCTGCCTGGTCCCTGGCCCTGTTCCAAGCCCTGAGACAGGCCTGGGCCTGATCCCAGTTCCTACCTGGGGAAGTCCAAGCCATCCAACTGGACAGGTGTGCACACCACACCCCAGCACGTGGCACTCAAAGGCCCAGCCCCGCGGCTGCTTCTCTCTACCCCGCCTTGGCTACAATCACTGCCAGCCCATTTGTGAAAACCACCTGCCTCAGGGGAGAGAGGGCAGGGAAGAACACGGCTGGCAGGGGGGCAATGGCATACTTCATCCTGCCTGCTCTGCCCAGCCACCTCCTGGCTATGGCTGCACCTCTAGGACTCACGCCTACCCTCCCCACAAAAAAGCCACTCTAGTCACCTCAGGGAACCAAAGAGGGCAAAAGAGTGATGTCTGGGACAAGTGAAGTCTCCCTTGTCTGCCCAAACCCTGATCTCCCTGGATGGTCTTCCCCTGACCCCAGTCCTGCAAGTACCCACATCAATCGCGGAGATGGGATCCTGATCCTCCAGCCCATCCTCAGGCGGGGCTGGGCCAAGGCCTTCACCGCAGAACCTTGCTGCTTTCCCAGGTCAGGAGGCCTCCCAGAGCTCAGGTCCCCCAGCCCCACCGGGGTCTAGGCGATGATCCCTGCTCCTGCAGCCTTCTCGAGGCTGTGCTTCTACCTGCCTCCTGCCCACATTTAGCTTTTCCCTCTCTGTCAGCTCCTTTCTGACCTACACACAGGGAGAAGTTGCTTTGGTGTGAGAAAGGAAGACGAGGGCCCTTGGGGGCATGTGGAGATTAAGGAGCCTCGGCCAGATGTGGTGGCTCACAGCAGTAATTCCAGCACTTTGAGAGGCTGAGCAGGAGGATCACTAGAAGTCAGGAGTTCAAGACCAGCCTGGCCAACACGGTGAAACCCCGTCTCTAAAAACACAAAAATTAGCCAGGCATGTGGTGGGCACCTGTAATCCCAGCTACTCGGGAGGCTGAGGCAGGAGAATCGCTGAGCTTGGAAGGCAGAGGTTGCAATGAGCTGAGATCGCGTCACTGCACTCCAGCCTGGGGCGACAGAGTGAGACTCCATCTCAAAATGAAGAAAGAGAAAAAAAAGGCAGATTAAGGAGTCTCCATTACTCAGCCATGCAGTGGCTGAATGCATGGGTCAGAGTTTAGGAGCTTAAACTACGTCTTAAATCCAGATCTCACTGCTCAGCTTGAGTCTGAAGAAGATAAAACTCAAGTACAGAGGCAGATATTTGGGAATCTTTCCAGAGACGTATCCCCTAAAGCTGCAAATGGACCAGGACTCAGGGAACTAGAGAGGGACAGAGCTGGAAGGGTCAACCAAGAAAGACAAGGAAGAATCCATGGGAGAGCGAAGAACCATGGACTTGGAGAAGAACCAGGAGTGGAAGGAAGAGGAGAAATCCTGAGTTGGGAAATCCTAAGCGGGCGTTTCCTTGCTGAGGGGTTGTAAGGAAGTCAGAGGTGAACCACCCTGGAGGTAGCAATGGGGGTGGGATTGTGAGTGGCCTCTGGAAAGGCAGTTTCAGTTGAAAGGGCCAAGGGAACTGCAGCCCGGCTGCCATGAGAACCAGGAACACAAGAGGAGATGAGAGGAAGAGCAAGACAGAGGAGGCCCACGTGTCCAGCCTGCCTGCTTAGCTAAAGCCTCTGTGTGCCAAACCTGTGGCCCAAAATGGCTCCTCAGCTACCTCAAACAGTGCCAGGTTCCTGTCATAGTAGTCAATTCCTCTGGAAGCCTCCAAGGGGGAAAGAAAAGGGCTGCTCTCTCTGTGGTTGCCATGTCCTGTGAAGAGAGAGGGACAATCAGGGCCTGCTTCCTGAGCCCCCCAGCCTGGGCCCCTTCCCAGAAAGCCAGTCCCCAAATCATTTCTGTGGAGCACTTTGGAGCTGCAGTGTCACCAGGTTGCAACTCAGTTTTCACATGGCACCGTGCCAATGCTCTTGAAGGCCCAGGGATAGCCAGAGAGAGGCCAGTGACCAAAACCTGGGACATCATTCCCTCCAGTGAAGGGAATCCAGGTGAGGGCGCAGGCGCCCTAGCACAAGCACGTATGGACACTGAGGGACGGGGCCTGCAGAGGGGCGGGGCCAGCGTTTGACCCGCCCCCAGATCGCCTCCACGCCCCAGTCCCTTTCCCGGTCTTTCCGGAGTACCCAATGTGCAGGATGCCAAGGGTTCGGTGTCCTCAGGGACCGCCCAGGCAGTGCCCTCCAGATAGACGAAGCCGCACACAGCACCTTCGGCTGCCATGGCCCAAAGGTGGCCGGCTGGCTACCCCACCATGCACTGCGCGGGGGGCGTCCTGCAGGGCAGCCCGGGGCATGCCGGGAGGTGGGGCAAGCCCCAGGCCGTGGAGAGCGGAAGTGGATTCCAGGAGCCTTCTAGGGTTGCCTAAGAAAGTCGGACGGGTGGGTGTCGGACTGAGCAGGGAGAAAAATGGGAGCTGGGACTGCTGGCAGGAGCAACACAATGGCCCCCTTGCCCGCAGATCCCGCCGCTTGCCCCAGGCAAACCTCCGCCTACAGCCCTAGGCTGATGAGCCAGTGCCCCAGCTCTGAGAAATCTCGCCAAAAGGAGTGAAATGCTCCTTTTCAATAAGCCTGCCTCAACTCCCAAAGCTCGACTGTTTTTTCTGGCCTCCTATCATTCATTCTTCCCTGTTTTCCAACTCTTGTCCCTTATGAGTCTCGGTGGGTGCCATTCCCAGCTTCCCACCAAGCAGAACGCCAAGCACTCGTTTTCTAGGTGCTGAGTGTTCCCTCCACCCCAGCTACCCTCGCAGCCCCGGCCCTGGCTCAAGGCCTCACAGCAAATGGAAAGCACACATCTTGGTGTTGGATGGCAGCAGTATGTAGTTCTGACATGAGAAGGACTGGCATGGTGTCCAGTGATGGAGATGGCAACAGAACTGTCACCACCAGCCCAGGCTAGTGGTGTGATTGGGCCATGCACTGGCCATGCCCGCCAACCTTTTCTGTTTACATAGGCCACAATTCATTTTTCTTGACTGCAGCTGAGAATGCTGATTGAGGCATCCTCCTGTATCTGATACATCTCTTGCTATCAGCATGAGGCTTCAATTGCTTTCTCTGAGCCAACAACCACTCAGCAGGTGCTGTGCTGTGGATTCTTTATCCCCCAAGGAAACTAACAAATCAAGTGTGCCCATGACAGTTTCTGGGGCAAAGTCAGTTCTTCCTTCCCACAGCATGTGAAAGTGGCACACCTGCTACACCCAGCAACCTGGACTAGCTAAGTGAGCCAAGCAGCTCAGCCCCACATTCACATAGGTCAATGCCAATGGCACAGTGGACAAAGGCAGCCAGAGGTCAAGACAGTCCACCGTGTCATGTTAAAGCCAGGCGGGGTCATGTCGGACACTCTATGATATCTGCTGTACCCTCCATGCTTGTTCAGGATCAGAAGGAGTCCCAAGAAAAATCTGAAAACCCAGTAACACTCTGCCTCTTACATTAATGACATTAATGGCTCTTCAGTGAAAAGCCTTTGAAAATTACTTTTGGATTTTTGTGACAAAAAAAGTGTCTCCCTTTGATAAATCAGGTGCTTCATTTTGTCAGAAAATGCCAGTTATACAGCTCGTCTTACTTCTCTTTCTGCTTTGGCTGCCAGGAATCTCCAAGCTAAATTTACTCTTTAGATAAAGTCACCATCTGTCTCACCTGAGTGCTTGCCCCCTTCCTCTGCATGGTTTTCAATCTTCCTGAGAGTAACAATCACTTGGGGAGACACTTTTGTTGGCTATTTCTTCTGATTCTTTTGTGGAAGTAGGCTGGAAATCAATTATAATTTATTCTAAACTCATGTACTACAGCCTGCCCCATCACTGTTGCCTGGTCTTTCTGGGTAGACTGTATTGCTATCCAGAAAATATACAGCTGAGCACACAGCAGCTCCCCACAAATGCCTGTAAATGGTCCTCTAAGACCTAGCCTATCCCTTGTCCCTTCAGCTATCACTCTAGGATGGCTCGGGGCCCTTCCAAAAGTTGTCTCTAGTTCTCACAGCAACATTCCAGTAGAGAGCATTTACTACCTTTTAGGGACAAGGAGAGTGAAGCTCAAAGATGTTCAGAGGCAAGGTCACCCAGGGAGAAGGCCACATCTGGGTCCCAGGGTCCATCAGAGCCCTGTAGGGGCGGAGCTGCAGGTTCCGTTCCTACTACAGACTCCAGTCCATCTATGCAGCACAATCTTTAAAAATAGAGAAGAGTGCTGCAATTTGGCCAGGGTACGCATACCTAGGCCTCTGGGCATTCAGACTGCGGCAGACTGGCTTGGATTCCCAGACCTTCCCCCGTGTGACCCAGGGAGACATGCTTACTCCCTGTGCGGCCTTGGTTTCCTCTTCTATGAAGTGGAGATTGTAACACTTGTTTTTCCAACTGCCCAGATGCACTAGAAAAGGGACAGTTAGTGCCAGACGCCCAGTGGGCACTCCTCGGAGTTCCCCCAAAGCTCCCAAGGGCTTGTGGGAATGTAAGGGTCTAAGTAGTGCCTGGATGTCTGTACTGCCCTCGGCTTCAGACCTCCTGTTCTGGCCTCAGCCATTCCAAAAATTCCAGGGCAGGTCTGGACATGCCTGCCAGGCTGAAGCTGCTCAGACACCACCTGAGATCCCCAGTAAATCTGAATATGGCCTAGGCCTAGGGACTGCCTGTGAGCTACACAACTGTGTTCCCACCAGCAACTGTGACTGCACCAGTGGCAGGTGGGGATCCAGGTGACCCTCCTGATCCCTGTGTACACGGACATCTGCCTGAGGTGCCCCCTCCAGCACCTCCCTACCCCCTGCCCACAGGCCAAGGTGGGCTGGATGAGCAAGCCCATCTAGGCCTCCCAGAGCAGAGGTGTGGGCACTGAACTGGGGAAGGGGCAGGAGATAGATCTGAGGCTCACTGTGCTTTGTGCCCTCTGACCCTTTGCAGTCCCCACCAAGGATCAAAATCACTCACCGGGGCTCAGGGTGTCCCCCATCCTGTAGACAGCCAAGGTCTGGCTGGAAAGGAGTAAGAGGAGGAGAAAGAGGAAGGGAGGCAGTGGGAGGAGCTGGCCTAGCTTGCGGGGATCTAGCAGGACTCAGCCAATGTAGCTCCAGGTCCCTCCAGTCACCCTGTAGGGGCCAAGGCGTGGCCAAGGTGGGGCCAGCAGCTAGGCTCAGCTCTGCCTGCCCACTGGTCCAGGCTGATCCTGGGGATGCAGCCCAGTCTACCCTCTGGGGAGAGAGGTCCTCCCAGGGTTAGGGAAGCAGGAATGCTGGCTTTTGCTTTGACCACTTGAATCAAGCTAGGGGCAGACAAGGGCATGGAGGCTGGGGCACTCACACAGCTGTCAAGCCTGTAAAACCTCTGCAATGTCCAGCAGCCCATGCCACTGTCCTGTGCTACCTCTGCACATGGCAGTCAAGTGATACACACACATAGCCATCATTCACATTGGGCATGGATCATCTCAGTCGTGTCACCATCACAGATGGATCAGAGGTCCAGACAACGTCACCTGACACGTGTCAACCACACACTTCCTACATATCTCCATCATGATCGGTCACAGATATCACAGGCATTTATCATCAGTCAAATCACCATCCTCATCACTGTCAACCCTGCAGGAAACAGGGGCTGTGAGAATGCCCTGACCTGAACCAGCCTTCACCCTGTGATACCCACAGCTACACACTTGTACAAGCACAATTACACATGCATATGCCACTACGTACACAGACACATGTCCTCAGCCGTGTTCGTGCTCCGAGGGTGGGCCTTAACAAGAACAGCCCTCTGGGGGGCCTCCTGGGGTAGGAGATAGAGAAAGGGCTGTGGAGAGACGCGGGCACCTGGGAGGAAGGAGGAGGGAGATGGGGCTTACCTCTCGGCCCTGGCACCTAAGTTAAAGAGTTAAGGTGCTGGAATCTCAAACCCAGGCTTGACTGCCCCTGGGCAAGTTATATAACCGCCACCCCTCCCTTCACTGCTTCCTAATGAGAGTAACAGTACTTATCCCAAGGGTGATGCTGGAGGATTAAACGAGTTAACTCACTTCAAGTGCCTAGACACGTCCGGCTCCATGTGAGTGCTTCACTGAGGCCCACTGTCCCTACAGATCTACACCGGCGCACTCACGGGCAGTTACCCATAGACCCCCCAGTAGGCACACTCTGGCCAGAGTGCAGGTAGGCGCAGAGAGGCACACGGAGGGGTTTGGGCAGTTGGGGAGCGGATCGTCTCAAAGGCAAAGACGCTGAATCTCAAATGAGGAACCGAGGCGAGAAAAGGATGTGGGATTCACCGAAGTTGAAGGGCCGGGAAGGGCCTGAGATGGGGTCTCGGCCCTGTCCCCAAGCCGGGCGGCCCGGCCGGCTGGCCTCCCTGGGCGGCCACGTCTGCAGCCCCCGCCCGGGGCCCACAGGGGAGGAGCTGGGGTGGAGAAAGCGGCCGGGCGCGGGCGCCGGGGGCCGAGGAAAATCGTGTCTGCGCGCGCAGGGCGGGGAGCCAGTGGCAGCGGCGCGGTCCAAAAAAAGTTGAGTCCGCACCGACGTGTGCGCGCAAGGTCCCGGGATAGGTGCGGGCGCGGGCCCGGGATGGCGGCCCCGGGTGGCAGGCCCCGCTGCCCCGCCACGGCCCCTCAGAACGCGCCCTCACCGTCCGAGTCATCCAGCTCGGCGCGCTCCCCGTAGTCCACCCAACTGAGCCCCTCGAGGTTGTCATAGTCGCCGCGCCTCGGCCCGTCCACTGGCACCACGGTGAAGTGAGGCATCGTGCGGGCTCGGCCCCGCCGCACCCGCCGTCCCAGCCGCCCGCCGCTGTCCCCGCCGCTGTCCCCGCCGCCCCGGGCCGACACGCCCCGCCCGCTCGCATTCCTCCCCGCTGCGCTCACTTCCTCCGCCCGCCCCCCGGGCCGCCCCTCGGGGGCGGAGAGCGGGAGGGGCTCGGCCGGCTCCTCCCAGAGCGGGGGCCCTGGTGGCGGGAAGACCCCTGGGCGGGAGCACTCCTAGTGGCTCCACGGCCTGGGGGCGGGCCCGATTCCTGTGTGACCTCGGGTGAGAGGCCGCCCTCTCTGAGCCCCAGATGCAACATTTGTAAAATGGGGGAAACACACTTCCACCTCGGGGTTGTTTTAGGGCTCCGTGAGATGGGTCGCGGAGTGTCCTGGCTCTGCGCCCTGGGCTTACGAAGCGCTCTGTTACTTAGGGACGGGGCAGGGTAGGCCGGACCGGCCCAGGACTGCAGAAGCCACCTGCCCAGGGCCTCCCACCAACCCCGTATACCTCCTTCCCATTTCCAGCGTCTGCATCCCATTTCTCCGCGACCCTGGGAACCAGACCCCCGCGAAGGTCCCGTCCCAGCCCTGGGCCCTCTAGCTGCAGCCTCTCCTGTTGGAGGCAGCTGGGGATTCTCGGTCCCTCCCCAGGGGCTGCTGCGTCCTCCGCAGGAAGAACACGCACACCCACCCTTCCCCGCCCCGCTTGCCTCGCTTGCCTTTTTGGGACAGTGCACTGGGTGCTGTAGCCAAGTCCCTTCATTTTAACTTTCTCTATCTCGCCTCCTGGGTGTTCCTCTATCCAAGCCGTTTACTTATTTGCTTTTAACGTTTCTTTCACTTTCTTCTCCACTGCTTCAGATTACTTATCTAGCTGGCTTTACTATTTTTTTCTCTATCAGAAAACCCCAGAGCCCATCTTACTTGTCTATCTCCACTCTTCTCCCTCGCGTGGCTCGGGTGGCGTCCTCTGACTACGCCTACTGCCAGCCTCCAGCCCTTGGGGTGGGGGGTACGGAATCAGAGCCGCTGGGCCCCGCAAGACGACCCCCGAGCTTACCACCCTCTGACCCCTCCCCCAGGGCCCCCGCAGCGGGCCCGCCGACCTGACCCCCCCGCCCCTCACGCCACCTTCGGCCGCCCACAGTAGCGGCCTTCCTACTGGACTCCCTGCCCTCGCCCCTGCTCACGTAGAGCCGCCTCTTCTGAAGGAAAATCCTACTAGCTCCGGGCCCATAAGGCCCTGCCCAATGCGGCCGGACCCCGACCTCTGCAGGCGCATCCCTCGCCACCCACCTCGCAGCCTCAGCCCTTCAAATCTCTCTCTCTCACCTGAGACCTATAGTTTCTGGGCATCACCCACTGTTCACTCTGGGGGACATCTACCTAGCCTCTGTCCCTACCCTCACTTATCAAATTCCTGATCCAGGCCTGGCGCGGTGGCTCACGCCGGTAATCCCAACACTTTGGGAGGCTGAGGCGGGAGGATCACCTGAGGTCAGGAGTTTGAGACCAGCGTGGTCAAATAGTGAAACCCCGTCTCTACTAAAAATACAAAAAAATTAGCTGGGCGTGGTGGCGGGTGCTTGTAATCCCAGCTAGTTGGGAGGCTGAGGCAGGAGAATCACTTGAACCCGGGAGGCAGAGGTTTCAGTGAACCGAGATGGCGCCATTGCACTCCAGCAAGAGCGAAACACTGTCTCAAACAGACAAAAAACCTCCAAGGCCGGCCTGGTGGCTCAAGCCTGTAATCCCAGAACTTTGGGAGGCCAAGGCGGGTGGATCGCCTGAGGCTGGGAGTTCGAGACCAGCCTGGCCAGCATGGTGAAACCCCGTCTCTAATAAAAATACAAAAATTAGCTGGGTGTGGTGGCAGGTGCCTGTAATCCCAGCTACTCGGGAGGCTGAGGCAGGAGAATCACTTGAACCACGGAGGCAGAGGTTGCAGTGAGCCGAGATAGTGCCATTGCACTCCAGCCTGGGCAACAGAGCAAGACTCTATCTCAAAAACAAACAAACAAACAAAAAACCTCCTGATCCAGGAGGTCTTGGTGGGGAGCACCACCTCCCCTCAGATTTCTCAGACACATGCCCTGCCACCCCACCCCACCCCTCATCTGGACTGGGCTGCCCTGAGCCTTTCCCTTCATAGTTCCCATTGCAGGCAGAAATGGATTGGTGGAAATCACTGATTAAGATTCTATCTATACTGTGGACTTTGCAAGGGCAGGACCCTGTCGGTCTTGTCACTCTGGTATCCTCAAAACCTGGCTGGCCCCAACACATTTTTTTTTTTTAAGATCTTAGAGGTGTTTGTTTGTTTGTTTTAATTTAGAGAGAGGGTCTTGCTCTGTCACTTTGGGCTGGAGTGCAGTGGTGCAATCACAGCTCACTGCAGCCTCAAACTCCTCAAATGATCCTCTCCCCTCAGCCTCCCAAGTAGCTAAGATGCCACCATGCCCAGCTAATTTTATTTATTCATTTCTCATAGAGACAGGGTCTCACTTTGCTGCACAGGCTGGTCTCAAACTCCTGGGCTCAGCGATCCTCCCACCTTGGCCTCTCCTAAAGTGCTAGGATTACAGTCGTGAGCCACTGCTCCCGGTCCCAACACATTTTTCAAATAAAGAATGAACAGGTGCCCTCTTAGTCTACCTCTTTGCTCTGCAAAGTTTCCGTATAGCTCCCACCCTGGCACTGCACACCCTGCAGCCTCAGGGGTAGGGTGGGGTGTTGTGCCAGGGAGATAGGCCACTAGAGCCCAACTGACAAACACAGAGGGGACGATGGGGAACTCCGAGGCCAGTACACATCTTCTCCAATATCACAGCCATCACAGGAAAAATAACCTCACAGGCCAAACTCAAAAGACATTTGAGGAGCATAGACATTAGGCCGGGCGCGGTGGCTCACGCCTGTAATCCCAGCCCTTTGGAAGGCTGAGGTGGGCAGATCACGAGGTCAGGAGATCGAGACTATCCTGCCTAACACGGTGAAACCCCGTCTCTACTAAAAATATAAAAAAATTAGCTGGGTGTGGTGGCGGGCGCCTGTAGTCCCAGCTACTGGGAAGGCTGAGGCAGGAGAATGGCGTGTACCCGGGAGGTGGAGCTTGCGGTGAGCGGAGATGGCGCCACTGGCACTCCAGCCTGGGCGACAGAGTGAGACTCTGTCTCAAAAAAAAAAAACCATAAATCAGGAATATCTAGAATATCTAGATCGAAAATTCAAAATTCAGTTGGGAGTGGTGGCTCCCACCTATAATCCCAGCACTTTGGGAGGCCGAGGCAGGCAGATCACCTGAGGTCAGGAGTTCGAGACCAGCCTGGTCAACATGGTGAAACCCCATCCCTACTAAAAATACAAAATTTGGATGGGTGTGGTGGCAAGCACCTGTAATCCCAGCTACTTGGGAGGCTGAGGTGGGAGAATTGCTTAAACCTGGGAGGTGGAAGTTGCAGTGAGCTGAGATGGCACCACTGCACTCCAGCCTGGGCAACAGTGCAAGTTGCCTGGGCAACTGCACTCCAGCCTGGGCGACAGAACAAGACTCCATCTCAAAATAATAATAATAAAAATAAATAAATAAAATAAATAAATAAATAAAATAAAACAATTAGCCTGGCGTGGTGGCATGTGCCTGTAGTCCCAGCTATCTAGGAGGCTGAGGCAGGATAATCACTTGAACCCAGGAGATGGAGGTTGCAGTGAGCCAAGATCGGGCCACTGCATTCCAGCCTGGGAGACAGAGCGAGACTCTGTCTGAAAAAGAAAAATTAGCCAGGTGTGGTGGCACATGTCTGTAATTCCAGCTACTCCGGAGGCTGAGGCACAAGAATTGCTTAAACCTGGGAGGCGGAGGTTGCAGTGAGCTGAGATCATGCCACTGTACTCCAGCCTGGGCGACTGAGCAGGACTCCGTCTCAAAAAAAAAAAAAAAAAAAGCAGGCCAGGCACCATGGCTCATGCCTGTAATCCTAGCACTTTGGGAGGTCAAGGTGGTTGGATCACCTGAGGTCAGGAGTTCAAGACCATCCTGACCAACATGGTGAAACCTCGTTTCTACTAAAAATACAAAAATTAGTTGGGCGTGATGGCAGGCACCTGTAATCCCAGCTACTTGGGAGGCTGAGGCAGGAGAATTGCTTGAACCTAGGAGGTGGAGGTTGCAGTGAGTCAAGATCGCACCATTGCACTCCAGCCCGGGCAACAAGAGCAAAACTCCGTCTCAAAAAACAGAAAAAAGCATGTGGTGGTTAACTGCTTAATGGGTATAGGGTGGGTGCCTGGGACTACAGGCACACACTACCATGCCTGGGTCTTACATTTCTGCTTGTTCTTTTTCTTTCATTTTTTTTTAAAGACAGGGTCTCTGGTGGGCGGAGTGGCTCATGCCTGTAATCCCAGCACTTTGGGAGGCCAAGGGGGGAGGATCACCTGAGGTCAGGAGTTTGAGACCAGCCTGGCCAACATGGTGAAACCTCATCTCTACTAAAAATACAAAAATTTGCTGGGTGTGGTGGCGCGTGCCTGTAATCCCAGCTACTTGGGAGACTAAGGCAGGAGAATCACTGGAACCTGGCAGGCGGAGGTTGCAGTGAGCTGAGATCTGGCCATTGCACTCCAGCCTGGGCGACAAGAGCAAGACTCCATCTCAAAGAAAAAAAAAAAAAAAGCATAAGGGGGTTAACTGCTTCATGGGTATAGGGTGGGTGTAGGGTTTCCTGTTAAGATGAAAATGTTTTGGAACTAGATAGAAGTGGTGGCTGCACAACATTGTGAATGTACTAAAGCCACTGAGCTGCTTACTTTAAAATGGTTAATTTTAGCTGGGCGCGGTGGCTCACACCTGTGATCCCAGCACTTTGGGAGGCTGAGGTGGGCGGATCACGAGGTCAGGAGATTGAGACCATCCTGGCTAACATGGTGAAACCCGGTCTCTACTAAAAATACAAAAAATTAGCCGGGCGTGGTGGCAGGCGCCTGTAGTCCCAGCTACTCAGGAGGCTGAGGCAGGAGAATGGCATGAACCCGGGAGGCGGAGTTCACAGCGAGCCGAGATTGCGCCACTGCACTCCAGCCTGGGTGACAGAGCCAGACTCCGTCTCAAAAAAAAAAATAAATAAATAAAATAAATAAATAAATAAAATGGTTAATTTTATGGCATATGAATTACACTTCAATAAAAACAAATTGCTGAAATTATAAGGATAAACTAATACTGCTAAGTACAGCATCAGATATGAAATATTTCTTTGCTTTTTTTTTTTTTGAGACAGGGTCTCACTCTGTTGCCCAGGCTGGAGTGTAGCAGCACGATCTCAGCTCATGACAACTTCTGCTTCCCAGGCTCAAGTGATCCTCCCACCTCAGCCTCCCAAGTAGCTGGGATCAAAGGCACGGGCCACCACACTTGGCTAATTAAATTTTTTTTTTTTTTCAGAGATGAGGTCTCACTAAATTGCTCAGGTTGGTCTCGAAATGCTGGGTTCAAGCAATCCTCCTGCCTCAGCCTCCCAAAGTGCTGGGATTTCAGGCATGAGCCACTCTGTGCCCAATTAAAAACTATTTATTTTATTTTATTTATTTTTGAGACGGAGTCTCACTCTGTCGCCCAGGCTTGAATGCAGTGGCGTGATCTCGGCTCACTGCAAGCTCCGCCTAGGTTCAGGAAATTCTCCTGCTTCAGCCTCCTGAATAGCTGGGACTACAGGCGCTCACCACCACACTGGGCTAATTTTTTGTTTTTAGTAAAGACGTGGTTTCACCGTGTTAGTCAGGATGGTCTCAATCTCCTGACCTCGTGATCCACCTGCCTCGGCCTCCCAAAGTGCTGGGATTACAGGTGTGAGCCACTGCGCCTGGCCATTTATTTTATATTTTATGAGACACAGTTTCACTCTGTTGCCCACGCTGGAGTGCAGTAGTGTGATCTCGGTTCACTGAAACGTCCTCCTCCTAGGTTCAAGCAATTCTCACGTCTCAACCTCCTGAGTTGGCCAGGCTGGTCTCAAACTCCTGACCTGAAGTGATCTGCGTGCCTTGCCCTCACAAAGTGCTGGGATTACAGGCATGAGCCACTGTGCCCGGCCTCAAAACTTATTTTAAAGTTGCCATAATTAAGACAGTGTGGTATTGATATGATAAACAAATAGTCCAAATAAATGGAAGAGACCCAGACATATATAGACCCTTGTTTATAACATAGGTGGCACTGGAGTCATTCTTTTTCCCAATTCCAAGTTCCCATGGAAGGAACTTAGATCTGGCTCTGGCTCAACTGGAGAGGAAAGCAGCCAAAGACAGAGGCCACTCGAGTGAGCCATACAGACCCCATGAGTTTCCTTTTATTTCTTTTCAAAATTTTTTTAAAGATTTGGTGATTCTGCATCCCCTCCATTTAAAAATTAGTTTTTTAAAAAAATCAGAGGACCTAATCTGAGAAATCTTTTACAAAGGCACTCTCCAGATAATTCCAAACAAGTTATTCTTTTTTTGGGGGACGGAGGAGAACCAAGTCTCGCTCTTTCGCCCAGGTTGGAGTGCAGTGGTGCGAGCTCTGCTCACTGCAACCTCTACCTCCTGAGTTCAAGCAATTCTCCTGCCTCAGCCTCCCGAGTAGCTGGGACTACAGGCATGTGTCACCACGCCTGGCTAATTTTTTGTATTTTTAGTAGAGACAGGGTTTCACCATGTTAGCCAGAATGGTCTCGATCCCCTGACTTCGTGATCTGCCCGCCTCGCCCTCCCAAAGTTCTGGGATTACAGGCGTGAGCCACCGCACCCAGCCGAGTTATTATTTACTCTATAAACAGTATCAGCTTCTAAAAAAAAATTTAACCTTTCGAAGAGAAACTGGGAAGCACCCCACTGTCACACTCCACGAAGGGACTGAAACTGAACGTTTTTGTGTACTTCTGTGGGCTCAAGCTTTTAGCTTAAGAATTTCATAAGATGCCTCTGGCCTTCCTGAGACAGTCAAAGCTGGAGGTGAGTGGGAACCACCCACCTTGAGCAGCTGTGGCTAGACCACAAGATCCCTCACTGACCAAGAGCCCACCTGCCCCCAATCCCGCTAGGGAGAAGGAAGGACATGTGCACCTGGCTCCATGTGTAACATGTTTATTCTCAGCATATGCTTGTGAATGAACTAGGAGAGGGGGCTTTGTGAGGCTTTGCCACAGTGACCTCTGCGGGGACCGACTGTGTCAGCAGAGCCACTGGGTGAAGGTTGGGATGGTGGCAGCAGCCACAAGGCCTGGAACAAGGTATGGGGAGGCATTTGAGGACCTCCAGGGGACCCGATTGGTTGGCTGCTTGGTCACCTCCAGATGAGTAGCCTGGTGTCCATTCTGAGGCACGAGGTGGGAGTGGCAGGATGTGCTCAGTTGCCCATATGGAAACTCAGCCTCCACGGGGCTCTGCGCCCTGCTCTCCTCTCTCACCTGGGGGAGGAAGTCCGCAGTCAGAGGCTCCCACAGCAATCCCCTCCCCTTCTCAAACCACTGAACCATCCTGTCCACCAGCCCAGCTTACCTTTTCCACTTGTCTGAAGACCCGCAGCAGGTTTCCACGAAGGACACCTTGAAGCTCTTCCTCGCTCCAGCTACGACTCAGCAACTCCTCTATCAGGACTGGGTATGTGGACACATCCTCCAGCCCCTGAGGGAACCTGTGTGGCCACCCACCAGCCAGCTGTGGGACCTTAGCCCTGATCCTGGGTTGGGGCCCGCTGCCCACCAGCCCTAGTCACACAGGGGAAACTGAAGGCCAAGTTCTTCAGGCTAGTGAATGCAACCTTGGAGGCTCCTGGAGGACTGGGCTTCTGTAGCCTCCACCTGCTGAGCAGATGGTCAGCCCACAGCAGGTCTGCTAGGCTGGGAGTGGAGCATATCTTGGACAGATGAGCCCTGCCTGCGGAGGGGAGTATTTAGCAAGTATGACAACTTGGAGTGGGGCCACTGGGCCACTGAAGGGACAGGGAGAAACTAGGAAACAGGCCCTGAGAGTGGGGAGTGTCAGGTGGGATAGGAGACCAGAGCCTGTGGCTGAGGCCTGGATGGGAGGACGTCAGGATGGGAATGAAGACTAAAGGACTCCCTGCTGCACCCCAGCCTAAGAGAAACCTCAGGGAAGCACTCACCGGCCAGTCCCGTCATAATTTCCACCAATCCCGATGAACTCAGATCCAATGACTGCCCTGATGTGGTCAAAGTGATCTAGGGTGGAGGTGAGGGTGGGCAGCACTAGGCTAGTTAGACCCTGGCACCAGCCCTGTCCCCAGCACTCCAGGCTGTGGCAGTTGGCTCCACAGAGCTAGCTCATGGCCAGTCATGAGTCCTGAAGCGGGTACAGGCTGGTCACTGGACCTAGAGTGGACCTTGGAGCCACCCCTTTGGGACTTTTCCTGCCCAGGAGCCACCCTGCCTCTGGGTTCCTTGAGAGCCTGGTGCAGGCTGAGCCTGTCCTGCCCAGAGATGTGGGGAATGAGAGAAGTTCAAGGATTGGGAGCAAAACCAGGAGGCATCAAACACATCAGCACTGACTCTGTGGCTCCAGATCTGGGTGGCACTGAAGAGCTGTGTCTGCTGCCTCTGGGTCGTTGGGAGGTCTGCCCATTGCCCAACAGGTGCACTAGACTGCTAGAGTCGTCCTGAGGGCCCTGGCAGCCACAGCCCAAGCCAGCACTGCACAAAGCTGAGGTGGGACTTACCTGCCACAGTGGACACGTTAGCAAGCAGGTTGCACTGCAGCACCCCCATGGACAGTGTCACCATCACGATGCCACCGTTCTTCTTCTAGAGGGATAAAGGGATACTCATCTCAGCCCTTCTGGCCTGAGAACATGCCTCCTGTGCTGTGGGGGCCCTGGTAGGACTGTGCTCCATCCTGGCTTCAGGGGTTGGAAGAGGCTTCACCTCTCTGCGTTTGTGGGTCCCTGAGTGGAAATTACTTGGCCTTAAGTTTCAGGGATGGAGGAGGATTAACCAGCCTTTGGTCCAAGGGTGTGTGAAACCTGGGCTGGTGGCTTTGTGCTCAGGGTCAAGAACCTTTGGATAACACATGCCTAGTTTGAGAGCTGGGATGGCCACTCACCAGAAGCTGCAGGATATCATCGGGAACATTCAACAAATTGTCACACACAGCTCTGGCAGCTGAGTGGGAGAAGATCACAGGAGCCTGAGACACTTCCAGGACCCTTCTTATCAAGGTGTCCGATGCATAGGACAAATCTATCATCATGCCCAGGCGGTTCAACTCCTCTACTACTTTCTGCAGAAACAATTAGGTTTTTTTGTGGGGGAGGGTGTTGGGGTGCAAAGGTGTACACACATATCCGTAGGCAGCAGGTGGGTTGGGGTACAAAACAGGAGTCCTCACCTCACCAAAGCTTGTCAATCCGCTGACGTTGGTGTACATGTGGTGTCTGAACTTGGTGGAACTCTCTGCCCTGCAGGACAGCCATGGAAGGGCAATTTAGCTGATCACACCTTGGGCCATCACAGCCTGGGGGCCCTGGCTCTATCCATCCATCCTGCTTCCAGAACAGGTGCAGAACCAGCTGCTTTCTGGGATTGTGAGGGACCCACTGGGTGTCCAGCCTCCCTCTGCGGACCCCTTCATCCTCAACGGCTTGGTCACACCCATGCCAGGAATGGGGCAGTTTCCACACCATGCCATCTAGCATCCTGGCCAGGTGTTATGCTCACCATGGTGTACTGCAGGTGAAGGTAAGTGTCAGGTAGCGCACCCCCAGCACATAGAAACTGCGCAGCACAGAGAGGCTGCTGTCCAGTGAGTGACCACCCTCCACGCCAATGAGGCAGGCCAGCTTTTGAGAGCTGTTCAGACCTAGAAGGAGGTAGAGAGTCAAGTGGTTAGATCCCAGGAACAGAACCTCCAGAGTGACATCCTGACTACCTCTCATCTGCTGGCCCACCTTCAGCTGAGGTCACAAGCTCGAGTTCAGAGTAGGAGGCACACATGCGGTGAATGAGGTCAATCTGCTCCAGGGCGAGGCGCACGGCAGTCTGGTCCTGGGACTGGCATGAGACGGAGGCTGACCAGAACTGAGGGTAGGTCAAGGGGTCCAGAATGAGGCCAGGGCGGTCTTCAACCCCCTAGGCCTGCCACTCCTGCCTCAGACCCCATAACACCCATTTGGGTCAGTGGCCCCAAGTGAGGCACTACATGACTCCATGGTACCTTGATGACTTTTTTTAAAATTATTTTTTATTTTTATTTTAAAATTTGAGACAGGGTCTTGCTCTGTCACCCAGGCTAGAGTGCAGTGGTGTGATCATGGCTCACTGCAGCCTTGACCCCCCAGGCTCAAACAATCCTCCTGCCTCAGCCTCCCAAAGTGTTGGCATTACAGATGTGAACTACCGAGCCTGGTTCCTTGATGACTGTTTGCTGCCAGCAGTCAAATGATGGACTCACGACACATCATAAATTACTGTTACGGCCAGGCCAAGTGGCTCATGCCTGTAATCTCCACACTGTGGGAGGCCGAGGAGGGTGGATCATGTGAGGTCAGGAGTTCGAGACCAGCCTGGCCAACATGGTAAAACCCTGTCTCTACTAAAACTACAAAAATTAGCAGGGCGTGGTGGCGAGTGCCTGTAATCCCAGCTACTCAGGAGGCTGAGGCAGGGAGAATTGCTTGAACCCGGGAGGCGGAGGTTGCAGTGAACCGAGATCGTGCCACTGTACTCCAGCCTGGGCGACAGAAGGAGACACTGTCTCAAAAATGCAAACAAACAAACAAGCAAAAAACTGCTGTTAGTCCATGTGCTATGTGAATGCCCCAAGGCCAATCCACTATGTCCTTTGTGGTTACGGCAGACCCCACACTCACCAGGGATTTTCTGGTCATTTTCTGCGTGTTTCCACAGAACCTGGGCATACATGCAGCTAGCCTGTCTTGGCCTCCAAGGCCCCACTCTCCTTAGAAACCACATGATGGCACACTGCATGCCCCATTGTATTTAGTCACCCAGAGGCTGGCTGACCCAGGTTTCTGTGACCCCAACATCCCCCAGCAGCCATGCTGTGGCACCCTGTGTGTCCCTGTGGTACCTGGGCACCCACGAGGCCGTCTCTAAGCCTGTCCAGGCTGGTCTGACCATGGCTGAAATTTCGCAGGTTAACATCCTGAAGCACATTCTTGTAACGCTGTCTCAGGACCTGGGGCAGGTCATTGTGGCTGGGGGTGTGAAGGTCAGATGGAAACACCGCCTCCAGATCAGTCAGGATATATCAGGTGCTTGGGTCTACCCTCCTCCACCCCACCAGGCACCTCCTCACACAGACCATATAGAGACCTCCTGAGGTTGGGTTGGAGGGAGGGGGTTAGATTCCACCAGGAATGGAGTAATGCGGGGAAGGGCACCCATGGGTGATGGAGGAGAGAGGGCATCCAGGGGTGGTGTGAGGGAGCCTCCTTGATAGCCTCCTTGATAGCATGCTCAGAACCTCCTCTCCTGCCCAAGGGTGTGCTCACCCCGCGTTGCCCAAACGCTGCACCTACATACCCGTCCACGAGTGGGAAACTCCGCATCAGGGCCTGCGCGCGACCCCGAAGGTCCAGGGTTTTGGGGGTGCCTGGCGTAGTGAGGCCTGGGGTAGTGAGGGCGCTGGGGACACCCGGCGTGGTGAAGAGGCTGGGGGAGCCCAGCGTGGAGAGGGCTCTGGGGGCGCCCGGCGTGGTCTCCGCGCGGGTTACGGGCTGCCGCAGCAGCAGCAGCAGTAGCAGGAGCAGCAGACGCCGCAGATACCGCCGGCTGAGCGCGCGGGAACCCTCGCGGCCCGTGGGCTGCATGTTGCGCGGGGGTCGGCCGCGGGAGCCTGGGAGGAGCAGGCGATGGGCAGAGGCCGACAATGGGGTCCGGATCATGACGACCCAGCCTCCCGAAGAGGGGGTTGAAGTCACGCGACTCTGAGACCGACGCGCCACGCAAGGGGGCGCCACGGCTTTTCCGCCCCCAAGCAGGAGAGCGCCCCCATGGGCCGGAACCGCCGCTGCAGCGTCGAGGACTCCTCGCCCTTCCACCCCCAGCGCTGGCTCCGTAGACCCCCACACGAGTGGGGGAGGAGGCCAGGCAGGGAACTAGTAGGGGCCCAGGGATCTTCCTGATCTCACCTCCTACCCAGGCCCACGTGGCGGTTAGCTGCCGGCTTGTGCCCAGCTCCTAGGCAGGTCAAATATTCTAAGCTGCGACTCAGAAGAGTTAATTCGGTCTGTCTGGTTTGATGGACAGAAAGATTCCCTATAGGTATTTCATTTCATTTCATTTCATTTCATTTCATTTCATTATTTCATTTCATCTCATTTCAGTTTTGAGACGGAGTTTGGGTCTTGTTGCCCAGGCTGGAGTGCAATGATGCAGTCTCGGCTCACTGCAACCTCCACGTCCCGGGTTCAAGCCATTTTCCTGCCTCAGCCTCCCGAGTAGCTGGGATTACAGGTGCCCGCCACCATGCCCAGCTAATTTTTGTATTTTCAGTAGAGATGGGGTTTTACCATGTTGGCCAGGCTGGCCTTGAACTCCTGACCTCAAGTGATCCTCCTGCCTCGACCTCCCAAAGTGCTGGGATTACAGGCGTGAGCCACCGTGCCCGGCCCCGAAAATGAAATTTAAGAACAATTTTTGTTGGGGATCATTATTTTAGCTTTTTTTCCTTCTCCAAGAGACAGAGTATCTGTCACCCAGGCTGGAGTTGCAGTGGGGTGATCATAGCTTGCTGCAGCCTTGATCATAGCTTGCTGCAGCCTTGAACTTCTGAGCTCAAGCGATCCTCCTTCCTCCACCTCCCAAGTAGCTGAGACTATAGGTGCAGTGCCACCATGCATGGCTAATTGTTATTTTTTATTTTATTAAAACAAATTTTTTTTTGAGACAGGGTCTCACTGGAGTGCAGTGGCACCATCTCAGCTCACTGTAGCCTCGACCTCCCAGGTAAAAGTGATCCTCCTGCTTCAGCTCCCTAAGTAGCTGGGAGGGACTACAGGCATGCACCACCATGCCCAGCTAATTTTTGTATATTTGCATTTTTTTTTAGAGACAGGGTTTTACCATGTTGCCCAGACTGGTCTTGAACTCCTGAGCTCAAGCGATCTGCCCACCTAGGTCTCCCAAAGTGCTAGGATTACAGGCATGAGCCACCACGTCCGGCCTTATTTCTTTTTTAGAGACGTGGTTTTTTTTTTGAGACGGAGTCTCACTGTGCCACCCAGGCTGGAGTGCAGTGGCTCCATCTCTGCTCACTGCAAGCTCCGCCTCCCGGGTTCATGCCAGTCTCCTGCCTCAGCCTCCCGAGTAGCTGGGACTACAGGCGCCCACCACCATGCCCAGCTAATTTTTTGTATTTTTAGTAGAGACCGGGTTTCACCGTGTTAGCCAGGATGGTCTTGATCTCCTGACCTCGTGATCCGCCCACCTTGGCCTCCCAAAGTTCCGGGATTACAGGCGTGAGCCACCGCACCGGGCCGAATATTTTTTTCTATATATATGTTAGTATACAGACACAAAAATGAGAGGTGACAGCGTGCTGGCAGCCCTCACAGCCCTCGCTCCCTCTCGGCACCTCCTCGGCCTTGGCGCCCACTCTGGCCGCGTTTGAGGAGCCCTTCAGCCCGTCGCTGCACTGTGGGAGCCCCTTTCTGGGCTGGACAAGGCTGGAGCCGGCTCCCTCAGCTTGCGGGTAGGTGTGGAGAGAGAGGCGTGGGCGGGAACCGTGGCTGCAGGCTGCGCTTGCGGGCCAGCTCGAGTTCCGGGTGGGCGTGGGCTTGGCAAGCCCCGCACTCGGAGCGGCCAGCCGGCCCGGGCAGTGAGGAGCTTAGCACCTGGGCCAGCAGCTGCTGTGCTCGACTTCTCGCTGGGCCTTAGCTGCCTCCCCGCCGGGCAGGGCTCGGGACCTGCAGCCCTCCATGCCTGAGCCTCCACCCCCGCCGTGCGCTCCTGTGCAGCCCAAGCCTCCCCGACGAGCGCCAACCCCTGTTCCACGGCGCCCAGTCCCATCGACTGCCCAAGGGCTGAGGAGTGCGGGCACACGGCGCCGGACTGGCAGGCAGCTCCACCTGCGGCCCCGGTGCAGCATCCACTGGGTGAAGCCAGCTGGGCTCCTGAGTCTGGTGGGGACTTGGAGAATCTTTATGTCTAGCTAAGGGATTGTAAATACACCAATCAGCACTCTGTATGTAGCTCAAGGTTTGTAAACACACCAATCAGCACCCTGTGTCTAGCTCCGGGGTTGTGAATGCACCAATCGACACTCTGTATCTAGCTAATCTAGTGGGGACGTGGAGAACTTTTGTGTCTAGCTCAGGGATTGTAAACGCACCAGTCAGCACCCTGTCAAAACGGGCCCATCAGCTCTCTGTAAAACAGACCAATCAGCTCTCTGTAAAATGGACCAATCAGCAGGATGTGGGTGGGGCCAGATAAGACAATAAAAGCAGGCTGCCCGCTCTTTCAGTAGCAACTTGCTGGGGTTCTCTTCCAGGCAGTGGGAGGTTTGTTCTTTTGCTGTTTGCAATGGCTGTTGCTGCTATTCCGTTTTTGGATCCATACTGTATGAGCTGTAATACTCACTGCGAAGGTCTGCAGCTTCACTCCCGAAGCCAGCGAGGCCATGAACCCACGGAGAGGAACGAAGAACTCCGGACTCGGCGCCTTGAGACCTGTGACACCACGAAGGTCTTCAGCTTCACTTCTGAGCCTGCGAGACCGCGAACCCACCAGAAGGAAGAAACTCCGAACACATCCAACCATCAGAAGGAACAAATTCCGGACACGCCACCTTTAAGAACTGTAACACTCACCGCGAGGGTCTGTGGCTTCATTCTTGAAGTCAGTGAGACCAAGAACCCACCAATTCCGGACACAAAAAGACCCCAGAAGAGTCTACACATCAAATGTTAGTTAGCAGTTATCCTCTCGGGAAGAGATCTACCTGCACCCTGATCAGTTTGCATCTCATTTCTTTATTATGGTGATACTGGCTAAGGGAAATCATGGGTAGTGCTGGTGAGGGCTAATCAGGGTCATGGGGGTTGGGGGAGGCACCACAGCAGTAGCTGAACCTTGCTTCAAAGGTCTGGATCGGGCATGGAGGAGTGGAGAGGGGATCCAGGGTTGGCTAACAGCCCAGCAGAGGTCTAGTTTGGGCATTACAACAACTGTTGTGGAGGAGGCACAGGTGGATTCTCTAAGGCATGGAGTTGAGGGACAAGATCAGACTAGGTCTCTTGGTCCTGAGAGCATGAGGGGGCTTGGTCTGACACGTTATTTCACCTGGGGCAGAAATCCTCCTTAAAGACAATACAAGGCTAGCTTCCAGCAGCTCCTCGTCATTTCCTGTTGAAAAAATCCTGGTGCAGGGGAAATAGATCTCAAAACTGCATCTGGGGCCGGATGCGGTGGCTTACCCCTATAATCCTAACACTTTGGGAGGCTGAGGCGGGCAGGTTGCTTGAGTCTAGGAGTTTGAGACAAGCTTGGCCAACACAGTGAAACCCCATCTCTACTAAAAATACAAAAATTAGCTGGGCAGGGTGGTGTGTGCCTGTAATCCCAGCTACTGAAGAGGCTGAGGCAGGAGAATCACTTGAACCTCGGAGGCGGAGGTTGCAGTGAGCCGAGTGCATTGCACTCCAGCCTGGGCAACAGAGCAAGACTCCGTCTCAAAACAAACAAAAACTGCATCTGGGTCAGCGCAGTGGCTCATGTCTGTAATCCCAGCACTTTGGGAAGCCAAGGCAAGCAGATTGCTTGAGTCCAGGAGTTTGAGACCAGCCTAGGCAACATGGTGAAATCCTGTCTTTACTAAAAATACAAAGTATTAGCCAGGCGTGGTGGTGCGCACCGGAGGTCCCAGCTACTCCAGAGGCTGAGGTAGGAGAATCACTTGAGGCCAGGAAGTTGAGGCTGCAGTGAGCTGAGATCGTGTCACTGCACTCCAGCCTGGGCAATGGGAGTGAGACCCTGTCAAAAAAAAAAAAAAAACAACGCTGGGGATGGTGGCTCACGCCTGTATTCCCAGCACTTTGGGAGGCCAAGTTGGGTGGATCGCCCGAGGTCAGGAGTTCGAGAGCAGCCTGGCCAACATAGTGAAACCCCGTCTGTACTAAAAATACAAAAAAAATTAGCTGGTCCTGGTGGCAGGTGCCTGTAATCCCAGCTACTCGGGAGGCTGAGGCAGGAGAATCACTTGAACCTGGGAGGCAGAGGTTCTAGTGAGCTGAGATCGCGCCACTGCACTCCAGCCTGGGCAACAAGAGGAAATTCCGTCTCAAAACAAAACAAAAAAAACCCTGAATCTGGGTAGCATCTGAACTTCCTGGGCCAGTTGCTGCTGAGAAAGGCCAATGACACAGACCGAATCTAAATTATCTTCCCTCTGCGTCTGTGTCTGTCTCTTGTTTTTCCACCTGGGCTCCCTGATAAGTGGGCATCCCCTTCTGGGCACCTCAAGAAGGGCCTTGGCCTCTGGCGACCACTTCCCCTTGTTGGTTGCTGTCTGCTCCTCCTCATGCCTGGGGGTTAATGGCCAAGTGTGACCCAGCTGCTTCTAGCTTTGGTTCTCTCAGGAAGGGCAGAGAAAGGTCATGTTTATTTTGGTCTCCCATAAATCTCCCCGGCCTGCCCAGAAGGTCTTTATTTAAGTGACTTGGAACAACATGAAGAATGGCAACTTTGCTAATAGTTTAAGAAAAGTGCAGAAGCATTGCATGTGCACCTGTTTCCTATATTATTATTATTATTATTATTATTATTATTATCATTATTATTTTAGCTTAGTTTTGTTTTGTTGTTTTTGGGTTTGTTTTGTTTTGTGTTTTTTTTTTGTTTTGTGTGCTACTCTGTCACCCAGGCTGGAGTGCAGTGGCGTGATCTCGGCTCACTGCAACCTTTGCTTCCTGGGTTCAAGTGATTTTCCTGCCTCAGTCTCCCAAGTAGCTGGGACCACAGGCGCGTGACACCACAGCCGGCTAATGTTTTGCGTCTTTAGTAGAGATGGGGTTTCACCGTGCTAGCCAGGATGGTCTCGATCTTCTGACCTTGTGATCCGCCCGCCTCGGCCTCCCAAAGTGCTGGGATTACAGGTGTGAACCACCGCTCTCAGCCTATTATTTTAAATTGTTTTGCTGGGCATAGTGGCACACGCCTGTAATCCCAGCACTTTGGGAGGGCAAGGTGGGTGGATCACTTGAGTCTGGCAGTTTGAGACCAGCCTGGGCAACATGGTGAAACCTCGTATCTACAAAAAATACAAAAATTAGCTGGACATGGTGGTGCGCGCCTATGGTCCCAGCTACTCAGGAAACAGAGTGGGGAGGATCACTTGAGCCCAGGGGGTTGAGGCTGCAGTGAGGCATGATTGTGCCACTGCACTCCAGCGGTGACAGAGACCCTGTCTCAGGAAAAATAAAAAAAGTATTATTTTAATGGGCAGCCCCCAGAACTGGAAGAGGTTCAGAGGACTCCCTATTTCCTACATTAGACATGTGAAAAGGACAGGGCATGAAGTTACAATTAATTTTTTAAATGTTATCAAAATAATACATAAGCACAGTTTAAAATGTTTGCTTATGGTTGGCTAGGTAAATCAAAGTTACCCTACTCCATCTGGGCACAGTGGCTTACTCCTGTAATCCTAGCACTTTGGGAGGCCAAGGTGGGAGGATTGCTTTAGTCCAGGAGTTCGAGACCAGCCTGGGCAACATAGGGAGATCCCTGTCTCTATAAAAAAATTTAAAAATCCTCCTTCTAAGTGAAGTAATGAAAAAAAGAAAGCTGGCCGGATGCAGTGGCTCTAGCTTGTAATCCCAACACTTTGGGAGCCCGAGGCAGGTGGATCACAAGGTCAGGAGTTCGAGACCAGCCTGGCCAATATGGTGAAACTCCTTCTCTACTGAAAAAAGAAAAATCAGCTGGGCATGGTGGTGCATGCCTGTAGTCCCAGCTGTTCAGGACGCTGAGGCTGGAGAATCGCTTGAAATCGGGAGGCTGAGGTTGCAGTGAGCCGAGATCACGCCACTGCATTCCCGCCTGGGCGACGGAGCAAGACTCCATCTCAAAAAACAAAAAGCCAGGCCCGGTGGCTCACACCTATAATCCCCCAGCACTTTGGGAGGCCGAGGCTGGTGAATCACCTGAGGTCAGGAGTTCGAGAGCAGCCTTACCAACAAGGTGAAACCCCATCTCTACTAAAAATACAAAAATTAGCTGGGCATGGTGGCGGGCGCCTCTAGTCCCAGCTGCTCGGGAGGCTGAGACAGGAGAATTGCTTGAACCCGGGAGGCAGAGCTTGCAGTGAGCCGAGATTGTGCCACTGCACTCCAGCCTGGGTGACAGACCAAGACTCTGTCTCGAAGAAAAAAAAAATCCAGAAAGCTAAAATAAAAATAAATTAGCTGAGTGTGGTGGTGCACGCCTATAGTCCCAGCTACTTGAGAGGCTGAAGCAGAAGCTTCATTTGAGCCCAAGAGTTCAAAGCTGCAGTGAGCTATGATTGCGCCACTGTACTCCAGCCTGGGTGACAAAGTGAGACTCTGCCTCAAAAGTAAATAAATAAATAAATAAATAAATAAATAAATAAATAAAAAGAGATGAGCTACTCAGAGGGAACACGGAATAGGGTCCACCTCCTGCCACCGGATCCACCACTGTTTTCATCCAGTGCTGAGCCCAATCACCTGGGTCACCTCGGGCTCCTGTCAACAGTCTTTCCTTAAACAACTGGTGGCTGAAATGAAGGATCCCCCACCAACCACCAGCACTGGGAGACGATGCCACCAGTCCCCATTGCAGAGAAGGAAACTCAGGTCTGTTTCTATGTCCAAAACATTTATTTCAGGAAATATTTGTGCCTGCACAACAGGGGAACTTTGTGGGGTGTCTGTGGCTTGCTACAGTGACATCTGGCAGGACTAACTGGGTCATCAGAGCCACAGAATAAGGACTGGGAAGGTGGCCACAACTGCAAGGACTGGGGCCATGTGGGGGGAGGACTCTGAGACTGACCACTTGGCTGGTAACTTGGCTGTCCAGTGTATGGGAATCTCAGTGAGTTCCTGGCCTGAAGTCAGACTCTGTCTCTGACGCAGACGTGAGAGGTCGGAGTGGCAGGAACTGCTCAGCTGCTCATCCGGGAACTTGTCCTCCAAGGGGCTTTGCCATTTGTTTTCTTCCTGTACCTAGAGGTGGCAGTCGGTGCTCAGCTTCCACAGCTCTCCTTGATACACTTGCTCAGACCCCTCGGCTACTCTCTTGCCCAGCCCAGAGTACCTTTTCCACTTGTCTGAAGACCCGCAGCAGGTTTCCACGAAGGACACCCTGAAGCTCTTCCTCACTCCAGCCACGACTCAGCAACTCCTCTATCAGGACCGGGTATGTGGACACGTCTTCCAGCCCCTGAGGGAATCTGTGTGGCCACCAGCTAGTGGGTTTCAGACCTGATTCCCTGATCATGACTCAGAACCACAGTCCAGGGTCTATGAAACCCCAGCCCTGGTCAGGTATGGGAAGTGGAGACTTGGAGAGAGTAGGTAATTCTCCTCTGCTCTTTATCCTTCAGAAGGAGGCCTCAAAACCTCCTTGAATATTTATCAAAACTTATTGAATCATACTATTAAGATCTATGCCTTTTACTGAATGCAAATGATCCCCCCTACCAACCAGAGTTAAAAAGAAGAAAATGGCCAGGTATGGTGGCTCACACCTGTAATCCCAGCACTTTGGGAGGCCAAGGTGGGCGGATCACTTGAGGTCAGGAGTTTGAGACCAGCCTGGCCAACATGGTGAAACCCAATCTCTACTAAAAAGACAAAAAAGAAAGAAAGAAAGAAAGGAAAGAAAGGAAAGAAAGAAAGAAAGAAAGGAAAAATAAATTAGCTGGGCATCATGGCGCACACCTGTAATCCCAGCTACTTGGGAAGCTGAGGCAGGAGAATCGCTGGAACTCAGGAAGCAGAGGTTGCAGTGAGCCGAGATTGTGCCACTGCACTCCAGGCTGGGCAACAGAGTGAGCCTCTGTCTCAAAAAAAAAAAAAAGAAAAGAAAAAAAGAAGAAAAGGCCCAGTGAGGTGGCTTAGGCCTGTAATCCCACACTTTAGGAGGCCAAGGCAGGAGAATCACTTGAGTCCAGGAGTTCAAGACCAGCCTGGGCAACACGAGACCCCATCTCTGCCAAAAATAAAATTATCTGGGCATGATGACACATGCCTGTAGCCCCAGCTACTTGCAGGCTGAGATGGCAGGATTGCTTGAGCCCAGAAAGTCAAGGCTGCAGTGAGCCAAGATTGCGCCACTGCACCCCAGTCTGGCCAACAGAGCAAGACCCTGAGAAGAAGAAGAAGAAGAAAAGGAAGAAAGAAGGAGGAGGAGGAGACAAAGAAGAAGGAGGACGAGGAAGAAAAGGAGAAGGAGAAGGAGAGGAAGAGCTTCTTCAGAAAACAGTGGTTGCAAACACAGCCACTGTGCACAGGGCTCACACCAGACCTTGCTGATGGTCTGCTCAGGGAGAGTGAGTCTCCTGGGCTTGGGGGTACGTGCAGTGCTGGGCAGATGAGCTCTGTCTGGTGGTTTGGCCAAGTATAATGTCCTAGAGTGGGGTCACTGGGATGAAGACAAACAGGAGAGCCCAGAGAACTGATCCCGGGAGTGTGGTCAAGGCCTAAAGGACGTGATGGCTATGGTGACCGTGAAGGCCCCACTGCTGTACAGCTAGCCCAAGACAAGCCACAGGGAAGGCACTCACTTGCCGGCCCCATCATAATCTCCACCAATCCCGATGAACTTGGATCCAATGACAGCCTTGATGTGGTCGAAGTGATCTGGGGAGGGGGAAGGTGGACAGTCAGCTGCGTAGGGCTTCCAGGGCAGGGGTGCCACTGGGGCTGGATGGCACT
The DNA here is from genome assembly GCF_000001405.40 of Homo sapiens. NCBI lineage: Eukaryota > Metazoa > Chordata > Mammalia > Primates > Hominidae > Homo > Homo sapiens. Next base: position 67,989,474 of record NC_000016.10, read on the forward strand.
GAGTCTCCTTCTTGCAGCCTGTGGGCCAGGCAGGCTAATTCCTTTATGGCCTGCCACATAGCTTGGCAACCTGAGAACCCTGAGGTTTGACCTGAATGGATTCAGCTGGTTCTGGCCTGGATTTCAGGTTTGGAGTGGATCCACAGAGCCACTTGTCTGGGCCATTTCCCACCTAGGATTAAACCTGCCTCTAGTCTCTTTGAGAACCTGGTAGGAACTCTTTTCTATGGTTGTGGGAGATGACGGAGGGACAAAGAGTACAACTGACAAAGACCCCAGAGACCTAAGGGGCCTTCCCCTTCTAGTCTCTTGGCCAGAGGCCGAGGAAGGGTGCTTTGGGGATCCCCTGCAGAGGCGCAGATAGTTAGCACTCAGGTTCTATGTGTGGCTTCCTCCCTTATACCCATCAGGACCGCAGCACTGACTCTGTGGCTGCAGCTCCATGTGACCAATGTGCTGTGTACTGTCCATCACTGCATTTTTTTCAGTGAAACCACTGGGACAGTCCTGGGGCCCTCCCAAGTCTTCAGGTGCAAATCAGAACTGTTCAGAGAGCCCGGGAGAGGGAGTTACCTGCCACAGTGGACACATTGGCTGATGGGTTGCACTGTATTACTCCCATGGACAAAGACACCATCACGACGCCACCGTTCTTCTTCTGCAGGGGCGGGCAAGTGGACACTTAGCCTGGCCCCTCAGCAAACTGCATTCCTGCCCTGCCACCCTCTGGATCCCTGGAGAGGGTGTTCAGCTCTGACTTCAGGAGTCAGCAGAAACTTCACCTCTCTGGTTTTGTATGAAGGGAGGAGTCTAGGCCCTGGTCTGGCATAGGTGTCTTGGCACTTGCTTTGAGGAGTAGAGGAATATACATATTTACCATCTAGAACCCCCGACTCCTGGATGTGGACTGTGGGGTTGTGGGGCAAAAGATGTTCAGCCTGAAGTTGGAAGAAGTGGAGGGAGCAGGGCCTCAGGTTTGAGGGCTCCTGTTTTTTGTTTTTGTTTTCCATGGCAGGGTCCTACTCTGTCACCCAGGCTGGAGTGCTGTGGCGTGATCTTGGCTCACTGCAACCTCCGCCTCCCAGGTTCCAGAGATTCTCCTGCCTCAGCCTCCCAAGTAGCTGGGATTACAGGAATATGCCATCACACCCGGCTAATTTTTGTATTTTTAGTAGAGACGGGGTTTCCCCATGTTGGCCAGGCTGGTCTTGAACTCCTGACCTCAAGTGATCAGCCCACCTCAGCCTCCCAAAGTGCTGGGATTACAGGTGTGAGCCACCATGCCTGGCCGAAGGGCTCCTGGTTTGAACCTCTTGCTTTAGGTTCCTGGGCTGGGCAGTTTCTCACCAGAAGCTGCAGGATGTCATCAGGAACATTCCGAGCACTGTTGCACACACCCCGGGCAGCCGAGTGGGAGAAGATCACAGGTGCCTGTGACACTTCCAGGGCCCGCCGTGCCACAGCATCTGAGACATGGGATAAGTCTACCATCATGCCCAGGCGGTTCATTTCTGCCACCACCTTCTGCAGGGACATGTTGGGAGAAGGGTATCAGGGGTGCACATGTGTATACATTTATTTGTAAGAAACAGCTGGGGTGTGCACATTTGTTTGGGGTGGAGTGTGAACCAGGGTCCTCACCTCACCAAAGTCAGTCAGCCCGCTGATGTTGTTGTAGAAGGAGTGGACGCCCTTAGCGGAGCTCTCTGCCCTGCAGGGTGGCCAGGAAGCAGTCTGACTGGTAGCTGTTCCTCGGCCTCAAGAGTCTAGAGGCCCTACCCACCCTCCATCCCTGCACCCCCCTGAAACAAAAACAGGGATCCAAAATGGGCCCTGCAAATGGGCCATGCCTGGCAGCAGGAGGGCCCTGCTGGGTCCAGTCTTTTTTTTCCTTTTCTTTTTTTTTTTTTTTTGGCAATAGAGTCTCGCTCTGTCACCCAGGCAGGAGTGCAGTGGTGCTGTCGTGCCATCTCAGCTCACTGAAACCTGCACCTCCTGGGTTCAAGAGATTCTCATGCCTCAGCCTCCTGAGTATCTGGGATTATAGGCACGCACCACCACACCTGGCTAATTTTTGTGTTTTTCTTCAAGATAGGGTTTCACCATCTTGGCCAGGCTGGTCTCGAACTCCTGGCCTTAAGTTATCTGTCCGCCTCAGCCTCCCAAAGTTTTGGGATTACAGGCATGAGCCACCGCGTCTGGCCAGGGGTCAAGTCGTATTCTGAAAACCAGAATCCCAGCTCCCCTCCCCACTCCAGAGTCAGTGCCACATCCCATGGGTAAAGCTTGTTCTGGGCCCACAGTGACCTCAGGCAGATCTCTGCCCCTGCCTCAGCGGTCCCACACCATCTGCACTAGGCTCACCAGGGTGTGTTGCAGGTGTGGGTGAGCGTCAGGTAGCGCACTCCCAGCATGTAGAAGGTACGTAAGATGGAGAGGCTATTGTCCAGCGAGTGGCCACCCTCTACACCGATGAGGCAGGCCAATTTCTGAGTGTCGTTCAGAGCTGGGGGCAGGTAGGTCAGGTGATTACTTTCCAGGGCTGGAGTAGCTCAATCAAGTTCCTAACGCTTCCCATCAACTTGCCTACCTTTAGCCGAGGTCACAAGCTCCAGCTCAGAATAGGAGGCACACATGCGGCGTATGAGGTCAATCTGCTCCAGGGTGAGGCGCAGGGCATCCCGGTCCTGGGTCTGGCATGGCACATAGGCTGACCAGAACTGGGGGGAAGGCCAGGGTTTGGCTTGGATGGGGGCTGCTTTGGAGGACCCTGGACTGCTCACAGCCTCCACAGCTGACAGAGCACCCAGTGGGCCAGGAGGCCACATGTAATGTACTGCTTCTTCCACAGGGTCTTCCTGGCCACCAAGCTGGCTCACTGTAGCCTCTGCAGCCCCCAGCATCCATATCATGACACTTTTTGGGTCACTATGGTAACTGAGTTCTCATGTGACTAACTTGTGATCTCTGGGGTCCCCACTCTCCCCATCATCCCCCAGCAGCCATGCTGTGGCACCTCGTGTATCCCTGTGGTACCTGGGCGCCCACGAGGCCATCTCTAAGCCTGTCCAGGCTGGTCTGGCCGTAGCTGAAATTGCGCAGGTTAACATCCTGTAGCCCTTTCTGGTAAACCTGCCTTAGGACCAGGGGCAGGTCGTTGTGGCTGGAGGGATGTCAAGCCAGGGTCAGGTGAAGAACAGACAGATGGGCCTCTTAGCCCTCCAGTTCAGGAAGGACACATCTGGGGATCCCCATCCCTCATTGTCACATGACTATACTGAGATCCCCTGAGGCCCGGGCTAGGAGTGCCCACCCAAGAGGGGATGACAGAGGGGAAAGGGTACCCATGCATGACGGGAGAGAGGGCATCCAGGGGTGGTGTGAGGGAGCCTCCTCCACAGCCCTGCATACTCTGGGACCCTCCCTTGCCCAGGAGTGTGCTCAGCTCCCATCGCCCCCTTGCAGCAATTACGCACCCGTCCACGAGCGGGAAGTCCCGCATCAGGGCCCGTGCCTGCTCTTGCAGGCCCTGGGTGCTGGGACTACTGAGTGTGGTCGAGGGAGCGTAGGTGCCCGGCATGGTGTGGGCTCTGGGGGCGCCCAGCGTGGTGAGGGCTCTGGGGGGGCCTGGCGTGGTGTAGGCACAGGTTACAGGCTGGAGCAGCAGCAGCAGGAGCAGCAGACTCAGCAGAGGCCACCGACCAAACGTGCCGGGACCCTCGAGGCCGGAGGGCTGCATGTTGTGCAGGGCCGGGCAGGCAGGCAGGGGTGGCAGTCAGAGAGCCTGAGAGGGGCGGGCGAGGGGCAGAGCGCGACGATGGAGTCCCGACCCTCGATTCAGGCCACCTGGCGGCGTGGCCTCAAGAGGAGGGTAACGAAGTCACAGGGCCCCGCGAAGGATGTGCGGAGAGCGGCGGCACCGCCCAGTACGGCCACCAGGGGGCGCCCAGCCCTCCCGCCGTCATCCCCAAGGGCGCTCCCGCCGGCTGGGCGGATCCCTGTCCTGGGCGCCCACTCGCGGCCTGTCTTAGGGCCCTCCACCCTCCCTTTTACTCCTCCCACTGTCCCCAGGGGGCCGACCCAGGTGGCTCCTCTGCTGCCCCTAGGCTCTCTCTCTAAGAGAGAGGGCCTGGGGTGCTTCCCCCAAACAGTGGCCCTCTGCCCTGCCCTGGGAGATCTGCAGACCACGTCATGTCCCCAACCGCCTGCAACGTGTCCCGGCCACACCCAGGGCCACATGTGTCCCTGTGACCACAGTGCTCTGGGCTCTGGATTTCCTGGTGCTGGGTTGTGTGGGTGGGTGTGGGGGAGAAGATAGGCTCTGGAAATGAGGGGTTAACCCTGTGGACTGGATTCAGGAAGGGGCCCCCTGGCCCTGACCTTCTCTCTCCCGTAACTTAGGCCCTCAAGCCTATACTCTGGGGAATCTCCCAGCTACTAGGACCTGTCAGGAGCACTCCTCCGCCCCCCGCCCCGACCGCACATTCTCCAATCAGCCTTAGGAAAGAGCTCCTTCCTAAGGAGCTGCCACACCTCCCCAGGACCCCAGTGGAGGGATGAGAGCGCAGCAAGCATCTGGCCACTGCCAGGGAACATTCACTCAACAGAGCAGGAACCCACACAGCCATCTGCATGGAAGGAAATGAAGTCTTGTCTAGGGCAGCAGAGTCCCCGGCCGCAGCACCTTCCTCCTAGAGCTTCTGGCTGATCTGCTGGCCAGGATACCTCCTACCTCCTTGAGGAAGCCCCGGCCTCGTCCAGGTCAGGAGTAAGGGGCCTGAGGAAAGCCCTGCCACCTGGGTTCTGCAGCCACACTCCTCTTATCTTGTGGCTCCTGTGGCTTGAGCTCTCACAGAAACCTCCAGGGCTGAGTCCCTTCCTTGACGACAGGCCCCACCCCATTCCCGGCCTGGGGCCCTCAACCTAGATGCCTCCTCCAGGAAGGACCCCCAACCACACAAGCACACAAGCTCACAATCACACAGGCACAGGGGATGTGCCCGCTCACAGAAGCCCCACGACCTGAGATCTTCCGGGACTGTGGCCAAACCCCTTCGTCCTCAGAGACCTTTGCCTCCTCCTGCCCCTCAGGCTCTCAAGACTCTGCTCTGAACCTTGGCACCCCTGGAACCGCTTCATTTTTTGGAGCCTCCCCCACGTGGCAGGGCTGATCAGTGCATGGGTAGTGTGACCTAAGCCTGACGACGACTAGAGATTCAAGAAGGCCTCCTAAAAAGAAAATGAACCAACTCTTCCAAAGGGACTGGAGGTCCCAAGCTACCCAGGAGGGGAAGTGATCCCAGCTTTGATGTATTTTAGGGACTGCACACTTGATGTTGCCCAGTGTCTGCTGTCCAGGAGGAAGGCAGATCGATGGCCGAGTGCTCGAGGTGGGTTAACTGTCACGTCTACTGCTGCCGAAGGGGGTCTTTTTTTGTTTGTTTTGAGACAGAGTCTCACTTTGTTGCCCAGGCTAGAGGGTAGTGGCACAATCTTGGCTCACTGCAATCTCCACCTCCTGGGTTCAAGCGATTCTTGTGCCTTAACTTCCCGAGTAGCTGGGACTACAGGCATGCGCCACCACGCCCGGCTAAATTTTGTTGTTTAGTAGAGATGGGGTTTTGCCATGTTGCCCAGGCTGGTCTCGAACTCCTGGTCTCAAGCAATCTGCCTGCCTCAGCCTCCCAAAATGCTGGGATTACTGGAGTGAGCTACCGCACCTGGGCTTTTTTTTTATTTTTTATTTATTTTTTTAATTAAAGACTGTCTTGCCTTCTTGCCCAGGCTGGTCTCAAACTTCTGGCTTCAAGTGATGATCTCACCTTGGCCTCCCAAAGTGCTGGGAGTATAGATGTGAGCCACTGTGCCCAGCCCTGCTGGAGGGTTCTATAGGGAGGCCCACTGCAGATGGTGAGTCCTCTTGGGCTCTGCTTCAGAGAACAGTAGGGCGTGTCCCAGATCTGGGTGGTTTGGGTACCCCAACACAGGCTTCCCTCCTTCTCTCCATCATCCACTGCTGGTCAGCAGCTCCCCACACCCACTGGAATAGTGAGAGGGAGGAGAAGCTCTTGGATTTGCTGGTCTCCAGGTCAAAGATGTGGTTTTGGGGATAAACAGTTTATTCTGAGAGCCCCAAGAGGTAAGGGGCATAAAGAATGAGGAACTGAACCTGATCATTATGTGTTATATGTATTGAAACATCACTATGGGTGGGGCGCAGTGACTCACACCCGTGATCCCAGCACTTTGGGAGGCCGAGGTGGGTGGATCATCTGAGGTCAGGAGTTCGAGACCAGCTTGGCCAACATGGGGAAACCCCATCTCTATTAAAAATACAAACATTAGCCGGGCTTGGTGGTGCGCGCCTGTAGTCCCAAATACCTGGGAGGCTGAGTTGGGAGAATCGTTTCAACCCAGGAGGCAGAGGTTGCAGTGAGCCGAGATTGGGCCACTGAACTTCAGCCTGGATGACAGAGCGAGACCCTGTCTCCCCCCGCCAAACAACAACAACAACAACAACAACAACAACAAAAATCACTATGTACCCCATGAATATGTGCAAATTATTATTATTATTGTTTTTGAGATAAGGTCTTGCTCTGTCACCCAGGCTGGACTGCAGTGGTGCAGTCTCAGCTCACTGCAGCCTTAACCTCTCAGGTTCAATCAATCCTCCCACTTCAGCCTCCCGAGTCTGGGACTACAGGTACTCGCCACCACACTCGGCTATTTTTTTTTTTTTTTTTAGAGACAGGGTCTCACTATATTGCCCAGGCTGGTCAATTATTATTTGTCAGTTTGAAAAATGTAAAAATAAGGAAGGGGTAGGTAGGAATAAATAAATAACAGCTGACAGAGTAGGTGAGGAGAATTCAACTTTTTGAATTTTTTTTCTTTTTTTTTTGAGACAAAGTTTTGCTCCTGTTGCCCAGGCTGGAGGGCAATGATGTGATCTTGGCGGGCAATGATGTGATCTTGGCTCACTGCAACCTCCACCTCCTGGGTTCAAGTGATTCTCCTGCCTCAGCCTCCCAAGTCACTGGAATTACAGGCATGTGCCACCACACCTGGCTAATTTTGTATTTTTTAGTAGAGATGGGGTTTCTCCATTTTGTTCAGGCTGGTCTTGAACTCCTGACCTCAGGTAATCCACCCACCACGGCCTCCCAAAGCGCTGGGATTATAGGTGTGAGCGACCGCACTCGGCCAACTTTTTGCATTTTTTTTTAAGCTTCTCTCCAGAGCCCGAATGTCTGACCTCCTGGGACTTGGGGTACCTGCTAGCTCAGCAGAGGCAGGCTGAGTTGAGCCAGTAAAAGTGAGCACTGTCTCTGTAGGAGATAAGCCAGACAACACAATTTTCCATGATATGCAACTTCAGTCCTCAAATGTGGCCTTGAGGGGACCATACAAAGCGAATCACAGACACACCCACACTTGTAGTTGCAGTGAGCATTATGATAACACCATAGCATTCCAGCCTGGGTGACAGGGCAAGACCCTGTCTGTAAAAAAATAGATAATGATATTATTATTATTATTATTATTATTATTATTATTATTATTATTATTTTCTGAGACAGAGTTTCATTCTTGTTGCCCAGGCTGGAGTGCAATGGTGCAATCTTGGCTCACTGCAATCTCTGCCTCCTGGGTTCAAGTGATTCTCCTGCCTCAGCCTCCCGAGTAGCTGAGATTACGGGCGCATGCCACCACTCCCGGCTAATTTTTGTATTTTTAGTAGAGATGGGGTTTTGCCATGTTGGCCAGGCTGGTCTCGAACTCCTGACCTCAGGTGATCCGCCTGCCTTGACCTCCCAAAGTGCTGGGATTACAGGCATGAGCCACCCCCGACCCTTGGCCAAATTTTTTATTTTTATATTTATTTGTTTATTTATTTTGAGATGGAATCTCGCTCTGTCGCCCAGGCTGGAGTGCAGTGGCACAATCTCGGCTCACTGCAAGCTCCGCCTCCCGGGTTCAGGCCATTCTCCTGCCGCAGCCTCCCGAGTAGCTGGGACTATAGGTGCCCGCCAACACGCCCGGCTAATTTTTTGTATTTTTAGTAGAGACGGGGTTTCACCGTGTTAGCCAGGATGGTCTTGATCTCCCGACCTCGTGATCCACTCACCTTGGCCTCCCAAAGTGCTAGGATTACAGGCATGAGCCACCGCGCCCAGCTCACATTTTTTAAAATGGAAGAAATAGGTATGGCTTTTCTGTAGGGAATGGGCTGGAGGCCAGGAGATCAGGAGGGGTAAGGAATGAAGGGGCCTGTAAGGGGGAGAAGCAGTGGGAACAGGAAGGAGACATTCCTGGGACATGTTTGGAAGTTGAACCCAGGATTTGGAGATGCTTTGAAGCAGGGTTGGTGGGAGACAGTAAGGAGGAATCAGCGGTGACACTTAAGGTCGGCTCTGGAGTCAGGCCCTGAGTTTCCCCGCCTCTGCCTTGTTTCCACTCTGCCCACTGCCAGCATCTAGCTAACTTAGACTGTAGCCTCTGACCCCAAATTATCCCTGTGCTCAGGTCTGTGCCACTGATATTGGCAGCTCCTAATGAGAGGTGACAGCGTGCTGCCAGTCCTCACAGCCCTCGCTCGCTCTCGGGGCCTCCTCTGCCTGGGCTCCCACTTTGGCGGCACTTGAAGAGCTCTTCAGCCCACCGCTGCACTGTAGGAGCCCCTTTCTGGGCTGGCCAAGGCCAGAGCCAGCTCCCTCAGCTTGCAGGGAGGTGTGGAGGGAGAGGCGCGAGTGGGAACCGGGGCTGCGAGCGGCGCTTGCGGGCCAGCTGGAGTTTCGGGTGGGCGTGGGCTTGGCGGGCCCGCACTCGGAGCGGCCCGCGGGCCCTGCTGGCCCCGGGCAATGAGGGGCTTGGCACCCGGGCCAGTGGCTGCGGAGGATGTACTGGGTCCCCCAGCAGTGCCAGCTCACAGGCGCTGCGCTCGACTTCTCACCGGGCCTTAGCTGCCTTCCCGGGGGGGCAGGGCTCGGGACCTGCAGCCCTCCATGCCTGAGCCTCCCACCCCCTCCATGGGCTCCTGTGCGGCCGGAGCCTCCCCGGTGAGCGCCGCCCCCTGCTCCACAGCGCCCAGTCCCATCGACCACCACAGGGCTGAGGAGTGCGGGCGCATGGCGCAGGACTGGCAGGCAGCTCCACCTGCATCCCTGGTGCGGGATCCACTGGGTGAAGCCAGTTGTGCTCCTGAGTCTGGTGGGGACGTGGACAATCTTTACGTCTAGCTCAGGATTGTAAATACACCAGTCGGCACTCAGTATCTAGCTCAAGGTTTGTAAACACACCAATCAGCACCCTGTGTCTAGCTCAGAGTTTGTGAATGCACCAACTGACACTCTGTATCTAGCTGCTCTGGTGGGGCCTTGGAGAACCTTTGTGTCGACACTCTGTATTTAGCTAATCTGGTGGCGACGTGGAGAACCTTTGTGTCTAGCTCAGGGATTGTAAACGCACCAATCAGCACCCTGTCAAAACAGACCACTCGGCTCTACCAATCAGCAGGATGTGGGTGGGGCCAGATAAGAGAATAAAAGCAGGCTGCCTGAGCCCGCAGTGGCTACCTGTTCTGGTCCCCTTCCACACTGTGGAAGCTTTGTTCTTTTGCTCTTTGCAGTAAATCTTGCTACTGTTCACTCTTTGGGTCCATGCTGCTTTTATGAGCTTTAACACTCACCGCGAAGGTCTGCAGCTTCACTCCTGAAGCCAGCGAGACCACAAGCCCACTGGGAGGAACAAACGACTCCAGACGCACTGCCTTAAAAGCTGTAACACTCACCACGAAGGTCTGCAGCTTCACTCCTGAGCCAACAAGACCACAAACCCACCAGAAGGAAGAAACTCCAAACATCCAAACATCAAAAGAAACAAACTCCAGACGCGCTACCTTAAGAGCTGTAACACTCACTGCGAGGGTCTGCAGCTTCATTCTAGAACTCAGTGAGACCAAGAACCCACCAATTCCGGACACACTAAGACAAGATTTCACTAGTGTGTGCTGTTTCCCCTGCAAGGGGGAGGGCACAGAGATGGCTTTGGGTGAGGTTAGGGGGAGGATAGGCCTCCTGGTTGGCTAACACTTGTTTACTTCTGGGGCATGAGTGTTCATGTGAGCCCACGATGCCTGGCCTGTTCCTCTTTTAACAAAGTCTGGTAGGACATGGTGGCTCATGCCTGTAATCCCAGTAATTTGAAGGTCGAGGTGAGAGGATCTCTTGAAGCCGGAGGTTTGAGACCAGTCTAGGCAACATAATGAGAACTCTAAGAAAAAGGAAAAAAAAAAGTGGTGCATGCCTGTGGTTCCAGGTACTTACGAGGCTGAGGTGGGAGGTTCGCCTGAGCCCAGGAGTTTAAGGTTGCAGTGAGAGACGATGGCACCACTGCTCCCTAGCCTGGGCGACAGAGTGAGACCCCATCTCTAACAAAACGAAAACAAGATCCAATGCATCCTCCTGCCTGAAGTTCTTCCGTGGCTTCTCATTGCAGAAATCTACCGAATTTCTTTCTTTGGCTTTCAACTCATGGAGAGTCTGCTCTCACCAGCCTCTCCAGTCTCAGCAAATAGCACAAACTTTCCTGTCCTCCAAAATCTGGCCACCTCAGTGATGCTACGTCCCCCCATAGAGCCTTGGCACAACCTCAGCCTCCAATTGGTAGGGCTGTTGAGGCAAGGCCAGGATAGGAAATCTTGCTACCAGGAAGGAGTAGGTGGGTGAACAGCTTTTCCCTCTACTTCCTCTTCTATGCAGTGTTTGCATAAATCAAGACCTGCAGAGGAGGCAGCAGTAGAAACAGTTTGCTCCAAGGACCAAACTTATTCTGGTGTGCAGCTCACTCGCCCCTACTCATCTCCAGTGTATTTCAAGAGTATGCAGGGAAGGAAAAAGTCAGGCTGAGTTATAGCTGCACAGGCTGCCTCCCATGCTCAGAGCGCAGAGGTGGGGTGCAGCTGGGGCTTACTCAGTATCCAGCAGTGCCCAGATGATGATCATCTGCATCCAAGCCCCTCTGGTCCTGGAGACTCATGCTTCCCTTTGATGTCGCCCTGGATCTGCTCCCATGATGTCTGATACAGACAATTCCCAAGAAACAATAGTCTTCCAAGCCAGAAAGCAGCCTGGCCACTGTAGACAAACATCCTCCAATCACCAAGCTGAAGCCACCCTTCCTGAAACGTCAAATAGCTAACATAACATTTTTCTTCCACAAAAGGAAGTCAATGTTTATGTTTCTAGGAGAAGTGCAATAACCCCAAATGCATCTTTATCTCCTGAATGCATCTAGAACCTTCTGCTCAAGCCTTACCAACCAACCCCTACCCCGCCAGCCTCTCTGTCCAACATTCCTGGGGTGCTTTTTTTTTTTTTTTTTGGAGTGCGAGGGCACGATCTCGGCTCACTGCAACCTCCACCTTCCAGGTTCAAGCGATTCTCCTGCCTCAGCCTCCCAAGTACGTGGGATTACAGGCATGCACCACCAGGCTGGCTAATTTTTGTATTTTTTTTAGTAGAGATGGGGTTTCACCATGTTGATGAGGCTGGATTGTCTCGAACTCCTGACCTCGGGTGATCCACCAGCCTTGGCCTCTGAAAGTGCTGGGATTACAGGCATGAGCCACTGCGCCCGGCCTTTTTTCTTTTCTTTTTTTTTTTTTTTTTGAGACAGGATCTTGCTCTGTTGCCCAGGCTGGAGTGCAGTGGTGCCACTTTGGCTCACTGCAACCTCCGCCTCCCAGGTTCAAGCAATTCTCCAACCTCAGCCTCCCTAGTAGCTGGGGCTACAGGCATGCACCACCATGTCCAGCAAATTTTTGTATTTTTAGTAGAGACGGGATTTCACTACATTGGCCTTGAACTCCCGGCCTCAGGTGATCCACCCGCCTTGGACTCCCAAAGTGCTGGGATTACAGGCCTGAGCCACTGTGCCTGGCCCTGGGTTGCTTTCTGATGGAGACGATTGATGACTTGGGTCCCATGTGTACCATTGAGTTCCTCTTGCAGCTGGGTTCTGCCTGATTTCAGACAGTACAGAGGATCTGGGACAGAAGGCTGCATGCTATCCCATGTCCTTGAGGTAGTGCCATCAGCCGAGGGTGGGGAGGAGGCAGGAGGGCCCTGGGGTGCAGGAGCTGGATCCAGCAAGGCCATTAAAAGTATCTCAGGGGACAAGAGATGGTGGCTCATGCCTGTAATCCTAGCACTTTGGGAGGCCAAGGCATGAGGATTGCTTGAGGCCAGGAGTTCAAGACCAGCCTGGGAAACATGGTGAGACCCCTTCTCTACAAAAAAATTTTTTAAAAAGTAGCTGGTCATGGTGGCACATGTCTGTAGTCTCAGCTACTCAGGAGGCTGAGGTGGGAGAATTGCTTGAGCCCAGAAGTTAGAGGCCACAGTGAGCTATGGTCGCTCCACTGCATTCCAGCCTCTGGGAAAGAGCAAGACCCTGTCTTAAAAATAAAATACCTTTTCCGAAACATTTTTTGTAAGATTAAAAAAAGAGAAAAGAAGGAAGGAAGGAAGGAATAAAGAAAAGAAAAGAAAAAAATTTTAAAAGGTTGGGTATGGTGGCTCACGCCTGTAATCCTAGCACTTTGGGAGACCAAGGCAGGTGAATTGCTTGAGCTCAGGAGTTCGAGAGCAGCCTGGGCAACATGATGAAGCCCCGTCTTTATAAAAAATACAAAAATTAGCCAGGTGTGGCAGTGCACACCTGTAATCCCAGCTGCTTGGGAGGCTGAAGCAGGAGAATCGCTTGAACCCGGGAGGCGGAGGTTGCAGTGAGCTGAGATCGTGCCACTGCACTCCAGCCTGGGCAACAAGAGCGAAACTCTGTCTCAAAAAAAAAAAATTTCCTTTTAGAGACAGGGTCTCACTGTGTTGTTCACTGAAACTTCAAACTCCTGGGCTCAGGCAATCCTCCTGCCTCAGCCTTCCGAGTTGCTGGTGGAATCTGTGAGAAACATGGTGACTCGGTCAATAACCATGCCCCAGGCAGTTGTGGGGGACAGCCTGTATTCCATGGCGGCAACAAAGTTTTCATCTACGGACAGGGCCTCATCATCACCTGCGGCCTTAGCCTGTTCTTCAAAAAGCTGCCACTGCTGCATAGGATCATTTAGATCAGTGTAGGCATTGCTTATCGCTTTCTTTATGACAAATAGCTTAAAGCGCTGGGTCAGACCTTTTGAGTAGTGCCATTTAGCCAAAGGGCTCATTATCTGGGGGTGATCACAGATGAATGTAGAATTGTTGCAAATCACTTCCAGGAACTCCCCCAACAAGCTTGTCAAGGAGCCTGGCTGTGGTCCTAGGTGGAGGGCACGCAATAGCATTTGCACGCAGATATTATCAAGAATTTTGCCAATTGCTTCAGTTTCAAATAGGTTATTTTCTGGCAGCTTCACCCCCAGGGCTTTCTCAAGCTCTTCTATCATGCTGATTCTCCGGAAGGGTAGGGTGAAGTCAATATTGCAGGCTTATCCCTCTGGGACATCTGGGTAGTAGGTGACCTTGTAACTACCTGTATTATGCTTCACCATCCCTGGAACCATCTTCCCCGTGATTTCCGTGAGATTGTGATAGTCTAGGCCATGTAGAACTCAGGGGTGCTGAACTCAGGATTTTACGTCAAATCAATTCCTTCATTCCAGAACTGGAATGCAATTTCATAAACCTGGTCAATGCCACCAACCACTAGCATCTTATGGTAGAGTTCTAGAGTAGTTCATGTGCAGCTTGTTGTGATAAGTGATGAAAGGCTTGGTCATAGCTCCCCTGGGATGACGTTCATTCATGGGAGTTTCAAGCTCTAGGAATCCCAGCTCATCCAAGAAACTTTTTTTTTTTTTTTGAGATGGAGTTTTCTTGTTGCTCAGGCTGGAGTATAGTGGTGCAATCTTGGCTTACTGCAACCTCCACCTCCTGGGTTCAAGTAATTCTGCTTCAGCCTCCTGAGTAGCTAGGATTATAGGCACCTGCCACCACGCCCATCTAATTTTTGTATTTTTAGTAGAGGTGGGGTTTTACCATGTCGTCCAGACTGGTCTCGAACTCCTGACCTCAGGCAATCTGCCTGCCTTGGCCTCCCAAAGTGCTGGGATTACAGGCGTGAGCCACTGCACCTGGCCTAAGAAACTTATTATACATGTGATGATCTTACAGCAGATGATAAATTTCTGCCTCATTCATTCAGGATCAAGTCCAAGTATCTCTGACCATACCTTATTTCCTTGTCTTTGAGGCCAAAGTGAAGATGAGGTAACATATACAAGCAAGGCCACAGCAGTGTGATCTCATAGGGAATGAAGCTCAGCTCATCCTTCTTGGTTTTTCCCAGGATTCCTCTGAATTCCAATTATGTTTCCCCAACGCAGTTTGTTATTAATATGAATAAATTATTCTTCCTGAAATTATAATTCCTGAAATTGGCCATGACTTGCAACTTGACCCCCTCTGCTCAAAGATCATAGAAGTTCATGGCTGGGCACTGTGTCTCACGCCTATAATCCCAGCACTTTGGGAGGCCAAGGCAGGCAGGCAGATCACCTGAGGTTGGGAGTTCGAGATCAGCCTGACCAACATGGAGAAACCTCACCTCTACTAAAAATACAAAATTAGCCGGGCGTGGTGGCGCACGCCTGTAATCCCAGCTACTAGGGAGGCTGAGGCAGGAGAATTGCTTAAACCTAGGGAGGAGGAGGTTGCAGTGAGCTGAGATTGTGCCATTGCATTCCAGCCTGGGCAACAATAGTGAAATTCCATCTCAAAAAAAAAAAAAAAAAGATCATAGAAGTTCAGCTTTCCTCCAAAAGCTTTTTTGGCATGGATCCTATCTGTCACGTTTAAGGTGATATCAGTCAGGAGATCCCCAGTTTGCAGGTGACAATATTCTGGGATGAAGTCAGTGAGGGAGATGTCTACATGGATCTCGTTGGGGTATGGGTCTTTCCCATTGACCTACCTGACTGCAAATCTTTTTTTTTTTTTTTTTTTTTGAGACAGAGTCTCGCTCTGTTGCCCAGGCTGGAGTGCAGTGGCTCAATCTCAGCTCACTGCAACCTCCACCTCCCAGATTCAAGCGATTCTCCTACCTCAGCCTCCCAAGTAGCTGGAATTACAGGCATGTGCCACCATGCCCAGCTAATTTTTGTATTTTTAGTAGAGATGGGGTTTCATCATGTTGGCCAGGCTGGCCTCGAACCCCTGACTTCAAGTGATCTGCCTGCCTCAGCCTCCCAAAGTGCTAGGATTACAGGAGTGAACCACCGGGCCTGGCCTTGGCTGTGGATCTTGTAGTACTGATTTGGGTCCAGGCTCTCCTCCTCAGGACCCACACCATTGTCAGTGGTATGGTTGGTGGCAGCAGCAGTGACCTGGGCTTAGCTGTTTCTCACTGAGCTCTTACTGCTTGGCTGCCTTCTCTGCCACTTTCTTCTCGGCTTTCAGGTATCTCTTCGGCTTGTTCTTGCTCAGTTTTGACTCACCACCATCCACTTTAACCTTGGCCCCTTGTACTGCAGTCATCTTCCCAGAGGGCCTGGACCCAAAATTGTGTTTTTTTTCTTTTTCTTTTTTTTTTGAGATGAAGTCTTGCTCTGTTGCTCAGGCTGGAGTGCAGTGGCGCAATCTCGGCTCGCTGCAACTTCTGCCTCCAGGGTTCAAGGGATTCTCATACCTCATCCTCCAGAGTAACCAGGAATACAGGCACCCACCACCACTCCCAGCTAAATATTCACATTTTTAGTAGCGATGGGGTTTTGTCATGTTGTCCAGGCTGGTCTCGAACTCCGGGCCTCAAGTGATCCTCCCACATCAGCCTCCCAAAGTACTGGAATATAGGCATGAGCCGCTGTGCCTGGCCCTGTTTTTTGTTTTTTTCACGTGGCCGTGTAGTTAAGGAACCAGCCTTATCGTGTGGGTAAGAAAATTGAGCAGCTGGTCAGATGAGGGGTTCCTTCAATCCCTCCACTTCCAGCTGCTGCCTCTAGGAAAGGCCTCAAATTCCTTACCTCAGCTTCCTGGGATTACAGGCGCACGCCACCATGCCTGGCTAATTTTTTTATTTTTAGTAGAGACAGGGGTTTCTCCATGTTGGCCAGGCTGGTCTCAAACTCATGACCTCAAGGGATCTGCCCACCTCAGTCTCCCAGAGTGCTAGGATTACAGGCGTGAGCCACTGTGCCCAGCCTCAAATTCCTTACATCTATCAGTTTGTCCGGGCATCATTTCCTGATCACCCACTGGTGCTGGCCATTTGCTGGGGTGTGCAGTGAGGTGGCTGGATAAGTCTCCAGCTATCACATGTGCTGGCATAAGCACATGGGGGTGGAGGGTGGGCTCTGTAGAGGCCCCCAAGATCCAGGAGCCAGTGCTGACCAAACATCTAGACAACATGTGTGATTTCACATTTAACCTCAAATTCAGACTTGCTGTCTCTTGCTTAACCTTGTCTGCTGATCTCCGAGGGCTATCAGACCTGTTTCTGCAAAAACACAGTGAAGTCACAGCACACCCTGCCCCGGAGCTCTCTAAGCTTCCTGTTTTTATGCAGAAAGCCTGCCCTCCTGTGAAGCTGACCATGTGAGATCTCACTGACTCCGCATCTGGGTGAATCTGAGAAGCTTAGTTAAAAACAACAACACAAAACTTTTTTTTTGAAACTGTATCTCCCTCTGTGGCCTAGGCTGGAGTGCAGTGGTGCCGTCATGGCTCACTGTAGCCTCAAATTCGGGGCTCAGGTGATCCTCTCACCTCAGCTTCCCGAGTAGCAGGGACTACAGGGTGGTGCCACCACACCCAGCTAATTTTTTTTTTTTTTTTGGTAGAGATGGGATTTCACCATGTTGCCAGGCTGGTCTCAAACCCCTGGTCTCAAGTGATCCTCCCACCTTAGCCTCCCACAGTGTTGGGATTACAGGCATGAGCCACTGTGCCCAGACCAAAAAACTTTTTATAGGAAAAATTGCAAATACATGAGAAAGGAGAGAGAAAAGTGTATTAACTCCCATGTAGCCATCACCCAGTTTCAAAGATTACCAACTGATGGCTCATCTTATTTCATTTATGCTCTCACTCACCTCTTTCTACAGATTATTTTAAAGCAAATCATAGACATCTATTTCATCCATTTTTAAGTATGCCTCTCTAAAAGGTAAGGGCTCTTTTTAGGCTGGGCACGTGGCTCTTGCCTGAAATCACAGCACTTTGGAAGCTTGAGGTGGGTGGATCACCTGAGGTCAGGAGTTGGAGACCAGCCTGGCTAACATAGCGAACCCCATCTCTGCTAAAAATACAAAAATTAGCTGGTTGTCGTGGAGGACACCTATAATCCCAGCTACTCAGGAGTCTGAGACAGGAGAACTGCTTGAACCCAGGAGGCAGAGATTGCAGTGAGCTGAGATCATGCCACTGTACTCCAGCCTGGGCAGCAGAGAAAGACTCAGTCTCTAAATAAATAAATAAATAAATGGTAATGGCTGTTTTTAAAAGACAACTATAAGCCAGGTGCACTGGGCCATTCCTGTAGTCCTACTAGCTATTTGGGAGGCTGAAACAGGAGGATTGCTTGAGCCCAGGAGTTTGAGGCCAGCCTGGGCAGCATACTAAAACCCTGTTTCTGAAAAATAAAATAAAATAAATAAATATATAAATAAATGGCAATTACCATACCATTATGACCCTTATAAAAGTTAACAGTACTTTTCTTTTAAAATTTGTAGAGACAGGGTCTTTTTTTTTTGAGACAGAGTCTCCCTCTGTTGCCCAGGCTGGAGCGCAGTGGGGTGATGTCGGCTCACTGCAAACTCCGCCTCCTGCGTTCACGCCATTCTCCTGCCTCGCCTTCCGAGTAGCTGGGACTACAGGCACCCGCCACCATGCCCAGCTAATTTTTTTGTATTTTCAGTAGAGACGGGGTTTCACCATGTTAGCCAGGATGGTCTCGATCTCCTAACCTCGTGATCCACCCGCCTCGGCCTCCCAAAGTGCTGGGATTACAGGCATGAGCCACCGCGCCTGGCCGAGACAGGGTCCTGTTTTATTCCCCAGGCTGGTGACGAACTCCTGGGCTCAAGCAGTCCTCCCTCTTTGGCCTCCCAAAGTGCTGTGATTACAGGCATGAGCCACCACACCCAGCCACTTTTTTTTTTTTTTTTGAGATGGAGTCTCGCTCTGTCGCCCAGGTTGGAGTGCAGTGGCGCCATCTCGGCTCACTGCAAGCTCCGCCTCTCGGGTTTATGCCATTCTCCTGCCTCAGCCTCCCGAGTAGCTGGGACTACAGGTGTCTGCCACCACGCCTGGCTAATTTTTTGTATTTTTAGTAGAGATGGGGTTTCACCATGTTAGCCAGGATGGTCTCAATCTCCTGACCTTGTGATCCACCCGCCTCGGCCTCCCCAAAGTGCTGGGATTACAGGTGTGAGCCACCACGCCCGGCCTTTTTTTTTTTTTTTTTTTGAGACGGAGTTTTGTTTTTGTTGCCCAGGCTGGAGTGCAATGGCGTGGTCTTGGCTCTCTGCAACTTCTACCTCCCAGGTTCAAGGGATTCTTCTGCCTCAGCCTCCCAAGTAGCTGGGATTACAGGCACGCATTAACACACCTGGCTAATTTTTTTGTATTTTTAGTAGTGACGGGGTTTCATTATGTTGGTCAAGCTGGTCTTGAATTCCTGACTTCATGTCATCCGCCCACCTCTGCCTCCCAAAGTGCTGGGATTACAGGCATGAGCCACCGTGCCCAGCCCAATTCTTTAGTATCATAAATTATCTATCATGTTCAAATTTATCTGATTGTCCAATTTTTAAATAATTCATTGGTTTGAACTGTAATGGAGCTCAGACCGCCCACATTGTAAATGGTTGTTATGACTCAATCTTCAGGTTCTTCTTTTTTTTGTCTTCCTTGCAATTTCTTTGTTGAAAAAATCACGTCCTTGTCCGTTAGAGTTTTCCATGTTGTAGAGTTTTCTGATTGCATCTCATGGTGTCATTTAACATGTTCCTGTGTCCTTGTGTTTTCTATAAACTGGTAGTTAAGGCAAGCTTTTATTTATTTAAAATTTTTTTTTCTAATTCTTTACTGTTAATATTTTTTGTAGAGATGGAGTGCTGCTGTGTTGCCCAGGCTGGTCTCGAACTCTTGGGCTCAAGCAATCCTCCCACCTCAGCCTCCCAAAGTGCTGGGATTACAGCCATGAGCCACCATGGCCAGCTGAGGGGAAGCTTTTAATACTGTGGATTTCTAGGCCAGTACCCTAAAACTTTAGACTGGTGTGGGTGCTGGGGATCACTTTTTTTTTTTTAAGACCGAGTCTCGCTCTGTCACCCAGGCTGGAGTGCAATGGCGCGATCTCAGCTCACTGCAAGCTCCGCCTCCCGGGTTCATGCCATTTTCCTGCCTCAGCTTCCCGCGTAGCTGGGACTACAGGCACCCACCACCACACCTGGCTAATTTTTTTTTTTTTTTTGTATTTTTTAGTAGAGACGGAGTTTCACCGTGTTAGCCAGGATGGTCTCGATCTCCTGACCTCGTGATCTCCCCGCCTTGGCCTCCCAAAGTGCTGGGATTACAGGTGTGAGCCACTGCGCCTGGCCGGGATCACTCTTTTTTAAGAGCCCCAGTTGAGTCTATTTGTTTCAGCTTTGGGAACTGCCAAACTATCCAGGCCATCCAGGAACCACAAATCTGCTTCAGTCACGCCACGGATGAGAGACTCTGGGGGTTAATGGAGACTCTCACAGGGAACTTTCTGGGAGCCCAGGGCCTGTGCCTCCTTCCTTTAACCCAAGTTAGGAAAACCTATCAGGACCTTTCCTGGCCTCCATGGTATGCGTGTTGGGGGGAGGAGCAACAGTCTTGCTGCTGGGACCCCTAAGGACAAGTGAGTTGCTGACAGTGCCGCCTTTTTCTGGGCTGCTGATACAGGCAGACTTGGGACAAACGTCATGGTGTTTCTTCTCTGCTGACTGCTCCTCCATCCCCCAGTCCCCAGCACCAGCTGTCCCAGCTGCAGAGAGAGACAGTCCCCCTGGTAACAGCCAGCACCTCACTACCATGGCACGCAGCAGTCAGACGGATCTTTTTAGCATCTATATCAGATTACTTCCCTACCTTATTCAGATTCCTCCATGACTTCCCAATATACTTAAAACAAGATCCACTGTCCTTACCGTGGCTGGCACGGCCCACTATGGTCTGGCCCATGCTTACTTGCTTACTTCCTTACTTCTCCAACCACCTTTTTCTTTTCTTTCTTTTTTTTTTTGAGACAAGTCTCACTCTTGTCCCTCAGGCTTGAGTGCAATGGCTCGATCTCGGCTCACTGCAGCCTTCGCCTCCCGGGTTCAAATGATTCTCCTGCCTCTGCCTCCCAAGTAGCTGGGATTAAGGCGCCTGCCACCACACCCAGCTAATTTTTGTATTTTTTAGTAGAGACAGGGTTTCACCATGTTGGCCAGGCTAGTCTCGAACTCCTGACCTCAGGTGATCCACTAGCCTCAGCCTCCCAAATTGCTGGAATTACAGGAGTGAGCCACTGCACCTGGCCTCCAACCATCTTATTTTTTTTTCCTTCCTTCCTTCCTTCCTTCCTTCCTTCCTTCCTTCCTTCCTTCCTTCCTTCCTTCCTTCCATCTTTCCTTCCTTCCTTCCTTCCTTTCTTTCTTTCTGACAGAGTCTCACTCGTTGCCTAGGCTGGAGTGCAGTGGCAGGATCATGGCTCGTTGCAGCCTATACCTCCTAGGCTCAAGCAATCCTCCTGCCTCAGCCTCCTGAGTAGCTAGGGACCACAGGCATTCACCACCACACCCAGCTGATTTTTTGATTTTTTGTAGAAAGGGCACCTCCCTATGTTGCCAGGCTGGTCTCAAACTCCTGGGCTCAAGTGACCCTCCCTCCTTGGCCTCCCAGCCACCACATCTTTCAATCTCCTCTATCTTTCTTCCCTGGCCACACTGGCCTTTCTGCTGGCCCTCAAATTGGTCAGTCTTGTAGGCCGGGTGTGTTGGCTCACACCTGTAATCCTAGCACCCTGGGAGGCCAACGCTGGCGGATTACCTGAGGTCTGCAGTTTAAGACCAGCCTGGCAAACATAGTGAAACCCCATCTCTACTAAAAACACAAAAATTAGCCGAGTGTAGTGGCATGTGCCTCTAGTCCCAGCTACTCAGGAGGCTGAGGCAGGAGAATCACTTGAACCTGAGAGGCAGAGGTTGCAACGAGCCAAGGTCGCACCATTGTACGCCATCCTGGGAGACAAAGTGAGACCCCACCTCAAAAAAAGAAAAAATGGATCAGTCTCATTCTTACCATTATACTTGAAATTTCCTCCAGTAATGCTCTCCCTTCTACTCCTCACGATTCCCTCACATCTCAGCCACAATGTCATCATCTCAGAGAAGCCTTCCCTAACCACCTGGTGTAACACAGCACACCTCATTACTGTATTCTCTTATCCAGTTTCATTTTTCTTTATACCAGTTATAGTTATCTAAAATTATATTGTTTGGGGAGGCTGAGGCAGGACAATGGCGTGAACCCAGGAGGCAGAGCTTGCAGTGAGCCTAGATCGCGCCACTCCAGACTGGGTGACAGAGCGAGACTCCGTCTCAAGAAAAACAACTACAACAACAACAACAAAAATTATATTGTTTGTCTCTATGAACAAATTATATTGTTTGTGGGTGCCTTGAGGGGAGGAGTTTCTCATTCACCAATATATCCCAAGCAACCAGCACAGTGGCTGGTATGTAAGAAGTGCTCAATAGGCCGGGTGCGGTGGCTTATGTCTGTAATCCCAGCACTTTGGTGGGTGGATCGCCTGAGGTTACGAGTTCGAGACCAGCCTGACCGATATGGTGAATCCCATCTCTACTAAAAATACAAAAATTAGCCGGGTGTGGGGGTGTGCCCCTGTAGTCCCGGCTACTCAGGAGGCTGAGGCAGGAGAATCGCTTGAACTCGGAAGGCGGAGGCTGCAGTGAGCCGAGATCGTGCCACTGCACTCTAGCCTGGGCAACAGGAGAGAAAACTCTGTGTCAAACAAAAAAAAAAAGTGCCCAATAAATACTTGTTGAATAAATGAATGAATGGATGAGTGGATAGATGGAGCAGCATCTTCTTAGTTATTTTGTCCCTCTCCTAACACTCTCTAAAACACACACACACACACGGAAACACTCACTGGGCTCTACATTTTTTTAGCTTTTCTTTTTTTCTTTCTTTTTTGAGACAGGGTCTCGTTGTGTCACCCAGTCACCCAGACTGCTGAAATGCAGTGGTATGATCATAGCTTACTGCAGCCTTCAACTCCTGGCTTTAAGCGATCCTCACGCCTCAGCCCCCCAGATGGCTAGGACTATAGGTGCACCCCACCATACCTAACTAATTATTTTTATTTTTGTAGAGACAGGATCTCACTACTTGCCCAAGCTCGTCTTGAACTCCTGGCTTCAAGCAATTCTCCCATCTTGGCCTCCCAAAGTATTGGGATTACAGATGTGAGCCACTGTGGCCGGCCAGGCTCTGCGTTTCTTTTTTAAATTTTTATTTATTTGGGAGGCTGAGGCAGATGGGTCACTTGAGCCCAGGAGTTCAAGACCAGCCTGGACAACACGGCAAGACCCCATCTTTTTTTTTTTTTTTTTTGAGATGGAGTGTCGCTCTGTCGCCTAGGCTGGAGTGCAGTGGCGTGATCTTGGCTTACTGCAAGCTCCGCCTCCCGGGTTCATGCCATTCTCCTGCCTCAGCCTCTCAAGTAGCTGAGACTACAGGTGCCTGCCACCACAACTGACTAATTTTTTGTATTTTTAGGAGAGACGGGGTTTCACTGTGTTAGTCAGGATGGTCTTGATCTCCTGACCTTGTGATCCGCCCGCCTCTGCCTCCCAAAGTGTTGGGATTACAGGTGTGAGCCACAGCGCCTGGCCTTTTTTTTTTTATTTTTTTTTAGACAGAGTTTCACTCTTGTTGCCCAGATTGGAGTGCAGTGGCATGATCTCGGCTCACTGCAACCTTTGCCTCCCAGGTTCAAGTGATTCTCCTGCCTGAGGTTCCTGAGTAGCTGGGATTACAAGTGCCCACCACCATGACCAGTTAAGTTTTTGTATTTTTTTTTTTGTTTTGATACGGATGTCGCCCAGGCTTTAGTGCAGTGGCACTATCTCGGCTCACCACAAGCTCTGCCTCCCGGGTTCATGCCATTCTCCTGCCTCAGCCTCCCGAGTAGCTGGGACTACAGGCACCCGCCACCACGCCTGGCTAATTTTTTGTATTTTTTAGTAGAGATGGGGTTTCACCATGTTAGGATGGTCGCAATCTCCTGACCTCGTGATCCGCCCACCTCGGCCTCCCAAAGTGCTGGGATTACAGGCGTGAGCCACCACGCCTGGCCAATTTTTTGTATTTTTAGTAAGATGGGGTTTCATTGTGCTGGCCAGGCTGGTCTCAAACTTCTGACCTTAGGTGATCCACTGCCTCAGCGTCCCAAAGTGCAGGGATTACAGGACTGAGCCACTGTGCCTGGCCGAGACCCCATCTAAGAGAGAGAGAGAAAAGAGGAAGAAGAAGGAGGAGAAGGAGAAGGAGAAGAAGAAGAAAGAAGGAAGAAGGAAGAAGAATAAGAAGAGGAGGAAGAAAGAGGCTGGGTATGGTGGCTCATGCCTATAATCCCAGAACTTTGGGAGGCCAACGCGGGCAGATCTTGAGGTCAGGAGATCAAGACCATCCTGGCCAACATGGTGAAACCCCGTCTCTGCTAAAAATACAAAAATTGGCTGGGTGTGGTGGCGGGCGCCTGTAGTCCCAGCTACCAGGGAGGCTGAGGCAGGAGAATGGCGTGAACCCAGGAGGTGGAGCTTGCAGGGAGCCGAGATAGTGCCACTGCACGCCAGCCTGGGTGACAGAGTGAGACTCCGTCAAAAAAGAAAAAAAAAAAAGATGATCAAGTCAAATACTGTTATGGAAAAATAATTTTTTTAATTTTTTTTTAAATTGAGCAGTAGGGACCTCACTGGGGCCATAATGGGCAGGAAATAAAGTAACATGTGAGCTTCAGGGGGATGTTGCTCAACTTCCTCCTTATTGTTCTTGCTGTAGGTGGCAGGTCTCCCCAGGTCTCTTTCTTCTACCTCCTGAGATGCCAAGCAGGAGGCTTTCTCCTGCTGTGACTAGCCATGGGCTGCTGCTTCCAGTTTCAGCAAGTCCTGGCCCTCCTGGTTTGTGCTGGTAGTTGCTGGCAGTGACTCAAAGCAAAGACCCATCTGGTAGATCAAGCCCTTACTGGGCTATGCTGCACTCCCTCTCTGCACTTGACTCCTCGGCTAGCAGAGTGCAGACTATTTCTATCTTCTGCCCAAAAAGGGACTCTGGAGAGATGAGTAGAGGAACATCAGGTTTTCTTCCAGGCCGTCTTCAGCCTTGGGATGTTCAAAGCAACCTCTCATTTTAAACCACAGTTTCTGAGGCTCCTTGGCCATGGGTAGTTAGCATGGAAGGGGGCTTCTGGATGAGGAAGGCATAGGCAGAATGACTCAGGCTCTATCTGCAGTGGTGGGCAGGGGAGGTCACCGCAGAAGAGGCATTAGCTGTCTTAGACAGCTAAACATTTGTCCTTTCTCCCAAATGGCTCAGCCAGCAAGCTTCTGTGGGGTCAGTCTCCTGCCACGATGCTCCAAGCGCCGAATTTTGGGGCTAGAGCAACCCAGGTCTTTATCTGACTCTATCGTAGCTTGACGTCTCTTGGGAGCACGCCTGGGGGCTGGCTTCTCTGCTTCAGCCTTTGTTGGGGTGGCCAAAGGAGCATCCCCATGGACCCGGTAGCCACCAACCAGGCAGTACGTCTCCCCATGCCAGCCTACCTGAGTTTCTCCACACCCTCGGTAGAGAACATGGTAGTGCCCAGGTGTGGGAGGAGAAGTGGCAGGCACTGCAGCTGGAAAGAAAACCAGAATTAGTCACTTTTACCTTATACATTGTGCTGTTACAGCCTACCCTCTCTCGCGACTCTTCCTAAGAAGTCCTTTCATCTTCTTCGCATCCCAGACACAGCCTTGGCCTATCACCTCTATGTGTCCCTGAGACAGGATGCTGGCTGTGAAAGCAGTTATGTGGAGCCTGTGTCAGCAGCAGGAGACCAGGAGATCCTCCTCATCCCTTCCATGACCAAAAATACATTTCTTAAGGTCTGTCACATCTCAGGCTTTAATGGAAATTATTTTCAAGTTTTGTAAAAAATGATCTACTATCAGCCAGGTGGGGTGGTTCACGCTTATAATCTCAGCACTTTGGGAAACTGAGGAGGGAGGATCACTTGAGCCCAGGAGTACCAGCCTGGCCAACATGGTGAAACCCCATCTCTACTAAAAATACAAAAAATTAGTCAGGCATGGTGGCACGCACCTGTAGTCCCAGCTGCTTGGGAGGCTGAGGCAGGAGAATCGCTTGAACCTGGGAGGCGGAGGTTGCAGTGAGCCAAGATCGCACCACTGCATTCCAGCCTGGGTGACAGAGCGAGACACTGTCTCAAAAAAGAAAAAGAAAAAGAAAAAAAGGATCTAATATTGTGCCACTGCACTCCAGCCTGGGTGACAGAGCGAGACTAAAATAAAAAGATCTAATACAAATTGGTGGGCCAGGCACAGTGCCTCACGCCCGTAATCCTAGCACTTTGGGAGGCTGAGGTGGGCCGATCGCTTGAGCTCAGGAGTTCAAGACCAGCCTAGGCAACATGGCGAAACCCTGTCACTACTAAAAAGAGAAAAAATTAGCTGGGTGTGGTGGCGCGTGCCTGTAGTCCCAGCTACTAGGGAGACGAGTTGGGAGAATCCCCTGAGCCCAGGAAGTTGAGGTTTCAGTGAGCTGTGATTATGCCAGTGTGCTCCAACCTGGACGACAGAGAACCTGTCTCAAAAAAAAAAAAAAAAAAAAAAAAAATTCAGACCAGCCCCAGCAACATAGCAAGACCCCATCTCAATTAAAAAAAAAAAAAAAAAAAAAAGATGAGAACCTTTCTGAGCACCTGCTCAGATGACATTTCACTTGCCCTTAGCAGGTGAACTTGCCCTGAGCAGGAACACTGTGGGTCCCTGAGTGGCCACGCCCTCGATATTACTTATGGCTGGGAAAGCTCGAGGTGTGGTGGGCCAGCCCAGAAGGAATGTGTCAGCCAGGTGAAGCTGTGGGTACAGCAACGCCTCCTGTATAGATGCCCCCTGTATGCCTACCTGCTGCGCTGCCCTCCCAGGGGACAGAGGACATGTTAGAGACAATATAGAGGATCCGGTCAGTCATTCTCTCTCAGCCAACCAAACAGATTGGTATCTTACAGAGAAATGGTAGGGAGGCTTCTCTAGGACGCAGGTGTGTAGTCACGCTGCCATGGAAACTTTGGAAGCTTGTGAGGTCATCACTACCCTGTGAAGTCACCTAAGGAATCTGTGACTTAAGGGGCAGGCTTCAGGCCTTCAGGGTTTTGTGGAGGAGAGCAGGGCAGAGATAGAGAGGAATCCTGCCTGGGCCCTCCCATCCAGCCCTCCCTACAAATGCCTAGTAGCCACTCTGTGGGGCACATCTGTCGGCTGGTACAAGCCCCAGTGACCACAGGAGGGCAAGAGAAACCTAAATTCTGATATGAGCTGGAGAGGCAAGATTAATCTAAGAGATAGATAGGTAGCCACGCACTGGTGCTAAGCAATCAACAGCAGGAGAGGCAGAGATTGGGATGGACAAAGGGATCATGGAAGGCTCCTTCGAGCTGGACTTGAAGGACTGGTGAGATCTGGACACACGCAAAGAGTAACTGCCCAACGTGTTCCCCTTGCCACTGCCTAGACAAAGCTGATTTATCAAGACAGGGAAATTGCAATAAAGAGTAATTCACGCAGAGCTAGCTGTGCGGGAGACTGGAGTTTTATTACTCAAATCAGTCTCCCTAAGCATTCAGGGATCAGAGTTTTTAAAGATAATTTGGTGGGTGGTGGGCAGTGAGTCCGGAAAGCTGATTGGTTGGGTCAGAGATGAAATCATAGGGAGTCAGCTTGGGCGTGGCAGCTCGTGCTTGTAATCCCAGCACTCTGGGAGGCTGACCAGCCTGGCCAACATGGTGAAACCCCTAAAAAAACAAAAATTAGGCTGGACGCGGTGGCTCATGCCTGTAATCCCAGCACTTTCGGAGGCCAAGGTGGGCGGATCACGAGGTCAAGAGATCGAGACCATCCTGGCCAATATGGTGAAACCCTGTCTCTACTAAAAATACAATTTAGCTGGGTGTGGTGGCATGTGCCTGTAGTCCCAGCTACTTGGGAGGCTGAGGCAGAAGAATCCTGAATCTGGGAGGTGTGGGTTGCAGTGAGCTGAGATCCAGCCATTGCATTCCAGCCTAGTGACAGAGCGAGACTCTGTCTCAAAAACAACAACAAAAACAAAAAGTTAGCCGGGCGTGGTGGCGCTGTCTGTAACCCCAGCTAGCTACCTGGGAGGCTGAAGCACTGAAACCCAGGAGGCAGAGATTGCAGTGAGCCAAGATCATGCCACTGCACTCCAGCCTAGGCGACAGAGTGAGACTCCATCTCAAAGGAAAAAAAAAAGAAATCTTAGGTAGTCGAAAGTATCCTCTTGCCGAGTCAGTTCCTGGGTGGGGGAGCCACAAGATTAATCTGGGTGGTGTCAGCTGATCCATCAAGTGCAAGGTCTTTTTTATTTTATTTATGTTTTTTGAGACAGAGTCTCACTCTGTTGCCCAGGCTGGAGTACAGTGGTGCAATGATCTTGACTCACCGCAACCTCCCCTTCAAGGGATTCTCGTGTCTCAGCCTCCTGAGAAGCTGGGACTACAGGCACCTGCCACCACGCCCAGCTAATTTTTGTATTTTTAGTAGAGACAGGGTTTTGCCATGTTGGCCAGTCTGCTCTCAAACTCCCCCGTCCTCAAGGGATCCGCCTGCCTTGGCCTTCCAAAGTGTTGGGATTACAGGCGTGAGCCACTGCGCCCAGCCAATCAAGTGTAGGGTGTGCAAAATATCTCAAGCACTGATACTATGTCATATATATAATATATAACATATATATGACACGTATGTATGTATATATGTACACACACACACACACACACACACACACACATATATATATATTTTGAGACAGATGCCTCGGCCTCCCAAAGTTCTGAGATTACAGGCATGAGCCACCATACCCGGCCTAGGTATATAATTTAAAAAAAATTAAAAAATTAACAAATATGGAACGCTTCATGGATTTGCATGTCATCCTTGCACAAGGGGCTGTGCTCATCTTCTCTGTATAGTTCCAATTTTAGTATATGTGTTGCTGAAGCGAGCATGATCTTAGGTTTTATATAGTGATGTTATCCCCAAGAGCAATTTGGGGACTGGTCAGAATCTTGTAGCCTCGGCCGGGCACAGTGGCTCACGCCTGTAATCCCAGCACTTTGGGAGGCTGAGGTGGGTGGATCACCTGAGGTCAAGAGTTCAAGACCAGCCTGGGTAACATGGTGAAACTCGTCTCTACTAAAAATACAAAAAATTAGCTGGGCGTGGTGGTGGGTGCCTGTAATCCCAGCTACTCAGGAGGCTGAGGCAGGAGAATTGCTTGAACCCGGGAGGCGGAGGTTGCAGTGAGTCAAGATAGCGCCTCCGCACTCCAGCCTGGGCAACAACAGTGAGACTCCATCTCAAAAAAAAAAAAAGAATCTTGTAGCCTCTAGCTGCATGACTCCTAAACCATAATTTCTAATCTTTTGGCTGATTTTGTTAGTCCTACAAAGGCAGTCTAGTCCCCAGGCATGAAGGGGGTTTCTTTTGGGAAAGGGCTGTTATCTTCTTTGTTTTAAACTATAAACTATAAACTAAGTTCCTCCCAAAGTTAGTTCAGCCTATGCCCAGGAATGAACAAGGACAGCTTGGAGGTTAGAAGCACGATGGAGCTGGTTAGGTCAAATCTCTTTCACTCTCTCGGTTGTAATTTTGCAATGGCGGTTTCAATAGGAGAGGGAATACGTTCCAGTTAAGAAGACTGAAAACATACAGGCTCTTCTTGACTTTGTTCTGCCCCAAATGTAAATTCATAGCACCCTCACATTTTTACCACCTAAGATTCAAGAACGCCAAGAGGTTAGGGGTCCATCCAAGGTCATACAGGTAGCAGAGAGGCATTCTGATCCGCAGGGCTTCATTTGGGGCTCCAGAATTATAGCTGTTAAGAATGTGAGGACAAGCTCATCACATTTAAAGGTGATGTACACTGGAGGTATGTTAAATGTGCCCCAAGGCAAAATGAGGCTCCCAAATGACTGTATGAAGTGCGAATGATGGTTCTATTTTTAAAATTTATTCTTTTTTCAGAAACAGGGTCTCATTTTGTCATCCAGGCTAGAATACAGTGGCACCATCATAGCTTACTGTAACCTGGAACTCCTGGCCTCAAGTGATCCTCTTGCCTTGGCCTCCCAAAGTGCTGAGATTATAGGAGTGAGATGTCACGTCTACAGATGAACCTATTTTAACATGAAATTCAAACAAATTCATGACAAGATAAGAATCCCAAATGACTGGCCAGGTGCCTTGGCTCATGTCTGTAATCCCAGCACTTTGGGAGGCTGAGGCAGGCGGGTCACTTGAGGCCAGGAGTTCACAACCAGCCTGGCCAACATGGCAAAACTCTGTCTCTACTAAAAATATAAAAACTAGCCGGGCATGGTGGTGTGCACCTCTAATCCCAGCTACTCAGGAGGCTGAGGCCCGAGAATTGCTTGAACTTGGGAGGCAGAGGTTGCAGTGAGCCGAGATTGTGCCACTGCACTCCAGCCTGGGTGACAGAGTTAAGACTCTGTTTCAAAAAAAAAAAAAAAGATAACAATACAAAATCATAACCTTATCATTACACTGCCCTCTCTTTAAATAGGCAAACAATGACAATCTTATCACTATGAAAGGATGAGGTTTAGCTCCCAGCAGCAGCCCAGGTCAGCACTGTGGAGAGGTACCAAAAGGTCATTAGGGCCAGGCGTGGCGGCTCACACCTGTAATCCTAGCACTTTGCGAGGTGGAGGCAGGAGTATCTCTTGAGCCCAGGAATTTGAGACCAGCGTGGGTAACATAGCTAGACCTTGTGTCTATTTTTTTTATATTTAAAAAAAGGCGATTTGGTCCTACTCAAAGGAAACAGGCAACTCTGCCCTTAGCCTGATCAGGACCACACTAGGAGCAGCCTTTGGTTCAGTGTGGCCAAGAACTTCCTACCAAAGAGAGATGACCTTAAGGAGAGGTCTCCCTATTACTGGCCTTGAAAAAGCAAACATGGGACATTTATTTAGTGGGGTTATTGCAGAGGGGATATGCCCAGGAGGTAGAGACGGCCCGATCTTTGGAGACTGGGTCACCCCGGTTGAGAATCATAGCACCTTCTCTCATAAGTTGCTTTAGTGTGGTGCTAATTGATGGCCTGCAGGGAGTGGTAGGAGGTAAAATATCAAGGGGATGGTTCCTGGGAAGTCTGTTCTGGCAGGAGGGCTAGCATGAGATCACTCAGATTCTCCAAGGCTCTGGAGAGAGTACTTGTCCGGAAGCATCCCTCTTGTCTTGTGGGGGTACAAAGCCTTACAGGAATTTGCTGGGACTCTGGGAAAGGCAGTACAGCATAGACAAATGGTTTATCAATTTGGGAGGGCCCAAGTATCACCTGGGGGAGTTTACAAAGAGTATTCTCAGGTCAAACTTTAGAGAGCTTAATCCCATCTGGAGTGGGGCTCAGGATTCTGTTATTTTTTTTGAGACAGAATATCAGCTCTGTCACCCAGGCTGGAGTGCAGAAGTGCAATTTTGGCTCACTGAAACCTTCGCCTCCAGAATTCAAGCCATTCTTGTGCCTCAGCCTCCCAAGTATTTGGGATTACAGGCGTGCACCACCACATTCAGCTAATTTTTTTGTATTTTTAATAGAGATGGGGTTTCGCATGTTTACCAGGCTGGTCTTAAACTCCTGACCTCAGGTGATCCTCCTGCCTCAGCCTCCCAAAGTGCTGGCATTACAGGCGTGAGCCACCACACCCGGCTTTTTTTTTTTTTTTTTTTTGAGATGGAGTCTTGCTCTGTCCCCTAGGCTGGAGTGTAGTGGTATGATCTTGGCTCACTGCAACCTCCGCCTCCCAGGTTCAAGTGATTCTCCTGCCTCAGCCTCCCGAGTAGCTGGGACTACAGGCGCGTGCCACCACGCCGGGTTGATTTTTGTAATTTTTTTTTGTGTATATATATATATACACATATATATATACACGTATATATATATACACGTATATATATATATACATATATATATATACGTATATATATGTATGTGTATATATATATATACGTATGTATATATATATATATATATATATATATACGTATATATATATATAAAGAAAATGCTATATGGTTATTTTTCCAGTTTTGTAAAACCGTTTAATCATCTCTCCTCTTTCTCGGCTACCGAGTTGGGATAGAAGGCAGAACCTGAAAATGTACAAGCAAAACTTCTGTGTTCGTCTACCCTTTACTTTTCTGCCAGTACCTTCCAGAGATTTCGCCAAGACGCCCGTTTGTCTTGGGCATTGTTAGAGAGTAACTCTGTCTACTGCTAGTCACATTTCCTTTCCTTTCCTTTCCCTGGGGGCTTAATGGATACCTTTTTGGGGGCAGGAAATACAAACTAAATGTTTATAAATGAAAACATCAACTGAAAGAGCCTTTGTCCTAGATGTGGAGGTTTGGTGTATGAATCCTCAGAAACTACTGAATTCCGCCCCGGTGCTAATTATTCTTAGGGGAGGCACATAAAAACATCATTTATTGTTAGAAATCATGACATGATACAAAGTCAAAATCCACTTGTGTCTTGCTAAAGACTACAGAAAGCCATGCTCAGCAGCTTCTTCTCCAATGCTGGCCAGCAGCGTACCTTTCCAAGTCACAAAGCAGTTCATCCCGCCCTCAAGGAGCCGACAGGGCAGCCCAGAGCCTCCCACTGACAAGTGTGGTCACCCACTCAAGATACTGGGAAAGATCCCTGTTCTAGCATCACATTTTAATCAGATTTGTCAAAATCAGGTTGCTTGGGGCAAAGGCTCTTTCACCGAGGATGCTAGTCCTGGAAGACTTCTCCTTCGGCGAGCCGCCAGCTCAATCTTCTGAACCAGGCTCACATCCCAGGGATGGGTCACAAAACTGATGACGGTGCCTGGCACCTCGCTCCCCACACGGCCCACTCTCCCTGCTCTGTGGATGTAATCTTGCAGCGTTGGGGGGAAATCATAATTGACAACCAGCTCCACACCAGTGCTGTCCAGGCCCCGAGAGGCTATGTCTGTGCAGAGAAGTATGTCTCGGGAGCTCTTCTGGAAGGACTGGAAGATTCCTACCCTCATCAAGGCTGGCATTTGCCCCTGCAACCTTAGGTGTTGGATTTTGTGGTCATCCAGAATATATCCCAGCCAGTTCACAGTGCTGGAGCTATTACAGAACACCAGAACAGTTCCTGAGGGACCAGTCCTTTCTGCTCTGTCACGATGCTTGAGGATGTGCACCAGCTCGGCCACCTTATCTGCTCCCTTCAGTCTCAGAAATGTCTGTTTCACATGAGGCATGATACAGTGGAGCTTGGAGCTGGTGATGGTGGTGACAGCATCTGGGCTGGCGACTTTATTCAGCAACTGGCCTACACCTTCGGGAAATGTGGCTCCTACCAGCACTAACTGAGCTTTGGGATTGAAGGGGTCTTCCAAGTCAGCTGGGCCTTCTGCTATGTGGCTCTTCTCTAAGATGTAGTCCACCAGTTCCAGGAAGCTTTCATCCAGCAGTGTGTCTGCCTCATCCAACACCAAGAAGGAGAGTTGCTCCAGACTGATCAGTCGACTTTTCAGGGCCTTCCACAGAGCCCCTGGAGTGGCCACAAGCACATCTGCTGAAGGCTGTCTGGACAGCTGCAGCCTGATCCTACGCATGCCGTGGCCTCCCTCCAGGTCCCGCACCAGCAGGCCCAAGGAGCGGCCCAAGGGTTGGGCCACAGCCCGCACCTGTTGGGCCAATTCTCGGGAAGGAACAAGGACCAGGCCTCGGGGCGCGGGGATAGGAAGGGAGTCCAGGCTTGGCTGGCCCAAGAGCCGTTGAAGCAGCGGCAGGAGGTAGCTGAGAGTCTTGCCACTGCCGGTTTCTGCGGCGCAAACGACATGGCGGCCGCGAAGTAGTGAGGGGATGGTGCTAGACTGCACGGTTGTGGGCTGAACGACTTCAGGCGCAGCCTCCTGTAGTGCGTGCAGCACACGGGGCTCCAGGCCCAGGTCAGCAAAGCTGCCCTTAGACGAGAGCTTTCGCACCGCTGGCGCCTCCTGTTGCGCGCGCTCGATGGAGAAGTGGTCCCGACGCGCGCGTCGACTCTTCCAGCCTTGAGAGGCTAGCGGCGCGCGCTCCCAACGGCCCAGTGTGAGGCGCGCCGGCTGGTTCAACTCCGGCCGCCGCGCCGAAACCAGCAGCGGTCCGGGTCGAACCAGCACCGGCCTCGGGAGGTTCCGCCGCCTGCTCTGCCGCTGTTCCAACTGCCGCTGTAGAGCCACTGGGATGCGCACCACCGGCAGGGGTTCGTCGGGACTGCGGACCGTGAGGCCCCGTCGCGGCGCCAGGAGCAACCGAGTCACGAGGGAAAAGAGCCGCACCGGCCGCGTTAGAGCCATGTTTCCCTTAGTGCGGGAGAAGCGCACATCAGTGACGTCACGGACGCGCCGCGACCTCGCGTACGGTGGCTGGCGAGGCTCAGTACGGTGTGTGGAGCTGGAGCACCGTGAGGAAGAAGCGAGGTTCTTTTTAAGAGTTCAGCTGCGAGGTCTGTAGCTCCGAATAGGGGATGGCGACATCCAGACCCGGCCAGCCTTGGGGAAGGGCGCGTCGTGGAGGCAGGACTGGAGGCTGGCGATACGAGGCGGCAGTGGGGCCTTGACCCAATGGACCATGAGGGCGGAGGGCTTCTGGCGATTGGTTACCTGGTTCCTGGGATTCTCTTTAGTTGTTCCTCATTGCCCTGAGATAGCTTGTCCCGTGCTGGTATCCGAGGTTGCAGCTGTTTTCCCAGATGTGTTCCCTGCGCAGGGTCTGGTAATCCGTGTTTATTGAGAGTTTGAATGAATGATCAGGCCTAGGGGCCGAGACAGGGGTCTGAAGTCATAGATCTGGGCTCAACCCCTCACCCTCTCTGTCTGTGAGCCCAGAGTGCAAGCTGATGGCTTTCAGCTTCTTCTCTCTCTCAAGTGGGAGATAAGGTCTTCAGGTTTTATTTCAAGTTGGGTCATCTTTTCTTCACAGTTATTTTCCTTCCTTTTAAGCCAAGGTTCACTCTCTACTCCCTCGTCACGCGTCCCAACTTCTCATCCAGAACCCACCCCTCTTGCAGCCCGCTCAGCTCCACTGGCTTCCCCGTCAGAAACCTGAATTACCTAAAATAGTAGTAAGAAGGGTGCTGCGACCCTACAAAGTGATCAAGTACGTGGCTTATCATGTAGCCCTGGTCAGGCAGAATATTTTACCTGAATTCAGATATTCGGGTTGTAAAAACAAGAACTATACGAGTCACTTTTTTTTTTTTTTTTTCTGAGACACAGTCTCGTTCTGTCACCCAGGCTGGAGTGCAGTGGCGCAATCTCGGCTCACTGCAACCTCCACCTCCTGGGTTCAGGTGATTCTCCTGCCTCTGCCTCCCAAGTAGCTGAGACTACAGCCGTACACCACCCACGCCCGGCTAATTTTTTCTGTTTTTAGTAGAGACAGGGTTTCACTATGTAGGCCTGGCTGGTCTCGAACTCCTGGCCTCAAGCGATCTTCCCACCTCGGCCTCCCAAAGTGATGGGATTATAAGCGTGAGCCACCATGCCCAACAGATACTTCTTGAACAGATCTGGAAAATGGGTGTCAGATCTTTTCTGTAATTTGCAGTGCCTGGGGTGGGAGATAAGGTAAATATTTATGGATTAACTCTCTGGGAGGTTCGTAACATCTGGAGAAAACGTTTTAGTTTCATCAAATACCAATGAAAAGATAAAAACTTTGCTTTTTTTGGAATAGTATGAGGAAAAACTTTCACAATTTTAAGTACACTCTACCCTTGTGCTACACAATTAGACTTTCTGGAGAGTTACCAGATAAATCAGAGGAAGAGAGGCTTTTTTTCTCCACAAGAAAATATCTGGAAGTAGGAAGAGAAAGTTTTGAGTAGTGATGGGTGAATGAACAGTCATTGGATAGGGTAGTGGTTCTAAAACAAGGGTGATTTTGCCCTTTCCCTCCCACCATATTTGACAATGGCTGGATACTTTTTTTTTTTTTTTTTTTATAGACAGTCTCACTGTGTTGCCCAGGCTGGAGTACAGTGGTGCGATGTCAGCTCACTGCAGTCTCTGCCTTCTGGGTTCAAGGGATTCTCCTGCATCAGCCATCTGAGTAGCTGGGATTAGAGGTGTGCGCTACCACTCCCAGCTAATTTTTGTATTTTTAATAGAGACAGGGTTTCACTACGTTGGGCAGGCTGGTCTCAAACTCCTGACCTCATGATTTGCCCACCTTGGTCTCCCAAAGTGCTGAGATTACAGGTGTGAGCCGCTGTGCCCGGCCCAATTCTATGCTACTTTTATGATTCTTTCCAAACTCAGGGCTTCTCCTTATCCAAATAGTTCCTTGGGGCCAGGCTCATGCCTGTAATCCCAGCTACTCGGGAGGCTGAGGCAGGATAATCGTTTGAACCCGGGAGGCG
This sequence comes from Homo sapiens, assembly GCF_000001405.40. Lineage (NCBI taxonomy): Eukaryota > Metazoa > Chordata > Mammalia > Primates > Hominidae > Homo > Homo sapiens. The sequence continues at coordinate 68,025,269 of NC_000016.10, forward strand.
GAGGTTGTTGCAGTGAGCCGAGATCGCACCATTGCACTCCAGCCTGGGCGACAGGGCGAGACTCTGTCTCAAAAAAAAAAAAAAAAGGTCCCTTGGATGTTTGTCCCAACAGGTTTCATCCATTTCCATGTGCCACTGTTTTTCAGATATCAAACAAAGAATTACTCTGTACAAAGCCAGAACACATATATCAAAGTAATCCTGAAGTATCAGAACAAAATAATAGGTATGTATATGCATTTGGGTTTTTGGGTTTTGTTCAAATATCCAGGGTAGGGTAGCTGGTTAATATATAGTTGTTTTCTCATTATGCTTGAGTCCTTACAATATGATTACCTCAAAATTTCACAGGAGTTAGAGCTTGCCTAAGCCTGTCTGTGTCCGTGGCCACTAATTTCTTCTTGTCACATCACTAGACACTGCCTACCTTTTTTCCCCCTCACTCACAGAGGACATTGATTAACTTCTAAATGTTTTCTGAGATATTTTTATAAGTAGTGCTTTAGAAATAGGAAAGGTATCCTTATTGTGAAAAAAAATCTAAGCTCCTGAGATCAGGAGCTTGGTGTGTTCCTTGGATCTCAGTTAATAATGGTATATTCATTCATTCATTCAATCATTCATTCAACAAATACTTCCTGAGCACCACGCATGTGCCAGGCATTGGTAGTGAGGAAAACAGCCAAAATCCCTGCCCTTGTGGAGTTTACATTCTGATTTAATTGATTTGGGTTAAGGCCTAGACAAGGTCTTGCTCTGTCACCCAGGCTAGACTTCAGTGGTGCCATCTCGACTCACTGTAACCTCTGCCTCCCAGGTTCAAGTGATTCTTCTGCCTCAGCCACCCCAGTAGGTGGGATTACAGGCACGTGCTACCAAACCCGGCTAATTTCTGTATTTTTAGTAGAGATGAGGTTTTGCCATTTTGACCAGGCTGATCTCGAACTCCTGACCTCAGTTGATCTGCCTGCCTTGGCCTCCCGAAGTGCTGGGATTACAGATGTGAGCCATTGTGCCCAGCCGAGAAATTGGTATTTTTAGAAACCTCTCCAGATGTAACTAGGCTTGAGAATCACAGTTATAAATGAAGCACTTTGGGAATTGCAAAGCATTACAGCAATAAAAAGTGCTATTGGTATTACTTTATTGTTCCTCCATTTTCCCACCTGTAGCAGGGCTGTGCGCAGGTAATCATATTTTCAGTCATTATCACTATAGTATTCCTGGACCCTTTGACCTTCCTTCTCATCCAGCTCCCTACCTGCTCTTTGTTTTTTACCCTCTGGTCTACCTTCTGTTTCCCGAGTGATGTTATTAAAGCACAGCTAGGCCTGGTGTGGTGGCTCACGCCTGTAATCCCAGCACTTTGAGAGGCCAAGGCGGGCAGATCACGAGGTCAGGAGTTCAAGACCAGTCTGGCAAACGTGGTGAAACCCTTTCTTTACAAAAATACAAAAATTAGCTGAGCATGGTGGCAGGCACCTGTAATCCCAGCTACTCGGGAGGCTGAAGTGGAAGAATTGCTTGAACCCGGGAGGCGGAGGTTGCAGTGACCTGAGATTGTGCCATTGCATTCCAGACTGGGTGATAGAGCAAGAGTCTATCTGAAAAAAAAAAAAAAAAAAAAAGCACAGCTATGGCCATGTTACCCTTTGACTCAAAAGCCATTCATGAATCCTTGTTGCCTGCAGATTATTTCCTAATCAGTATCCAGAATTGGGCTCAACCTCTTCTGTTGCTTTCTTATGTGAATCTTGTTCACTCAAGTGATGGCTCCATGCAAGTTGGCCAAAGGGCTTGTAGTCCTTTACTGGGTAAGCCAGAGATTGGAGTAGTCATTCGTCTCCTCTAAAACCAAACTTGAGTGATAACAAAGCACTTTAAATGCACTTTGGCTGGGATAGAGTTCTTCTGTGACTGAAGCATGGAGTGGATCATAGCTCTTGTTGCACTTGGTCCATTAACTTCTTGTTTTTTTTTTTTTTTGGAGATGGAGTTTTGCTCTTGTTGCCCAGGCTAGAGTGCAGTGGCATGATCTCAGCTTACTGTGACCTCCGCCTCCCGGGTTCAAGTGATTCTCTTGCCTCAGCCTCCCAAGTAGCTGGGATTACAGGCATGCGCCACCACACCCGGCTAATTTTGTATTTTTAGTAGAGACGTGGTTTCTCCATGTTGGTCAGGCTGGTCTGGTCTCAAACTCCCGACTTTAGGTAATCCGCCTGCCTTGGCCTCCCAAAGTGCTGGGATTACAGGCGTGAGCCACCTCACCCGGCTGCCATTAACTTCTTTTTACAGCAAACACTAAGCATCTACCATATGCCAGATTGTATGCTCTCTGATGAGGATCTGGTGATGAACAAGCCACAGTGCCTATTTTCACCTTACAGTGAAGAAGGCATATTGACAGATAGTTGCTCTTCTATTAATAGTTGCCAGGATAGCTCCATGCCAGGACAGGAATGAGCTCAGAGATGCCTTTACCCTGTTTTGGGAGATGTTGGTCAGAGAAGGCTTCCAGGAGGAGGTGATGAGGTTCTAAAAGTCTACAGGGAGTCAGCCAGGTGGAAGAATAGGGACGTGGCCCCTGGGCAGGGACAGCTTGTTCAGAGATCCCATACTGAGAGAGAGCAGGCCAGGCTGGGGAACTAGAAATATTTAAGAATAGCTGAAGCTTAGCATGGGGGAGTTCTGAGGGCAGGAGGCAGGTGATGAAAGAGGCTTCTATGGAAGGTGGAGACCAGACCTTATATTTACTGTGTTAAAGAGTGTAGACTTAATTTTACAGGCAGTAGGGAAGGCGTCCAGAAATGGAACTATCATGTTTTGCGTATCATATCTTTGCGTTTGGAAAGAGCCCTTTGGCTGGAAGGAGCATGGATTGGAAGTGATAAGCCTGGAGGCAGAGAGACTGGTTTGGAGACTGTTGTCATGGTTCAGTTGATAGATGATGGCAGTTGTAGAGCTGAGAAGCTCTTTGAGGTTAAGAGCTTAGTGCTTTCCGTGTCTTTATACCTCACACGCTGCCTTGATCTTAAAAGAGCTAGCAGATGTTTGTCGATATAACAACATAATAATAGACGTTAGAGGCCAGGCGCGGTGGCTCACACCTGTAATCCCAGCACTTTGGGAGGCCAAGGCGGGTGAATCACGAAGTCAGGAGTTTGAGACCAGTCTGGCCAACATGGTGAAACCCCATCCCTACTAAAAAAAAATACAAAAAATTAGCTGGGCGTGGTGGTGGGCACCTGTAATCCCAGCTACTCGAGAGGCTGAGGCAAGAGAATTGCTTGAACCCGGGAGGCGGAGGTTGCAGTGAGCTGAGATCACGCCACTGCACTCCATCCTGGGAGACAGTAGGAGACTCCGTCTCAAAACAAACAAACAAACAAAAAATAGAGTGTTGAAACCGTGAAAGCATGATGAGAGTGGCTAACATTTATTAAGCCTTTACTATGTGCTGAGAACTGTGGTACACCATGGAATTCACTCTTCACAGCATTTCCTTTGACTCCCATAGTGGAGCCTCATATTCCACAAGGAGAAGCTGAGGCTCAGCTGGGTTAATTAATGTGCCCGAGGCACAGCTGGGATTCAAGTGAAGGTCTGTCCAATTCCAGAGCTCAGGATCTTAACTATGAAATGCTGTATCAGGGCTGGGCACAGTGGGTCACGCCTGATTCCAGCACTTCAGAAGGTTAGGCAGGAGGATCGCTAGAGGCCAGGAGTTGGAGACTAGCCTGAGCAACATAGCAAGACTGTATCGCTACAGAAAAATTTAAACACAAAATTAGCTAGATGTGGTGGAACATGCCTGTAGTCCCAGTTACTCCGGATGCTGAGATGGGAGGATCACTAGAGCCCAGGAGTTTGGGACTGCAGTGAGCCATGATTGTGCCGCTGCACTCCAGCCTGGGCAACACAGCAAGGTCCCATCTCTAAAAAAAAAAAGCTATATCACCTCTTTCTCCTCAAATCTAACAAATCATTTTTACTTTTTGTCATGTGCATGTATTTTGTTTTCTGTTTTTAATTTTTGTTTTTAATTTTTATTTTTAATAGAGATGGGGTCTTACTATGTTGCCCTGACTGGTCTTGAACTCTTGGGCTCAAATGATCCTCTTGCCTCAACCTCCCAGTGTTAGGATTACAGGTGTGAGCTACCACACCTGGTGTATTTACACTTTTTTTATTTTTTTGAGGCAGAGTCTTGCTCCAATTTCCAGGCTGGAGTGCAGTGATACGATCTTGGCTCACTGCAGCCTCCACCTCACAAGTTCAAGTGATTCTCCTGCCTCAGCCCCCCAAGTAGGTGGGATAACAGGCCTGCACCACCATACCCGGCTAATTTTTGTATTTTTTGGTATAGATGGGGTTTGCCATGTTGCCCAGGCTGGTCTTGAACTACTGAGCTCAGGTAATCTGCCCACCTTGGCCTCCCAAAGTGTTGGGATTATAGGCATGAGCCACTGGACCCAGCCACATGTTCAGATTAGGAAATAAGATAATTCTGTAAATACTTGATTCTAGTTGACTTTCCAAATTTGAATTTTAGAGCTGGATGCAGTGGCTCACGCCTGTAATCCCAACACTTTGGGAGGCTGAGGCAGGTGGAGTACCTAGGACCACAGGTGTGTACCACCATGCCCCGCTAATTTTTTGTAGAGGTGGTGTCTTATTATGTTGCCTGGGCTGGTCTTGAACTCCTGGCCTCAAACGATCCTCCCGCCTCAGCCTCCCAAAGTGCTGGGATTACAGGTGTGAGCCACCATGCCTGGCCAGAAATTGCTTTTTAAGCAAGCTTTGTCTTTGGGGAAAATTGACAGGGAAGGGAATGGTAAAGTTTGTTTATACTCATTATTTTTCCTGAATAGTGTTATGTTCAATCTGAAAGCACTATAATTAATGGGATTATGAAAGTTGCAGATACCAGGATGAAACCGCTTTTGTCAAAATAGGACAAGGAAGGTGTGAAGTAGAGGAAGCTCATGCTTACATGTCTGAGATAAGAACTGTTTCCAAGGATTTTCTAAAAACCCCACCGGAGGCCAGGAGTGGTGACTCACATCTGCAATCCCAGCACTTTGGGAGGCTGAGGCGGGTGGATCACTTGAGGTCAGGAGTTCAAGACGAGTCTGGCCAACATGGTGAAACCCCGTCTCTACTGAAAACACAAAAATTGGCCGGGCATGGTGGTTAATTTTTGTCCCAGCTAATCAGGAGGCTGAGGCAGGAGAATTGCTCGAACCTCGGAGGTGGAGATTGCAGTGAGCCAAGATCATGCCACTGTACTCTAGCCTGGGTGACAGAGTGAGACTCCATCTCAAAAAATAAATAAATAAATAAATAAAAACCCACTAGAAATCCCTTCATGTCTTTCTTGAATTACCTGCTTTGCATGGCTTGCATGTTTTGCATATGTATATATATTTCTATGACAAAAGTTTATCAGTAGACATTTTGGTTTTCTTTTTCTTTTTTTTGGAGACAGGGCCTTGCTCTGTCACCCAGGCTGGAGTACAGTTGCACAATCATGGCTCACTGCTGCATCGAACTCTTGGACTCCCAATGATTCTTCTGCTTAAGCCTCCCAGAGTGGCTGGGACTGCAGGCACCTTCCATCACTCCTGGCTAGTTAAAAAATATATATATATTTTTGGTAGAGATGGGATCTTGCTATGTTGCCCAGGCTGGTCCCAAACTCCTGGCCTTGAGTGATCCTCCTGCCTTGGCCTCCCAAAGTGATGGGATTACAGGTGTGAGCCACCTTGCCTGGCATAGACATTTTTTAGGACTATTGTAATTCAGATAAAATGCTCTGGAAAGAATACTTGCCCAGTAATGGCATCTCCACCAGTGAACTGAAGACAACTCTGGCTTTGATCCTCTAGGAAACTCATGAACTCTTTTTTTTCTTTTTTGGAGATGAGTCTCGCTCTGTCACCAGGCTGGAATGCAGTGGCGTGATCTCTCACTGCAACCTCTGCCTCCCGGGTTCAAGCGATTCTCCTGCCTCAGCTTCCTGAGTAGCTGCGACTACAGGCATGCGCCGCCACACCCAGCTAATTTTTGTATTTTTAGTAGAGACGGGGTTTCACCATGTTGGCCAGGATGGTCTTGATCTCTTTACCTCGTGATCCGCCTGCCTTGGCCTCCCAAAGTGCTAGGATTACAGGCATGAGCCACTGTGTCTGGCCATGAACTCTGTTTCTAAGCAACTTATATAAATCTCTCCCTTTCTGCCAATAAAAGCTTCCTTTTCCCCTTCTGTCACCAGATGTACTTGTGGCTTGCCCTTCTGTGCATCCTGGATTATAATCCTTTTCTCTCATTCTCAAATAAACTCAACATGTTTGGAGGTATTTTTCTTTAATGTCTTTTTTTTTTAAGGTTAACAGGATATTATGTCCATGTAACTGAAGTTAAGGTTATTATTTTTTATTTTTTGAGATGGAATCTCACTCTGTTGCCCAGGCTGGAGGGCAGTGGTGCGATCTTGGCTAACTGCAACCTCTGCCTCCCTGGTTTGAGTGATTCTCCTGCTTCAGCCTCCCGAGTAGCTGGGATTGCAGGTGCACACCACCATGCCTGGCTAATTTTTTTATTTTTAGTAGAGACAGGGTTTCATCATGTTGGCCAGGCTGGTCTGGAACTCCTGATCTCAGGTGATCCTCCTGCCTTGGCCTCCCAAAGTGCTGGGATTATAGGCATGAGCCACCTCGCCCAGCCAAGGTTACTGTCTAAGAAATTGAGCGTAATAGAGGAGACCAGCCCTTAAAAGGAATGGTAGAAGAGATTGGAAATGAGTGACTAAAGTGGTGATGTGGGTGTGATCTCAGGGTGGGGTGAGTGGTTGTGGCAGTAACTGGGAAAGGCATGGGGGCTGCCTAGTTTTTCTCAGAGGAGCCTCCTTAGAGGCAGGGTGTGTCAGGCACCTCTGACTGAGTGCCAGAGGAAGTTGCCAGACCAACCACCCTACAAGAGGCTGTCCTCTTGGCTACCACAGTGGTAAGTATTCAGTCACACCTTACTAAGCAGCCTCTAAAGGTCATGTACCTGGCTCAGTGCTAGAAATCTGGCAGTGAACTAAGCAGCCACACTCCTGTTCTTGTAGAGCTTGTTGTCCTGGTGGTCTCCAGGAGGAGCTGAGGATTGAACAAGAAACTACAGCAGTCAGTGTGGACACATGGAGTGTAACTGAGCTGCAGAGAAATGTAGGGTGTTTGGAAAGCATGGGACCAGGGACCTGAATTTGATTTTCTGTAGGGACGTATCTTCACAAAGGGGGCATTCAAGGACAAGGGGACCTTAGCATGGGCATGCATGACTGAGTTGGAGGAGTATTCCAGACAGAACTGCAAGTGGGCAGGCCCCAGGGAAGCAGACAGTTTGGTGTGGGAGACTTTAAAGGAAGGCCAGGGTGGCCGGGCACAGTGGCTCACACCTGTAATCCCAGCTCTTTGGAAGGCCAAAGTGGGTGGATCACCTGAGGTCAGGAGTTAGCTGGGTGTGGTGGTGGGTGCCTGTAATCCCAGCTACTCGGGAGGCTGAGGCAGGAGGCTGAACCTGGGAGGTGGAGGTTGCAGTGAGCTAAGATTGCGCCACTGCACTCCAGCCTGGGCAACAGAGTGAGACTCCATCTCAAAAAAAAAAAAAAAAAAAAAAAGGGAATGCCAGGGTGGCCAGGGCCGAGAGGGAGGGTGAGAGAGACACAGGTGAGGGTGAGGCTGGAGAGGTGGGTAGGGACTGATCATGCAGGGCCTTGTGGGCCATTAGAAAGGTTTAGGATTTTTCCTAAAGTCAGTGGGAAGCCATTGAAAGGTATAAACGGGGGAGTGGTATTATCAGAGTTGCCTTTTTAGGATCCCATGCTGGCAGAATGGATAGGAAGGGGCAAGTGTAGATTTTGGGAGACACATTTGGGGGCTGTGCTAAAGTCCTGGCAACAGATGAGCGGAGGGTTTCTGGTGCGCAGTTGTGGCCATTGGCATGTAGTAAAGCATGTGGGTTAGTTATATTTTGAAGGTTATTTCAATAGAAGTCAGTGATGGATTGAATGTGGGGAATGTGGGTTAAGAATGAGTAATTGGGAGACTGGAGATGCTATTAATGAAATGGGAAAGATTTTCTTTCTACATATTGGACTGGTTAACATGTTCTCTTCCTTTAGACCTTGGATCAGAGATTATTTCTTTTTAAAATTATTTTTATTTAAAAATTAAAAAAAAATTTTTTTTGAGACAGGGTCTTGCTCTGTCACCCAGGTTGGAGTGCAGTGGCATGATCATGGCTCACTGCAGCCTCAACCTCCCAGGCCCAAGTGATCCTCCAACTTCATCCTCCCAAGTAGCTGAGACTACAGGTGCTAATTTTTTTTTTTTTTTTTTTTTTTATATAGAGTCTTGCTGTGTCACCCAGGCTGGAGTGCAGTGGCACAATGTCAGCTCACTTCATCTCCTGGGTTCAAGTGATTCTCTTGCCTCAGCCTCCTGAGTAGCTGGGATTACAGGCGCATGCCACCACGTCTGGCTAATTTTTGTATTTTTAGTAGAGATGGGGTTTCACCATATTGGCCAGGCTAGTCTTGAACTCCTGACCTCGAGTGATCCACCCACCTCGTCCTCCCAAAGCACTAGGATTACAGACATGAACCACCGTGCCCAGCCCAATTTTTGCATTTTTTGTAGAGATGGGGTTTCACCATGTTGCCCAGGCTGATCTTGAACTCCTGAGTTCAAGCAATCTGTCCACCTTGGCCTCCCAAAGTGTTGGGATTATAGGCGTGAGGCACCTTGCCTGGCCTAGTTTTATTTTTATTTTCAAACAGGGTCTCACTGTCACCCAGGCTGGAGTGCAGTGGTATGATATCAGCTCAGCTCGGCAACCTCTGCCTCCCAGGCTCTAGTGATCTCACCTCAGCCTCCCTAGGAGCTGGTACTACAGGCATGCACTACCACTCCTGGCTAATTTTTATGTTTCTGTAGAGATGAGGTCTTGCCATGTTACCCAGGCTAATCTCCAACTCCAAGCTGATCTCCCATCTCCAACTCAAGCGATCTCCCCACCATGGCCTCCTTAGTGCTAAGATAACTGGCGTGAGCCATTGCCTGTCTTTTTATTATTTTTATTTTTTGTAAAGATGGGATTTTGCTATGTTGGTCAGGCTGGTGTTGAACTCATGGCCTCAAGCAATCCGCCCACCTCAGCCTCCCAAGTAACCGGGACTATAGGCATGTGCCACCACCCCCAGCTAATTTTATTTATTTTTTTATTATTTTTGGGTAGAGATGGAGTTTTGCCATGTTGTCCAGGCTTGTCTCAAACTCCTGAGCTCAAGCAATCCATCTGTCTCATCCTCCCAAAGCACTGGAATTATAGCATGAGCTACCATGCCTGGCCTCTTTGTGACTGTTTAGAGGAGACCATATTTGGTTAGAATAAATCATATTAGGCTGGGCATGGTGGCTCATGCCTGTAATCCCAGCACTTTGGGAGGCCGAGGTGGGCGGATCACGAGGTCAGGAGTTCAAGACCAGCCTGGCCAATATGGCAAAGCCCCATTTCTACTAAAAATACAAAAATTAGCTGGGCATGGTGGCGCATGCCTGTAGTGCCAGCTACTCTACTCGGGAGGCTGAGGCAGAAGAATTGCTTGAACCCGGGAGGCAGAGGTTGCAGTGAGCCAAGATTGCACCACTGCACCACTCTAGCCTGGGCAACAGAGCAAGACTCTGTTTAAAAAAAAAACAAAAACATAATATTAGCAGTAGTTTTCTTTGGGACGTGAGATTCTGATTTTCTTTTTTCCTCCTGTTGGCTCTCCCTTCAGAGTATTTCTAGAATGTGACCACTTCTCAACACCTTCACTACCAGCTCCAGGGTCTGAGGGAGCCACCATCATCTTTCATGTTGATTACAGAATCGCCTTCTCTCTGGTCTTCCTGCATCTGTGCCCCCGGATAGTCCACTCTTAGTGCAGCAGTCATAATGATCATGTAAAAATATGAGACAGTTCATGCAGAGCTAATGAAATTCTCAGCGTATCCTACAAGGCTCTACATGATCTGACCATTGTATCCTGTTTTCTTACTGCTGTTAACATTGTGTATCTGACTCTGTGTTTTCCTTTTTTTTTTTTCTTTTTCCTTGCTCTGTTGCCTAGACTGGAGTTTAGCGGTATTATCATATCTCACTGTAACCTGAAACTCCTGGGCTCATGTCATCATTCTGCCTCAGCCTTCCAAATTACTCTGACCATAGGCATATGCCACCATGCCTGGGTAATTAAATAAAATTTTTTTTTTTTGGTAGAGACTGAGTTTATGTTGCCCAGGCTGGTCTGCAAACTCCTGGCCTCAAGCAATCCTCCTGCCTTGGCCTCCCAAAGTGCTGGGATTATAGGCATGAGCCACCGTGCCTGGTCTCTCTTCTTCATTCTATGTGGTTTTTTTTTTTGGTTTTTTTTTTTTGAGACATTTACCCTCTGTTACCCAGGCTGGAGTGCAGGGGCGCAATCTCAGCTCACTGCAACCTGTGCCTTGCAGGTTCAAGCAATTCTCGTGCCACAGCTTCCCGAGTAGCTAGGATTACAGGTGTGTACCACCACATCCCGCTAATTTTATATATATATATATATATATATATATATATATATATATATATATACACACATACATACACATATATATACACACATATGTTATATATATATATACATATATATATTATTTTTATTTTTATTTTTATTTTTAGATGGAGTTTTCCTCTGTTGCTCAGGCTAGAGTGCAATGGCGCGATCTTGGCTTATTGCAACCTCCACCTCCTGGGTTCAAGCAATTCTCTTGCCTCAGCCTCCAGAGTAGCTGGGACTACAGGCATGCATCAGCACAGCTGGCTAATTTTTTTTTTTTTTCGAGACAGAGTCTTGCTCTGTCGCCCAGGCTGGAGTGCGGTGGCATGAGCTCGACTCACTGCAATCTTCCGCCTCCTGGGTTCAAGAGATTCTTTGCCTCAGCCTCCCAAGTAGCTAGGATTACAGGCACTTGTCATCATGCCCAGCTAATTTTTGTATTTTGAGTAGAGACGGGGTTTCACCATCTTGGCCAGGCTGGTCTTGAACTCCTGACCTCAGGTGATCCACCTGCCTCTGCCTCCCAAAGTGCTGGGATTACAGGCGTGAGCCACCTCACTCGGCCCAGCTGGCTAATTTTTGTATTTTTAGTAGAGACAGGGTTTCACCTTGTTAGTCAGGCTGATCTGGAACTCCTGACCTTGTGATCCACCTGCCTCAGCCTCCCAAAGTGCTAGGATTACAAGCGCGAGCCACAGTGCCCAGCCTAATTTTTTATATTTTAAGTAGAGATGGGGTTTTGCCATGTTGGCCAGGCTGGTCTCGAACTCCTGACTTCAAGTGATCCACCCACCTTGGCCTCCCAAAGTATTGGGATTATAGGTGTGAGCCACTGCGCCTGACCACATTCTACGCTTTAACCACATTGGCTTTCCTGCTGTTCCTCTAACACAGTAGGCAATCTCTTGCCTCAGGACCTTTGCATTGGTTATTTCCTCTGCTGTGCATTCTTCTTGAGTAACTCAAATCTTTGCTCCATTTTTTTTTTCTTCTCAGGGGTCTTCATTGATCAAATCTTATCTTCTCATTAAAGCCCATGTTGACTTCTCTATTTCAAATTGCAACCCATCCCCAGCACTTTCAATCTCCCCTCTCTCTGCTCTAGCATTACCAGTTTTCCAACATACTATATAGTTTACTTATTTGTTATGCTTTTTGTTTTTTTGCCTATACTCTCTGGCTAGAATGAAAACTCTGCTTCAGATACTCCAGTGCAGGTATCTGAGTAAAAAAAAAATGATTGAAAACTGCCAGAGCAGGGATTTTTGTCTGTTTTTTTTTTTTTTCTCTAATGTATCCCAGGAGACTGGGTCAGTGACTGGCACAGACTAGGTACTTAATAAATATTCGTTAGATGAATGTATGTGCATGTATACTAATTTTTATGTTCAGGGAAAAGGAAAACAGGCCAGGTGCAGTGGCTCATGCCTGTAATCCCAGCACTCTGAGAGGCTAAGGTGGGCAGATCACTTGAGGTCTGGAGTTCAAGACCAGCCTGGCCAATGTGGTGAAACTCCATCTTTTTTTTTTTTTTTTTTTGAGATGGAGTCTTGCTCTTGTTGCCCAGGCGGGGGTACAATGGTGCCATGTTGTCTGACTGCAACCTCCGCCTCCCAGGTTCAAACAATTCTCCTGCCTCAGCCTCCTGAGTAGCTGGGATTACAGGTGCCCGCCACCATGCCCAGCTAATTTTTGTATTTTTTAGTAGAGATAGGGTTTCACCATGTTGGCCAGGCTGGTCTCAAACTCCTGACCTCAGGTGATCCGCCTGCCTCGGCCTCCCAAAGTGTTGGGATTACAGATGTGAACCATCGTGCCTAGCTGTAAAACTCCATCTTTACTAAAAATACAAAAATTAGCCGGTCGTGGTGGCAGACGCCCATAATCCCAGTTACTTGGGTTGCAGTGAGCCCTGCACTACACTGCACTCCAGCCTGGGTGACAAAGCAAGACTGTCTCAAAAACAAAAACAATCAAACATAAACAACCAACCAAAAGAAAATGAAAACTACTGTGTGCTGGAACCTTGAAGAAGGGAAGCCTGCTCTTGATAACAGGAGAGATTTTCTTCATTTGAATTTCTGACTCTTGTTTCCTCTTTTTTTTTCAGGCTGTAACAGAGGAGGAAATGATTTTGAATAGCCTCTCTCTGTGTTACCATAATAAGCTAATCCTGGCCCCAATGGTTCGGGTAGGGACTCTTCCAATGAGGCTGCTGGCCCTGGATTATGGAGCGGACATTGTTTACTGTGAGGTAAGGGGCTCTGATTTTCTGGGTGGGCTTCTCCACAAGTACAGACTCCTCTTCATTTGTGTGTGGGAGTGGTCAGGAGTTAGTGGGGACAGAATGGGAATTGACTTTATAGGTGTTCACCAAAGGCTGGAGGAGACAAACATGTGTGACACTGATGAGTCTTGTGAACCCTGCCAAGGTCCAGGAGCCTGGTAGCACAGAAGCGTTCTGGGATACCCTGGGCCGGGTGGATAGATAAGTCGCCTGACATGTCTGGGCAACATAGTGGGACCTCATCTCTATTTTAAAAAATAAAAGAGGCCTGGCACAGTGGCTCATGGCTGTAATCCCAGCACTTTGGGAGGCCAAGGCGGGCAGATCACCTGAGGTCAGGAGTTCGAGACCAGTCTGGCCAACACGGTGAAACCTTGTCTCTACTAAAAATAGAAAAATTAGCCAGGCGTAGTGTTACGTGCCTGTAGTCCCAGCTACTCGGGAGGGTGAGGCAGGAGAATTGCTTGAACCTGGGAAGTGGAGGTTGCAGTGAGCAAAGATCACGCCACTGCACTCCAGCCTGGGCAACAGAGCAAGACTCCATCTCAAAAAAAAAAAAAAAGATAAAAATAAAAAATAAAAAGAGGCTGGGCGTGGTAGCTCATGCCGTAATACTAGTACTTTGGGAGGCCAAGGCAGGAGGATCACTTGAGCCTAGGAGTTTGAGACCAGCCTGGGCAATATAGTGAGACTCTATCTCTTTTTTTAAAAAAATTTATATATTAAAAAAAATAAGCCTGGTGTGGTGGCTCACACCTGTAATCCCAGCACTTTGGGAGGCTGAGGCATGAGGATTACTTGAGTCCAGGAGTTCGAGACCAGCCTGGGCAACGTAGTGAGACCCTGTCTCTACCAAAAAATAAAAATATAAAAAATGTACAAAAGAAAAAGAAAACCACTATATAGAGAGAATGGAAGACTTAAGAGGAGATTGGCGGAAAACAAACCCTTATGTACTGGGTATGTGTGTTGGCGCATAGGAATTAATGACAGAAGAGGTAAAAGAATGAGAAAAATAGGCAAATTAAAAAGAGTGTAGTGTCAGGGAAGGCAAAAGTCAGGTTTGTTAACCATGTCAGGTAATGCAGAGAAATCCAGCTGCAAAAAGACCAAGCAGGTATTTGACTTGAAAATTAGGCTGGGCAGAGTGGCTCATGCCTGTGGGGGGCTAGGCAGGAGGATCGCTTGAGCCCAGGTATTCAAAACCAGCCTTGGCAACATAGCGAGACCCTGTTTCTATTTTTTTTTTTCCTTGAGACAGAGTCTCGCTCTGTCGCCCAGGCTGGAGTGCAGTGGCGCGATCTTGGCTCACTGCAAGCTCTGCCTCCCAGGTTCACACCATTCTTCTGCCTCAGCCTCCCGAGTAGCTGGGACTACAGGCGTCCGCCACCACGCCTGGCTAATTTCTTTTTGTATTTTTAGTAGAGACGGGGTTTCACTGTGTTAGCCAGGATGGTCTCGATCTCCTGACCTCATGATCCTCACGTCTCCGCCTTCCAAAGTGCTGGGATTACAGGTGTGAGCCACCGTGCCTGGCCCCCTGTTTCTTGAAAAAAAGCAAGGAAGGGAGGAAGGAAGGAAGGAGGGAGGGAGGGAAAAGAAAATTAGACCCCTGGAGGACAGCTCTAGCACATAGACATGAACACTCACGGAGTTAATGGCTTGAGGAATGAATAGCAGATGAGGGAATAGAAATAGGGCTGCCAACTACCCCTTCAGTTAAGGGAGGTACAGGCAGGTAGCCTGAGGTGGAGGAAGCAGGGTGAAGGGAGTTGTTTCTAGATGACTTGCATGTTTGTAGTATAAGAGGAAGGAAGGCATTAGAAGGAGGCCTGAAGATTCATTTGGGGGATTTGGCGTGATGGGTAAGGTCAGGGCTTGAAGAGGACAGGAATCTTTTTTTTTCTTTTTTTTTTTTTAAGACAGTGTCTCACTCTGCCTTCCGAGGCTGGAGTGCAGTGGCACAGTCTTGGCTCACTGCAACCTCTGCTTCCCAGGTTCAAGTGATTCTCCCAACTCAGCCTCCTGAGTAGCTGGGATCACAGGTGCCCGCCTCCATGTCCAGCTAATTTTTGTATTTAGTAGAGATGGGGTTTTGCCATGTTGGCCAGGCTGGTCTTGAACCCTTGACCTCAGGTAATCCACCTGCCTTGGCCTCCCAAAGTGCTGGGATTATAGGTGTGAGACACTGCACCCGGCCTTAGGATTGTTTTCAAGCCCTTTGGAAGTTTAGGGCCCACGATTTATGTGATTACTTCAGTATGTGACCCTCCTAATTGGGCAAGACTTGGTTTTCCTAGTAAATGTGCCCATTCCTTTCTTCCAGGGTCCTGCTCCTGTATGGAGCAGAGGAAATATGAATTAAAATCTGTTAGCATTGTTTGATGTGCTCTTCCCTGAGAGAGTCAGTATAACTTACAAATAAACAAAGGGGTATCTACCTAGGCAGAGACCTAAGCCTTCCACCCAGATCTGCCACCTATGGAGAGCAGACAGGCAGGCAGGTCAACCTAGGTTGTGTAGGTGGCTGGGACTGGGCCCCCGGGCATGGCTGAGTGTGGTGTCAGCGCCCCCTGGTGGATCCATGGTTGTTTTGCCAGTGAGCTTTGGAGTACCAGTTGCGTGGATGTTCTTACTGGGGGTGGCGGGGGGGAGTTGATGTGAGGTGGCCCATCTGTGGGATTAGATAATCAAATGACCTCACCCAGCTCACAGGACCTCGTGCATATCAAGCATGTAGGCACCTCCTTAAAAACCCCACAAAGTCGCCGAGCGTGGTGGCTCACGCCTGCAATCCCAGCACTTTGGGAGGCCAAGACAGGTGGATCACCTGAGGTCAGGAGTTCAAGACCAGCCTGAACAACATGGTGAAACCCCATCTCTACAAAAATACAAAAAATTAGCTGTACGCGGTGGTGCACACCTGTAGTCCCAGCTTCAGGCTGAGGCAGGAGAAACGCCTGAACCTGGGAGGCAGAGGTTGTAGTGAGCTGAGATTGTGCCACTGCACTCCAGCCTGGGCGACAGAACAAAACAAAACAAAACACAACCCACAAAGTCCTCAGCCTCTGGAGGATGAGCCAGTCTGTAAAAGGCAAGAGAGCCGTAGTCTTCCCACATCAGGGTCTGTCAGGAATTTTTGAGGAGTGATGACAGTTTTTGGGAGGTGCTGCAGAGGCCGCGTTCCTGTTTCTTTTTATAAGAATGGTGGGATTCTGGTGTTCCTGTCTGTGAAGAGACACTGACCTGTTAGACTTAAACTTCTTATTAAGTAGGATCAAGGGACAAGGCAATGTTCTTAAGAGACCCAGAGTCCTACAGCCCAGAGGCCCACAAATGATTGATTTAGGCCAAGCACAGTGGCTCATGCCTGTAATCCCAGCACTTTGGGAGGCCGAGGCAGGTGGATCACCTGAGGTCAGGAGTTCGAGACTAGCCTGGCCAGCATGGTGAAGCTCTGTCTCTACTAAAAATACAAATTTAGCTTAGCCTGGTGGTGCACACCTGTAATCCCAGCTACTTGGGAGGTTGAGACAAGAGAATCACTTGAACCCATGAGGCAGAGGTTGCAATGTGCCCAGTGCGCCATTGCACTCCAGCCTGGGTGACAAGAGCAAAACTCTGTGTCAAAAAAAAAAAAAAAAAAGAGAAATGAGTGATTTTTAAAAGTTTTTTTTTTCTTATTGTGACAAAAAACATACAAGATTTACTGTCTTAACCATTTGTAAGTGTACTGTTCAGTAGTGTTATGTATATTGACATTGTTGTGAAACAGACCTCCGGAACTTTTTCATCTTGTGAAACGGAAACCCTGCACCCATTAAACAGCAATTCCCCAGTTCCCCTTCTCCCAGCCACTGGTAACTACCATTCTACTTTCTATTTCTATGAATTTGACTACTTTAGATACCTTATATAAGTGGAATCATACAATATTTATTGTTTGTGACTGGCTTATTTCCCTTAGCATAATGTCATCAAGGCTTACCTATGTTATAGCATGTGACAAGATTTCCTTCTTTTTTAAGGCTGAATAATACTCTATTGTATGTATATATCACACTTGGTTTATCCATTCATCCGTTAATGGCCATTGGGTTGCTTCTATCTCTTTCAATTGTGAATAATGCTGCTGTGAACATGGGCGTGCAAATAATCTCTTTGAGACCCTGCTTTTAATTCTTTTGATTATATATCCGGAAGTGGGATTGCTAGATCATATGGTGGTTTTTAATTTTTTGAGGACCCTCCATTCTGTTTCCCATAACCATAATAGCTGCATCATTTTACAATCCCACTAACAGCACACAAAGCTTCCGGTTTCTCTACATCCTCAAAAATGCTTGTTTGATTGTTGTTTTTGAGACAGAGTCTTATCCTGTCACCCAGGCTGGAGTGCAGTGACCAGCCTGGAGCTCCTGGGCTCAAGGGATCCTCCTACTTCAGCCTCCTGAGTAGCTGGGACTACAGGCTTATGCCACCACACCTGGCTAATTTTATTTATTTATTTATTTTTATTTTTATTTTATTTTTATTTTTATTTTGAGACAGAGTCTCGCTCTATCGCCCAGACTGGAGTGCCATGGCGTGATCTCAGTTCACTGCAACCTGTGCTTCCTGGGTTCAAGCAATTCTTGTGCCTCAGCCTCCTGAGTAGCTGGGATTACAGGCATGCACCACTACACCTGGCTAATTTTTGTATTTTTGGTAGAGACGGGTTTTTCCATGTTGGCCAGACTGGTCTCGAACTCCTGGCCTCAGATGATCTGCCCGCCTCAGCCTCCCAAAGTGCTGGGATTACAGGCATGAGCCACCATGCCCAGCCACATCTGGCTAATTTTAAAATCTTTTGTAGAGACAGGATTTCGCTATGTTGCCCATGCTGGTCCCAAACAGGTGGCCTCAAGTGATCCCCTCACCTGGGCCTCTCAAAGTGCTGGGATTGGCTGGGCGTGATGGCTCACACCTGTAATCCCAGAACTTTGAGAGGCCGACTCAGGTGGATCACGAGGTCAGGAGTTTGAGACCAGCCTAGGCAACATGGTGAAACCCCGTCTCTACAAAAATACAAAAATTAGCCGGGTGTGGTGGTGCCCATCTGTAATCCCAGCTACTGGGGAGGCTGAGACAGGAGAATTGCTTGAACCCATGAGGCGGAGGTTGCAGTGAACTGAGATCACGCCATTGCACTCCAGCTCTGGGTGTCAGAGCAAGACTCCGTCTCAGGGAGAAAAAAAAAAAAAAGTGCTGGGATTACAGGTGTGAGCCACCGTGCCTGGCTCACTTATTGTTTTTTTGATGGTAGCCATCCTAATGGGTATGAGGTGATATTTCATTGTGGTTTATTTCTCTGATTAGTGATGATTAGTGATGGTGAACATCTTTTTATATGCTTTTTTGGCCATTTGTAGGTCATATTCACCCAGAATAGGTAATTTTTTAAAAACAACAAATTAAAAATTATGTTTTTAGAAAGAAATAATTTCTTTTCTTTTTTTTTGAGATGGAGTCTTGCTCTGTTGCCCACGCAGGAGTGCAGTGGCACCATCTCAGCTCACTGCAACCTCCACCTCCCAGGTTCAAGCAATTCTTCTGCCTTGGCCTCCCAGGGAGCTGGGACTACAGGTGCATGCCCCCATGCCTGCTTAATTTAGGTATTTTTGGTAGAGACGGGGTTTTGGCATGTTGGCCGGGCTTGTATTGAACTCCTGGCCTCAAGTGATCCTCCTGCTCGGGCCTCCCAAAGTGCTGGGATTACAGGCTTGAGCCACTGCACCGGGTCTGTGCTCTTGTAAAAAATCAATTAATCATAGATGTTTTGATTTGATTTATATCTGGACTCTCATTTCTGTTACGCTGGTCTGTATGTCTACCTGTATGCCAGTACCACAGCCTTTTTTTTTCTTTCTTCTTACTGGTGAATTGAGGACACAACACAGTCTTGATTATTGTAGCTTGGTAGGTTTTAAGATTGGGAAGTATAAATTCTCCAACTTTTTCTTCTCTTTCAAGATTGTTTTGTGTAATCTGGGTTCTTTGCATTGCTATATGAATTTTAGGATCAGCTGGTCAATTCTGCCAGAAAGGCAGCTGGGATTTTGATGGAGTTTGCATTGAATCTGTAGATTAGTTTACGGATTATTGCTGTCATAACAATATTTAGTATTCCAATCCATGAACATGAGATGTCTTTATTTAGGTCTTCTTTAATTTCTTTTTTTTTTTTTTTTTGAGATGAGGTCTCACTCTGTTACCCAGGCTCAAGTACAGTGACATGATCTCAGCTCACTGCAACCTATGCCTCCTGGGCTGAAGCCATCCTCCTACCTCAGCCTCCTGAGTAGCTGGGACTACAGCCATACTCCACCCCACATGGCTAATTTTTGTATTTTTTTGTAGAGTTAGGGTTTCACCATGTTGCCCAGGCTGGTCTCGAACTCCTGATCTCAAAGTGATCCGCCTGCCTAGGCCTCCCAAAGTGCTGGTATTAAAAGCATGAGCCATTGGGCCGGGTCAGGTCTTCTTTAATTTCTTTCAACAGTGTTTCATAGTTTTCAGTACATGAGTCTCATACCTCTTTTTTTGAATTATTTCCTATGTGTTTTATTTTTATTTACTTTTATTTTTTGAGGCAGAGTCCCGCTTAGTTGCCCAGGCTGCAGTGCAGTGGCGCAATCTCAGCTCACTGCAACCTCTGCCTCCCGGGCTCAAGCCATTCTCCTGCCTCAGCCTCGCGAGTAGCTGGGATTACAGGCGCCTGCCACCATGCCTGGATAATTTTTGTATTTTTAATAGAAATGGGGTTTCACCATGTTGGTCAGGCTGGTCTTGAACTCCTGACCTCAGGCAATCCACCCAGCTCGGCCTCCCAAAGTGCTGGAATTACAGGCGTGAGCCACTGTGCCCGGCCGTGTTATTCTTTTAGATGTTATTACAAATGGAATTTCTTAATTTCCTTTTGTATTGTTCATTACTAGTGTATAAAATATAATTGATTTTTGTGTATTGATCTTGTGTCCTTGACCTTGCTGAACTTGTTTATTAGCATGTATGTTCTCTTTCTGTCTCTCTCTGTCTCTCCTGTGTGTATATGTATGGGTGGGGGAAACTTCCACAGGCTTTCTATATACAAGATCACATCGGCCCAGCGTGGTGGCTCACACCTGTAATCCCAGCACTTTGGGAGACCGAGGCGGGTGGATCACCCATGGTCAGGAGTTTGAGACCAGCCTGGCCAACACGATGAAACCCCATCTCTATTAAAAAAAAATACAAAAAATTAGCTGGGCATGGTGGTGGACGCCTGTAATCCCAGCTACTAGGGAGGCTGAGGGAGGAGAATCGCTCGAACCCAGGAGGTGGAGGTTGCAGTGAGCCGAGATCACGCCACTGCACTCCATCCTGGGCAACAAGAGCAAAACTCTGTCTTAAAAAAAAAAAAAACATCATCTGCAAATATAGTTTTACTTTTTCCTTTCTAATATGGATGCCTTTTATTTTATTTTTTTTTCTACCTAATTGTCCTGGCTGGAACTTTCTTTTCTTTTTTTTTTTTGAGACGGAGTTTTGCTCTTGTTGCCCAGGCCCTGGAGTGGAGTGAAGTGACATGATCTTGGCTCACTGCAACGTCTGCCTCCCATGTTCAAGTGATTCTCCTGCCTCAGATTCCCAAGTAGCTGGGATTACAGGCATGAGTGGCTAATTTTTGTATTTTTAGTAGTTACGGGGTTTCACCATGTTAATCAGACTGGTCTCGAACTCCTGACCTCAGGTGATCCACCCTCCCCGGCCTCCCGAAGTGCTGGGATTACAGGCGTGAGCCACTGTCCCTGGCCTGGGAAACTTTTTAATTTTAAAATTTATTCTTATTTTCAAAATTTTAGATTCAGGGGTATATATGCGGATTTGTTACAAGGGTACCATGTGTGATGCTGAGGGTTTGGCTTCTATTGATCCTGTCACCCAGATAGTGAACATAATACCCAATAGGATCTTTTTTAGCCCTTGCCTCCTCTCTGCTTCCTGCCTTTTGAAGTCTCCGGTGTCTGTTGTTCCCATGTTTATGTTCGTGTGTACCCAATGCTTAGCTCCTGCTTATAAGTGAGAACATATGTTATTTGGGTTTGTTTCTGTGTTAATTTGCTTAGGATAACGGCTGCCAGCTGCATCTATGTTGCTGTAAAGTACATGATTTCATTCATTTTTTTTTTTTTTGAAACGGAGTCTCCTTCTGTTGCCCAGGCTAGAGTGCAGTGGCACGATCTCAGCTCACTGTAGCCTCCGCCTCCCAGGTTCAAGCGATTCTCCTGTCTCAGCCTCCCCAGTAGCTGGGATACAGGCCTGTGCCACCACGCTCGGCTAATTTTTGTTGGCATAAGCCAACTGTGCCTGGCCTTAATTTCTTGTTTTAGGACTATTCCCATTTTTTATTTCTTGAGTCAGATTCAGTAGTGTGTGTCCATTTCATGTAGGTTATCTAATTTTTTGGCATACAATGGTTTATATTATTTCCTTATAATACTTTTTATTTCTTTAAGGTCAGAAGTAACGTTTTCTCTCTCATTCTGATTTTTTTTTTTTTTGAGACGAAGTCTTGCTCTGTCGCCGAGGCTGGAGTGTAGTGGCACCATCTTGGCTCACTGCAAGCTCCGCCTGCCGGATTCATGCCATTCTCCTGCCTCAGCCTCCGGAGCAGCTGGGACTACAGGCGTCTGCCACCACACCCGGCTAATTTTGTTTTTGTATTTTTAGTAGAGACGGGGTTTCACTGTGTTAGCCAGGATGGTCTTGATCTCCTGACCTCGTGATCCGCCCGCCTTGGCTTCCCAAAGTGCTGGGATTACAGGCGTGAGCCACCATGCCCGGCCTTTTTTTTTTTTTTTTTTTTTTTTTGAGATGGAGTCTTACTCTGTTGCCAGGCTGGAGTGCAGTGGTGCGGTCTTGGCTCACTGCAACCTCCGCCTCCTGGGTTCAAGCGATTCTCCTGCCTCAGCCTCCCAAGTGGCTGGGATTACGGGCACGTGCCACCACGCCTGACTAATTTTTGTATTTTTAGTAGAGATGGAGTTTCACCATGTTGGCCAGGCTGGCCTTGAACTCCTGACCTCGTGATCCACCCGCCTCAGCCTCCCAAAGTGCTGGGATTACAGGCGTGAGCTGCCGCGTCTGGCCTCTCTCATTCTGATTTTAATAATTTTTGTCTTCTCTCTTTTTTTCCACTGGTAGTCTAGCTAAAAGTTTGTCAATTTTGTTAATATTTTCAAATAACAAAGTTTTTGTTGTTGTTGTTGTTGTTGTTGTCATTGTTGTTTTTTCCCGAGATGGAGTCTTGCTCTGTTGCCCAGGCTCTGGAGTGCAATGGCGCAATCTCGGCTCACTGCAACCTCCGCCTCCCTGGTTCAAGCAATTCTCCTGCCTCAGCCTCCTGAGTAGCTGGGATTGCAGGCATGTACCACCATGGCCAGCTAATTTTTGTATTTTAGTAGAGATGGGGTTTCACCATGTTGGCCAGGATGGTCTTGAACTCCTGACCTCAAGTGATCTGCCTGACTCGGCCTCCCAGAGTGCTGGGATTATAGACATGAGCCACCGTGCTGGCGTGTTTTTTTTTTTTTTTTGAGACAGGTGTCACTCTGTTGCCCAGGGTGGCATGCAGTGGCACAATCACAGCTCACTGCAACCTCGAGCATCTGGGCTTAAGCGATTCTCCTGCCTCAGCATCCCATGTAGCTGGGACCACAGGCACATGCCACCACGCCCGGCTAATTTTTAAAAATGTTTTGTAGAGACAAGGTCTCACTTTGTTGCCCAGGCTGGTCTTGAACTCCTGAGCTCAAGTGATCCTCCTGCTTTGGTTTTCTAAAGTGTAGGGATTACAGACATAAGCCATCATGTCTGGCCAGGGTTTGTTGTTGTTTGTTTGCTTAGTGACTATTCTGAACTAATTTTGTAAGGCCTGTGTTCTTTGCCATGTGTGGCCTATAAAGTTCTCCTGGGTTAGCTTAATTGTTAGCTAATATTTGGATGGAGATTTCCGTAAATACTTGGAAACAATGAACTTCCCAATCTTTGATGTGGTACGTGTCTTACTTTTTCCTGTTCTAGTCCCTACCAAAGCTCAGTTTGGCTACTGAATTTCTTTTTATAAGCACAGGCCATTCAGTGCTTCCTACTTGTCTACTTGCCTTCCCCTGCAACTAGGATCACTGGCTACTGGGGCTCTGAGTTGGGCTCTGCCCATCCCTTGGGATGCCACACTGATTCTTGGGGGTTGGATGTCAACCATGTCCAAACTGCTTAGTTGTGGTGATTTGTTTGTTCAGGCCTAGTGGTCATCAGATATTTGATGACCTGAATACTGCATGGAGAGAATGGCCACAGAAACACCTAGAGCATTTGTTAATCTGATGGTGGGTATGCTGCGGGAAGTCCCATGGATACTATGAGGATTCTTTGGCCATTGTCCCTAGGTACTCCGATGAGTGAGTAGGAGGTCATTGTGCCCACTTGGCTGGGGTTGTGACTTGCTGGGGCTCATAGGGAGTCAGTATGGGGGTTAGTACCAGGAGTAAGCACCTCTTCTTTTCTTTTCTGGACCCCCAGAATCCATGGGCATGAACTTCTGGGCAGTGTGACAGGTGTCTGCTGAACAAAGCAGAACAGTCTTGTCTCCAACTAAGAATTAGAGAATCTCAGTCCTCCAGCACATAGGAGGTTTTCTTCCATTTATGATGTGATTTTGAAGAACCCCCCTTTTTCTTTCTTTCCTTAGTCTGTTTGAGTATCTCCAGAGTTGGGGACCTCGCCCTTTTCATTTCCACATAGTGTGACCCATGTGGGATAGGGGTTTTAGACTTTTCTTTCCTGTGTTCATCTCAGATCTTCCTCCCTTTGCTTCTATTCTCTGGTTCCAGTTTTGTTTTTGGATGTTTC
This sequence comes from Homo sapiens, assembly GCF_000001405.40. Lineage (NCBI taxonomy): Eukaryota > Metazoa > Chordata > Mammalia > Primates > Hominidae > Homo > Homo sapiens. The sequence goes on from NC_000016.10 coordinate 68,049,115, forward strand.
TTGGGAGCCCTTCACTGCCTGCCCTTTGCTGAGGGATAGGTGGGATATTCTTTGATGGGGTGGGCTTCTGCTGAGACCAGTAGGTGAGGAAATTTTCCAAGTGAATACATCCTGAATGATTATTGTCTTTCTGGCTAAGTGGTTCATTCATTCTAGGCCCCAACCATCTCCAAGTTTCCTGGGAAGGACAGCTAATTGAGAGTAGCTCACTCTGGCTCCTGCTTGCCATGCTTGGGTGGGGAGAATAGCACTACATGTCCCAAAAGCCGTGGTTTGTTCTTGGTAGTAGGGCGACTGGCCAAGCGATCCTCATTAGGTGTGTGATGAAAATCCTTCATGCCCAGAGCCTACATGTTCAGGAATGACAAGCGTCCTCTGATTCCTCTGCAGGAGCTGATCGACCTCAAGATGATTCAGTGCAAGAGAGTTGTTAATGGTGAGTACAGATCTGGCTCCAGAATTATGCATATGCCCTGCTGGGCTCAAGCAGCACTACCACTGCCCTTGCCTGGGGTGACAGTGTCTTGCCTGGCTTCATTGAGTAATTCTATAGATCACATGCTCCCTTGAGAGCAGTCACTGATCTCCAGAGGCCATGACAAAAAGCCTGATGTGAAACAGGCTGAGAGTGCCTTTCACTCACAGGCTTGCTGGCATAGAAATCACCATGCATCATAGCATAGGAGGGACTCTAGGAGCCTTGGAGTCAGGATGGCTTTAGCATTGGCCCTGGCTTGGCCACTTGCTAGATGTGTGACCTTGGGCAGGCCATATGACCTCTGTCTGCCTTAGTTCCTTTATCTGTAAAATGAAATCATAGTCTTTGCTTTACTTCAATCATAGGGTTGGAGTGAGGACCAAATAAGATAAGGTACATGTAAGTACTGTGGACGCCCTATGCTCTGTGCAAATGTGATTGTGATGAATTGTAGTTTTGCTGATACTTTATTGATGAGGCTGATTCTGCTTTGATTAGAGTTGTGGTATATTCCTTGAGTTTTCTGATACATACGTATATGCTTGTGAAATCTTTTTTTTTTTGAGACGGAATCTCCCTCTGTTGCCTAGGCTTGAGTGCAACGGCGCGGTCTTGGTTCACTGCAACCTCTGCCTCCCAGGTTCAAGCAGTTCTCCTGCCTCAGCCTCCCGAGTAGCTGGGACTACAGGTGCCCGCCACCACACCCGGCTAATTTTTGTATTTTTAGTAGAGAAGGGGTTTCACCATGGCGGCCAGTCTGGTCTTGAACTCTTGACCTCGTGATCCGCCTGCCTTGGCCTCCCAAAGTGCTGGAATTACAGGTGTGAGCCACCATGCCTGGCCGAACTATTTTAAATGTGTATATTTTTTTCTGTGTGATAAAAAATTCAATATTATAGATCTGTGTAACCTAGAAAATGAAAATCCTCCATAATCCTACACCTAAAGAGGTAATCAGAGAGAGGAATAATGTATGTTTTTCTATACATATAGTAAATAATGTGTGTGTACAAAATATGACGTGTTTATATATATCCCTCTTCTAGGTTGAAGATAAGGAAAAAAAATGTATCTATATCTATATCTGTATCTATATCTATATCTATATTTATCTATCTCCCCACCCCATTTGATCATACAACACGTGTTGTTTTGCCATTTACTTATCTACTAGGTCATTTGCCCATGTCAGTACCTAGGGGCAACTATGTCAGAATTGATTTTACCAGAGCCTTAACAGGGGTTCCCAGTATTTTGCTGTTATAAACAGAGTTGCATTATAAACACACAAATATTTTGTGGTTCTTCTCTCATACTTCTTACTGCCAGTCATGAGCTGTCTCTGTCAGTGATCACTTTGATTACCTCTCTCAACATGTCATTGCCTTTATCCCACCCTAAAAACCTTCTCATCTGTTTAGTGCTGGATGATAATAAAACCATCCATGTATGGAAATACTTTAAGTGCATCAAAGATCTCATTTATTTCTCAAGACAGCCTTTGAGGTAGGCATATTCTCCCATCTGCCACGTTCAGTCTTTTTCATGTATAGTGATCTTTGAAAGCTAGTAATGGTAGCACCTATTGTGGAGCTTCTTTAGGAAGCTGACAGATAAAATACAGTTGCTTCTCATTATGCACCGTTGTTGTTTCTATAAAGTTGCTTTAAACATCAAATGAGCGGATACTGAACCATTGACCCTGGGGTAAACAAAGGGTTAGGTTTGTGCAAGCCTCTGGTCATATTTTCATCAACTTGTCAGTCCATAACTTTGTTTTATGTGTGTTTCTTTGTTTTTGTTTGGTTTCTTTTTTGTGACCAGGTCTCACTCTGTTGCTCAGGCTGGAGTGTACTGGTGTGACCATAGCTCGCTGCAGCCTCAAACTCCTGGGCTCAAATGATCATCCTGCCTCAGCCTTCCAAGTAGCTGGGATTTCAGGTGCACACCTCCATGCCCAGCCAATTTTTAAATTTTTTGTAGAGATGGGGGTCTTGCTATGTTCCCCAGCTGGTCTCAAACTCCTGGCCTCAAGTGATCCCCCTGCCTCAGCCTCCCAAAATACTGGGATTACAGGACTTAGCCATCACACTGGCCATGTGTTTCTGTTTAAAGGCATATTATTTAATATATACCATTGATTCACTTAACATTGAACCCACTAACATGGGTAATAGTGCTATAATTTCATGCCGAAACAAAGCTTATTCAAGATGTGTATTTTCTCTGTAAGTCCCATGACCGTTTTCTTGTGCTTAGGAACATTAGATAGCATTTCAGCAGTATGGTTGGGACCATTTTATTTTATTTATTTTATATTTTTTGAGATGGAATCTTACTCTGTAGCCCAAGCTAGAGTGCAGTGGCGTGATCTTGGCTCACTGCAACCTCCGCCTTCCCGGCTCAAGAGATTCTTGTGCCTCAGCCTTCCAAGTAGTGGGGACTACAGGTGTGTGCCACCACACCCAGCTAATTTTTTTTTTTGTATTTTAGTAGAGACTTGAGTTTCACCATGTTGCCCAGGGTGGTCTCGAACTCCCTAACCTCAGGTAACCCACCCGCCTCGGCCTCCCAAAGTGCTGGGATTACAGGTGTGAGCCACCGCACCCAGCCACTTGGGACCATTTTAAACAGTGAGATCACCAACAAAAAGCATAGACATGCAGAAATGTGGCATGAAATATACCACAAAAGGGACACTTGTTGACAGTATGAGAGCTGAAGGGAGAAGACAGAGCATCACCTTGTTTGACCTCAGCTGGGAACATGCACATCAGGCAACTCAAAACTTTCACCACTCTGTTCCTGTCCTTGGATGACCATGAAAACATCACAAGTATTGATTTTGGGGTCACAAATAAATGTTAGCAAATAGGCACATTTGCAAATATGCAACTATGAATAGTATAGGAGATTGATTGTTATATAGTAACCTTCCACTCATAGCACCTGTCTCACTGTAAGTAAATAGTAAATTTGCTGAACTTCAGAGTGATGTTTTCTGGGAAAATTTGGGCCAAATCTGAAACATAGACAAACTTCCATGTATGGACTTTTTTTTTTTTTTTGAGACAGAGCCTCCCTCTGTTGCCCAGGCTGGAGTGCAGTGGCGCGATCTCAGCTCACTGCAATCTCTGCCTCCCAGGTTCAAGAGATTGTGCTGCCTCAGCCTCTTGAGTAGCTGGTATTACAGGCACCCTCCACCACGCCCAGCTAATTTTTGTATTTTTAGTAGAGATGCGGTTTTGCCATGTTGTGTAGGCTGGTTTCAAACTCCTAACCTCACATGATCCACCTGCCTTGGCCTTCCAAAGTCCTAGGATTACAAGCGTGAGCCACTGCGCCCGGCTATGTATGTACATTTTGTTTCAACATTTTTTTTTTTTTCGAGACGGAGTCTTGCTCTGTCGCCCAGGCTGGAGTGCAATGGCGCGATCTCGGCTCGCTGCAACCTCCGCCTCCCAGATTCAAGCGATTCTCCTGCCTCAGCCTCTCGAGTAGCTAGGGTTACAGGCATACCCCACCACGCCTGGCTAATTTTTGTATTCTTATCAGAGACGGTGTTTCACCATGTTGGCCAGGCTGGTCTTGAACTCTTGACCTCATGATCCGCCCGCCTCGGCCTCCCAAGGTGCTGGGATTACAGGCGTAAGCCACCATACCCGGCCCGGTTTTAACATTTTAAACGTTGCAAAATGTTAACCACCATTCAGAAAAAGTGCATTAAACACAAACATGCAGTTTCACAAGTAATTGCAAAATGAACAACCATCACCCAGGTCAGGAAATAGACCATCCTCATCATCACAGAAGCCTCCCATGTGCATAGTTATTTTTGGTAAGAATGGTATACATTTAGGATCTCTTTCCCCTTGAAGCTTATACTCTGGCTGTGTTTTCTTCCAGGGCTTAGGCTAGCGTTGAACTTGCATCTTCATTGAGTGACCCTATGTGTTTGGGTTTTCTTGCAGAGGTGCTCAGCACAGTGGACTTTGTCGCCCCTGATGATCGAGTTGTCTTCCGCACCTGTGAAAGAGAGCAGAACAGGGTGGTCTTCCAGATGGTGAGAGACTCCATTGCTGCATGCCCTCCTGAGGCTCACCATCCCCTGGGATTTCCCAACTCATGCCCTGTGCCAGGCCAGTGTTGAATACCTGGGGTACATTGTACAACGATGGCTTCCTGAAGATTCTGCTTTAATGTTTTCCAAAGAGCCAGTCATGAGTAATTATACTATTGGAGACAGTTTATGGAAATCAAGCTATCACAGTCTTATATGTCTCTAGTCTCAAATTTAATTTACTTACTTGTAGGAATTGTCTGTTTGGCATGATTTCTCTATTTTTTTATCCCTAGCATTGATTACTCAGATCATAGTCTTTGTTTTTATGTAGTGTGTATATATTTCTCATAGAAAAATATTAGGATTTTTCAAGAGTAGTTAAGATTTGTATTTGAGTTGTGATGACTCTATAGTGCCCTTCTCTCGCTTTGGGCATTTCTTGGTGCTTTTTCAGAAACATCCTTAATGATGTTTAGGTTTCTAAAAAATTGTTAACAATGGGTAACCATGTGATAAAGCAAATCTAGCAAAATGTTAATTGTAGAATCTAAATGGTGAGTGTTTGAATGGTCACTATAAGTTAACAATGGGTAACCATGTGATAAAGCAAATCTAGCAAAATGTTAATTGTAGAATCTAAATGGTGAGTGTTTGAATGGTCACTATAAAATGTTTTCAAGTTTTTTATATGTTTGAGTGTAATCATAGTATAGATAACATTTTCTAGACCTTCCAAGTCCACCTTTTTCTGCTGGCAGTGAGCTAGTCTAGTGGGCTGGCTGTTTAAGAGAAAGCCAGCCTGACTCTGTTGTTGGTGTGTGGGGTGTGTGTGTGTATGTGTGTGCTGCATGGGTGTGTTTGTCAGTGCATGTGTATCTGTGTCAGGGCAGTGGTTGATGCAGCCTCTTGTGTTCCCAGGGGACTTCAGACGCAGAGCGAGCCCTTGCTGTGGCCAGGCTTGTGTAAGTTCATCCTCTGTCTTTAGCACTGCCTTTGCCTCTCCTTTGAGCTGTGAGGGTTTAATGTCCTGGTGACTTTGTAGGTGACTCACCCTTCTGCCTTCTAGCCCATTACCTTCTGTTTCCAGGTTAAGAGTGCCTGGTTTCCAGCCAGGTGCGGTGGCTCATGCCTGTAATCCCAGCATTTTGGGAGGCTGAGGCAGGTGGATCATGAGGTCAAGAGATCGAGACCATCTTGGCCAACATGGTGAAACCCTGTCTCTACTAAAAATACAAAAATTAGCTGGGTGTGGTGGCGCGTGCCTGTAGTCCCAGCTACTCAGGAGGCTGAGGCAGAAGAATCGCTTGAACCCGGGAGGCAGAGGTTGCAGTGAGCCGAGATTGCGCCATTGCACTCCAGCCTGGTGACCAAGCGAGACTCTGTCTTAAAAAAAAAAGAGTGTCTAGTTTCCTTCTCTTTGTGGCATCCAAGGGCTGGCCTGGGACTCATGTGTACCTACAGTGCCTAGATCTCAGAGACCCTCTATGCATATTGGGGGGAGCTGTTTTTTTGTATTTATTCGTGAAACTCCTTCCCAGGGACTCCCATGACTATGAGTCCTGAAGCTTTAAGTATCAAAGTATAGGTAAGACATATTGCTTCCTGAATTAACATAGATAGGAAGCCTGGGGAACATAGGCAGAGCTCATCTCTACAAAAATGGTGGTGCATGCCAGTGGTCCCAACTACTTGGAAGACTGACGTGGAAGGATCACTTGGGCCCAGGAGGTCGAGGCTGCAGTGAGCCTCCATTGCGCCACTGGACTCCAGCCTGGGGAACACAGTGAGACCCTGTCTCAAGAACAAAAACAAAGGCAGGAGAGTGCTATAGTTAATGTGATAGGTTTTGAAGTTAAGACAGACCTGGTTTGCAATTCTGGTTTTGCTACTTGTTAACTGTGTGACCTGAGATAAGTTGCTTAACCTCAATGAGAACCTAGTTTTCTCACCTATAAAATAGTGCTACCAACCTCTGGCATAGGGAAGGGTAAATGAAATAATGCCTGTAAATGTCTTTGCAGCATGTGGCACATACTGACATCTTAGTAAGTGTTAGCTATCGTTATAATTACAAAGAGTGAGTGGGAACTCAGGCAGTTATTGCTGCTGATCACGGACTATTAACTATGTATTACTATTTAGGTTGGTGCAAAAGTAATTGCGGTTTTTGCCATTACTTTCAATGGCAAAAACCGCAATTACTTTTGCACCAACCTAATACATACCAGAGGACGGAGTGAGGATTCTTTTGACATCTAAGAATTGTTTGGATTAAACCATCTGTGCAGCCCAGCCAACAAAGGCAGTGCTAGAACTTCCACCAGAAGCTGTCGTCTGGCAAAGGGCTCTTAGGCTCATGTCACTTTTCTGCATTGACAAATGGCTTTTACTATTTCAGCCGAGTTCAGTGTGCCCATCTGAGTTATCTGATACAACTCCAAAGTAGCAAAGCCCTCTTCATCTAGCCCTTTATAGATGTGTGCACACATTATGTCTTTTCTCTGGATTTCTGCTTAGATGAGGCAGGTGCACGTTTTAAGGATGGGTTTCTTTCCCATTTTTCAGCTTCTGTCATTGGGGGTTGGTGTGTTTCATAGAGTCAGGGACAGGGTAAGAGGTTCATGAGCACAGGCCCATCCATGCCTTTAATTTCACCTTCTTTGCTCTAATTCAATACTTATTACCTTTACTCCTTCATCCTTTTCCAGAGAAAATGATGTGGCTGGTATTGATGTCAACATGGGCTGTCCAAAACAATATTCCACCAAGGTAAACTGGTTTCTTTATACTCCTCATAAACATAGGATGCAGATTAAGAGGCTGACAAGACATAACTAAGTATAGTACCTAACTCTGGACTGGATTCTGTACTAGATGGGGAAAATGCTCAAAAAGATATCGTTAGATGAACTGACAACATTAGAATAGGGACCATAGTATATTAGCTAAATATACTGTATCAATGTAAACTTATGAAGATAACTTCTGTGGTTATGTAACAGAATATCCCTGTTCTTAGAGAATACACACTGAAATATTTAGGAGTAAGGGGCTATGATATATGTAATTTACCCTCAAGTGGTTTATACATATACACACACACTCATATATCACACACACATACATATATAGATTCATACATAGATTATATATATTTTATTATATATTATATATAATGTTATATATTATATAATGTTATATATTATTTATATGTTATATAATATATAGGTATATTATATTACATATATATTTATTCTATATAATATAATAATACACATATATGTAATTATATGTAATCTATAATTATATATTACACATATAAATATATACAATAAATATATAAATATATAATATATAATTATATAATACATATAAATATATGTAATATATATTTATATATATATGTAATATATATGTTATAAATATATAATATATAATTATAGATTACATATATTATATATTACATATATAAATATATAATAAATATATAAATATATAATATATGTAGTATATAAAATAAATATATAATAAATATATATTACATATATAAATGTATATAATTGTGTATGTGTATAGATACATATATATATATAGAGAGAGAGAGAGAAAGAGAGAGAGAGAGAGAACTCATGCCCAAGTAATAAAACAATGCAAAGGTACAGAGAAAAATAGAGGGGACAGGGCTGTGTCTTTTCATGAATAAGACTGAGACACATATCCCAGAAAGCCCAGAGGAGGATTATAAAAAAAAAAAAGGGAAAACAACTGAGACATACATTTAAAAAAAAGAGAGGAGGCCGGGAGTGGTGGCCCACACATGTAATCCTAGCAATTTGGGAGGCTGATGCAGGAGGATCACTTGATCCCAGGAGATTGAGATGAGTCTGGGCAACAGAGTGAAACCCTGTCTCTATAAAAATTTTCAAAAGTTTAAAAAAAAAAGGCCAGGCCTGGTGGCTCATGCCTGTAATCCCAGCACTTTGGGAGGCTGAGGTGGTCAGATCACCTGAGGTCAGGAGTTTGAGACCAGCCTAACCAACATGGTGAAACCTTGTCTCTACTAAAATTACAAGCAATTAGCTGGGCGTGGTGGTGTGTGCCTGTAATCCCAGCTACTTGGGAGGCTAAGGCAGGAGAATCGCTTGAACCTGGGAGACGGAGGTTGCAGTGAGCAAGATCATGCCACTGCACTGCAGCCTGGGTGACAAGAGCGAAAATCTGTCTCAAAAAAAAAAAAAAAAAAAAAGTGGATGCAGTGTAAATGTTCCCATTGTCGTATCAGAAGAGATCAGACTATGGTAGCCCAGAGAAGGGAGTGGAAAGGCAGCCTTTAAACTTGGAATTTGATAGGGAAATATTGTCCTTGGGCTGAGATTTAGGACCCTGTAAGCAGAGGGTGTGGTATAAGCAGGGGCCTGGGGATGAATATGAGGTAGACACAGGGAGGCCTGAGTAGCCCGATTTGACCAGAGGTTTGTCGAGTGGGAGATGATGAAGAAGAAGCAGACTGCAGGATCGAAAACCTTGGTTGGTAAAAGATCAGCTGGACTTGGACTTTAGGTATCTTTGGGCTTTTTTTTTTTTTTGAGATGGAGTCTCACTCTTGTCGTGCAGGCTGGAGTGTAGCAGTGCAATCTCGGCTGACTGCAACCTCCGTCTCCTGGGTTCAAGCGATTCTCCTGCCTCAGCCTCCTGAGTAGCTGGGACTACAGGTGCCCGCCACCACACCCAACTAATTTTTTTTGTATTTTTAGTAGAGACGGGGTTTTGCCATGTTAGCCAGGCTGGTCTTGAACGCCTGACCTCGTGATCCACCTGCCTCGGCCTCCCAAAGTGCAGGGATTACAGGTGTGAGCCACTGTGCCCGGTGGTTTTGCTGTTTTCTGATTACTTCTTTGTGTTCCTAAATTATGTGAGGAGCAGAGTTAAAATGATCTGGAGGCAGGGTAAGGTGGTATATACCATTTATATAAGGAGGATAGGGAATGATTATATATATTTATTTGTTTATTCAGGGAAGATTTTTGGAGAGACACAGAAGAAACTAGTAACATTGATTTCCTCTGGGGAAGGAAACTTAAGTTTTTATCTGGTTATGCATAGGTAGTAAATTCCCATTACAGGGGTGCTACTGAAAATAATTAACTGGCACAGCACTGGCACTGATCAGTCAGAAGAGACACCAATCAATATGCCACACATGTACATACTAGCTGAATATCTGCTGTGTTCTCATGGTTCAAAAATTGAAGCCAGATAAAAAGCATAGATTGAGGCTGGGCTTGGTGGCCGATGCCTGTAATCCCAGCACTTTGGGAGGCTGAGGCGGGCAGATCACCTGAGGTCAGGAGTTCAAGACCAGTCTGGCCAAAAGAATGAAACCGCATGTCTACCAAAAAATATAAAAATTAGCCAGGTATGGTGGCAGACACCTGTAGTCCCAGCTACTTGGGAGGCTGAGGCAGGAGAATTGCATGAACCCCAGAGGCAGAGGTCGCAGTGAGCCAAGATCACGCCACTGCAGTCCACCCTGGGCCACAGAGTGAGACCCTATATGAGAAACAAAAGAAAAAAAAAAGTATAGATTGAAACATTTCCCATTCCTTAGGCAGGGAGACTTCTTACTCGTTACCCATTTGAATCTCTCAAATTTTGAATGTTTTACCTATTCAAAAAAGCAAGTAAGTTTAATAGAAACGAAGGAAGGAAGGAAATTCCATTGTTGAGAAAGCTATTATTGTGGAAGGGGCAGTGAAACTGAATTTTAGATCCTGTGATTCTATAAGGAAGGGCTGGATACGTGTGAGTGGAAGGACAGATGGAGCCAGGGGGAGTGCTGGGGCTTCCTCAAGGCCTTCAAGGTTTCTTTTATGACCAATGTAGTCCAGGCTTGGTGGATTTTCCAGTCTACCCATTCTTCTTTAAAATCCAGGCTCAGCCTGGCCGAGTCTGTGGTGGTTTAATGTTCTCTCTGATTCCAATTTATCATCCTTAAACATGAAATTAAAGTGTAATAACTGAACTTACACCTTCTGAGCACATTCTGTGAGCATTCATTAGTATGTAATCTTTATACTGGCAGCATATATTTATTGGAATTGTTTTTTTTGCCTTCATCTCACTCTTAATGGATTCAGATTTTTAAAGATCCCCCTCCTCCATTATTAAAGTAATTAATACCATTGTCTAGAAGTTGGAAAATATAGACAAGTACAGAAAAGAGCAGGAAAATCACCAGTAACTCACAATAAAAAGCAACCACCATTACTATTATCAAGATTCAAGTGGTTGTGTGGGTTGGTAGTTTCCATTTCCTGGGGCTTTGGTTAGAGTTGGGCATGGGTCTGGGCTGGGACATTGTTGCTGGCAGAAGAGAAGGGCCTAGACAAGGTTTGTAAGTTGTGTGCACCTTAGTAGCTTTGCTGGTGGTGTTGATGCCTATGCAAGCATTGAGTATGATAGGAAGAAGGCACATTTGATCTTATTTCAAATGAAGGATGATTCATTGTTTTTTAAGGGCTTGGGAGATGGTGGGATTTAGTTTATTAAGACACTGAGACCTGGGTTAGGGAGTGGGCAGTCTTGAAAAATAAGTTTTATATAGCCCACTCTAGATAGATTTGTGGGATTTACCAAGGGGATCAGAATGATGACTTTTTTGTTTGTTTGTTTGTTTGAGATGGAGTCTTGCCCTGTCAACCAGGCTAGGGTACAGTGGTGCAATCTCGGCTCACTGCAACCTCCACCTCCTGGGTTCAAGCAATTCTTCTGCCTCAGCCTCCTGAATAGCTGGGACTACAGGCACACACCTCCATGCTCGGCTAATTTTTGTATTTTTGGTAGAGACTGGATTTCACCATGTTAGCCAGGCTGGTCTCGAACTCCTGACCTCAGGTAATCCACCTGACTCAGCTTCCCAAAGTGCTGGAATTACAGGCGTGAGCCACCACGCCCAGCCTATACATTTTAAAAGTCATCACTCTGGTCTGGCCAGCCTGGCCAACATGGTGAAACCCTGTCTCTACTAAAAATATATTAAAAAATTAGCTAGGTGTGGTTGTGCATGCCTGCAATCCTGGCTACTCAGGATGCAGAGGAAGGAGAATCACTTGAACTGGGGAGGTGGAGGTTGCAGTGAGCCGAGATTGCGCCACTGCACTCCAGCCTGGGTGACAGAGCGAGAATCTGTCTCAAAAAAAAAAGAAAAAAAATTATCACACTTCAGTCCCAGATGTTATGGGCACAGATACTGCTGCCCTCCTACTTGTTTAAAAGAAGTGCCGGTTGCCAGTGGGCCTTGGTCCCTTGGAAGTGAGTGCCGGGGTGACGCTCAGTTGCCAGACCCCATCCCATGGAGAGGGCCATAGTGTCTCCCAGATGTAAGAAGACCTTTTGTGTGTTTCTCCTTAGGGAGGAATGGGAGCTGCCCTGCTGTCAGACCCTGACAAGATTGAGAAGGTAAGTCCTCCACGAGTGAAAGCAGGGGTCCTCAAACACAGCTCCAAACTAGAATTGTCTAGAACGCCTCCTTCCACCAATACCAGATTTACTGATGTCCACCCAGTTTCTCTCCCTGAGGCCTAGCGATTTCCAAAAAATTTTCCAGTGATTTTGACATGCAGCTAAGTTTGGGAACCCCCGAGCCAGCCTACAGCAGCCTTGATGTTCCTAAAAAGCCCAGAGCAAGAGACATGTCAATGAAGAGCCAGGGGTCCTGAGGACTCACAGAGAACCTCCTCTGTATTTCCTGTCTCCCTTCTGGGAAGGTCTTGAGAGCAGAGGCCAGCCCACCTGTGGTGAGGACGGGCTCAGTGGCCATATGTGTTTGTATGTGTGTGGGTGGATTGGCCTCTCCCAGGGGGCTTGATGAGAGGAGCAGTGGGTCCCCTATGTCCTGAAAGAGTCTACCCCAGCCCTTGGAGAGAAGCCCGGGCCAGGGTCAGAGGAGGCAAGCTGAAGTTAGTCTCTCTCTGTTCCCCTTTCTTTGGTGATTCTGTAGGCTAGCTTAATGAGGCCCTGGGGACAGGTTTGTGTTCCTCTCCCAGTCTGCCAGCTCTTTCCTTTTAGCTCCTTTGTTTTCCTTTTCATTCTCTATCGCTACTTCCCTGTCTGGGCTTTAAGCCTCATCCTGCTTCCCAGAGGCTAGAGCGACTTGGGACTTAGGCATCACCAATGAGAGCTGCCATCATTGCCAATGAGAGCTGCATGGTTGCTGTGCCAGCAGCCCAACCCTGCATGTTCCTCCAGCCCCACTGTCTCTGGGACATAGGAAGACCACTGTGCTTGCTGGCTACATGCCTTCTCGTTTTTCCCATGTGCAGCCAGAGATACTCTATCTATAGTGCACCTGTATAATGTGCCTTTCTTTTTTTTGAGACAGAGTCTTGCTCTGTCACCCAGGCTGGAGTGCAGTGGCACAATCTCAGCTCACTGCAACCTCTGCCTCCAGGTTTCAAGCAATTCTTCTGCCTCAACCTCCTGAGTAGCTGGGATTACAGGCGCCCACGACGACGCCTGGCTAATTTTTGTATTTTTAGTAGAGATGGGGTTTTGTCATGTTGGCCACGCTGGTCTTGAACTCCTGACCTCAGGTGATCTGCCCATCTTGGCCTCCCAAAGTGCTGGGATTACAGATGTGAGCCACTGTGCCCAGCCATAATGTGCCTTTCATTTGATCCTGAAACCCCTTGAAGTAGATAGGATTGGCAGTTATCTCCATTTGATCAAGGACAATAGACTAAAGCACAGAGAGAGAAAATAATTTGCTTAAGATCATATAGTAGGCCGGGCGTGGTGGCTCATGCCTGTAATCCCAGCACTTTGGGAGGCTGAGGCGGGCAGATCACAAGGTCAGGAGATCGAGACCATTCTGGCTAACACGGTGAAACCCAGTCTCTACTAAAAATACAAAAAATTAGCTGGGCGTGGTGGCGGGTGCCTGTGGTCCCAGCTACTCAGGAGGCTGAGGCAGGAGAATGGCATAAACCCGGGAGGCAGAGGTTGCAGTGAGCAGAGATCGTGCCACTGCACTCCAGCCTGGGCGACAGAGCAAGACTCCGTCTCAAAAAAAAAAAAAAAAAAAAAAGATCATATAGTAAATAAGTGGCAGGCAGAGCCAGCTTGTGAACTATAGTCTCTTCTGACTCCTAGTGTCAGCACCCTCTCCAGTAGCATCTCAGGTTCAAGGTGCCTGGGTATAGTTTATAAGTGTCAGGTCAATAGGCACCTCAACTTGGAAATCTCCAGTTAAGACACTTGTGTGCAGGGTGGAGTGGAAGTAGACATCTTGGATGTCAAATTGGTTTCCACACCTAGGAGAGGGGGCCCCAGCAGGGAGGATGTGGTTCACAACATGAGCACACAGGCATTTTTGTTATCCTCCAGCCTCCTCTCTTCTCAGACCCAGGCTGTTGGCTCTGTCCTCTCTACTGCCCCTCTTTGAATAAGGCAGATTTCATCCATGAGGCAGCAGAGATACACTCAACCTCAGAAGCTTAGTTCATTTCACTACTTCTCTGGTTGGGTACTCAGATGGGCCAGGTTGGACTGATAGATGGGGTTTGCCCCATGGTAGGGAGGTTGCAGGCTTCCACAACAAAGCCAGATGTGGCTTAGGTGTAGGGGCTGGATTCAATTCGGGTCCAGACTGTGTTGGCAAGCTGGGTGACCTGGGTGAGAGCTTTGCGGGTCCTTCCAGGCTTGGCGTTTTAGGCCCGTGGTTCCATCTGTGGGAGTATCTCAAGACCACCTCTAGAAATTTTCTCAAGATTCTTGTTTGGGGTTATGAAAAACTTTGGAAATACATAACATTGGTGGTTGTACAACATTGTGAATGTAATTAATGCCACTGAATTATACACTTAAAAATGTTTAAGATGGCAAATTTCATGTTATATATATTTTACCCCAGTTAGAAATAAAGGATGCTATCTGTTGAGAATTCTGCAGACCCTTGGGGTGAGTAGGGGTGGAGAGTGGGATATCAATCTCTTTGAGAAAGCTTCTACCAGGTAACTCTGATATATGCTCCCTGGATTAAGAACCTCAGTTTTATTTTATTTTTTTAAATATTTATTTATTTATTTTGAGAGGGAGTCTTGCTCTGCTGCCCAGGCTGGAGTGCAGTGGTGCGATCTCAGCTCACTGCAACATCCACCTCCTGGGTTCAAGTGATTCTCCTGCCTCAGCCTCTGAATAGCTGAGATTACAGGCATGCACCACAACACCCGGCTAATTTTTGTATTTTTAGTAGGTACGGGGTTTCACCATGTTGTTCAGGCTGGCCTTGAACACCTAACCTCAGGTGATCTGGCCTCCAAAAGTGCTGGGATTACAGGTGTGCGCAGGGCATCCCCCTTGTGTACACTGTACTTGGGCCATGGCTGACAATTGGCAGGGCCAGGACATGAACTCAGGTCTCAGTGCTTTCCAGGCCTATGCTTTCCTATCCTCATCTGCTGCCTCCCAGAAACCAGGGGAGTGAAGGAGACTGCTTTTCTTCAGTTGGCCAGTGGGTCTATTGAGGCAAGCCTGCTTGTAGGTAGATGTGCTGTTCCTCTGCTCAAATATGGACTTGTCTCTCATTCTTTCTCCCCAAAGACTTGGATCTGGAGAGTTGGTGTCCAGGAGAGTGTCATGCTAGAGCCTGGCCAGAAGACAATCTCTAGTTGCCATTTCCCCTCAGTGTGACCCTTGCAAGTGCCTAGGGTTTTTGGTTACCTAATTTCCTTCCTAGTCCTTAACACACACATGAAACACACAGAAATACTGAAGAAAGTACTGAGAGCTACTTGGATAAAATAGCAAAAGGAAGTTCTACAAGACAGAGAATTGGATCAGACCAGCTGGTGTTGCTTAAATCACCAAATGTCAGAGGATTCTAAGTGAGCACTTGTAATGGAACCTTTTAGAGATGTTGCTCTGAGCATGAAGGATGGGACTAGAATGAGAATTTTTATTGTATTTCTTGATGAACCTGTCAGTCCCGCCCTTAAAATGTAAGTGCCTCTTTAAGGCCTGCCAGGGTGACCCTAAGACCTCAGGCCAAGTCTGCCTCCTGGAGCAGCACCTAGAGACTGTTCCTTCCTGCCAGTCCCTGGCATTTGGGCCAGCAGGTCCTGTCTTGCTCATGAACTGTCTGTCAGTCCAGCCTCTTGATCTGATGTCTTCTGGAATGGCCTGCTTCATCCTGTCCCTGATAGGCCTCCACTACTGGTTTTTGCAACCTGGCTCTCTGCTGCCCCCGCCTGTCTAGAATCAAGACTGGCAGCAGCCACCTAGATATCCCCCTGCTCTGCTAGGCAGAGATCCAGTTCTTGGAAGAGGGTTCTTGGGATCATCTTTCCTCCAGCTTGCCTGGCCTGAAATTTCTGATGAGGGAAGAAGATAGCAATGACACAGACATGCAGTGTCATCTACACCTCTCTATCTCTGATTCTTGTGTGGTCTGGTCTTGCTACCTCCCTGTCACTTTCCTGCGTGACTTCTTGATCTTTCTTTGAAATCTTTTGCAATTGCTATGTGATAAGCACTTTTAAATATGTGCTTATCTTATGAGTATGTTGTCTTTTCCTTTGCCAGTTTCACTCATGTATGTCTGACTGCCCTAAAGAGGAATGCAGGCCCCCCTTAAGAGCCTTCCTGTTCCCTCACCCTGTAAGTCCTGGAACAACACTTAGGGAACATTCCCTTCACCCAGGAAAGAAGCTGTCTGCCCCCCCGCTTTTTTTTTTTTTAATAGAAACAGGGATGGGCTAGGTGCAGTGGCTCAAGCCTGTCATCCCAGGACTTTGGGAGGATAAAACAGGTGGATTGCTTGAGCTCAGGAGTTCGAGACCAGCCTGGCCAACATGGTGGTCCCAGCTACTCTGGAGGCTGAAGTGGGAGGATGGCTTGAGCTAGGGAGGCAGAGGTTACAGTGAGCCAAGATTGTGCCACTGCACTCTAGCCTGGGAAACAGAGCCAGACCCTGTCTCAAAACAAAACAAACAAACAAACAAACAAAAAGGAAACAGGGTCTTGCTGTGTTGCCCAGGCTGGTCTCAAACTCCTGGCTTCAAGCAATCTTCCCACCTCAGCCTCTCAAAGTGTTGGGATTACAGGCATAAACCACCACACCCAGTTAGCTATGTGTTCTTTTTTTCTTACTTTTTTTTTTTTTTTAGCCGTGTGTTCTTAACCAAGGCTAGGCCTCAGAATGATTCTGAGGACGGGCTGGAGTGTGTTGGGCAGAGCCTTTTGAAAACACACATTCCTAAGCCCTTCCCCTAGAGACTGACTCAGGAAATAATAGTGTGGAATTCAAGAGTGTGTATTTCTTCAGTTCTCCAGATAATTCTGGTATTTGTCCTGGCAAAGGCTCAGTGAGCTGCACACAGGTGTACACGCGTACCCATTCACTCACTCATTCAGTATATTTGACAAATATGTGTATACCACTAGGTGCCAGGCAGGTGCTGGGGCTCCAGTATAGAACAAAGGCAGGTCCCTTGCCTCATGGAGCTTATGTGTGTATGTGTGTAACAGACACACACATGCATTCACACATATGCAAACTGTTCATGCCACCGGAATGCACAGCCTGTAGCGGAGTTAATTAGTACAGGCAGAGTGATGGTTTGTTCCAGAAGACATAGGTGCTCTTGTGTTTTCCTTTCTGCAGATCCTCAGCACTCTTGTTAAAGGGACACGCAGACCTGTGACCTGCAAGATTCGCATCCTGCCATCGGTAAGGATGGTGTGTTACATATGAAGGTCCATTCTCTCTGGTGATGTTGGATTTAGGTTTGTGAACGATTCTTGAGGTGCTAAATTAGGCTTGGAGGAGAGAGTAGAGCTGAGCCTACTTTAGGAGGCAGCAGCTGCTCCTTCTGGAGCTTCAGTAACCATCCTGTGTGGTCCTCCTCCTCAGCTAGAAGATACCCTGAGCCTTGTGAAGCGGATAGAGAGGACTGGCATTGCTGCCATCGCAGTTCATGGGAGGTGAGTGGTCACCTTTCTAGTGACTGGCAGGGAGGTCCTAACCCATCTTAGTGATCCTTCCTTAATTGATCTGTCACCCCAAGTGACAGCCAATTTCTCTTCTACATATTCAGCCTACCTCTGCCTAGCTCTTTGATATCTTATGAGTCTGGAGGGCAGGCAGACCCTGAATGGGCTTTTGCATTTGCCTTTCTTTCATTCATGGAGTGCCTATTGAGGGTAGGTACTGAGGTTTAGAGACACAGAGAGACTAAGAAAGGAGAAACACCTCTACTATCAGGATGTGTAAATGCTAGAGATTGAGTAATTTGCTCAAAATCATACCATGCAGCCAGTACGTGGTGGAATTCTGACCCTCATGAGAAAAATCTCATTTATTTCCTTCCCTCCCTCCCTCCCTCCCTTCCTTCCTTCCCTCCCTCCCTCCCTTCCTTCCTTCCCTCCCTCCCTCCTTCCTTCCCTCCTTCCTTCCTTCTTTCCTTCCTCCCCTCCCCTCCCCCTCCCTTCTCCCCTCCCTCTCCCATCTCCTCCCCTCTCCCCCCTCCCCTCCCATCTCCTCCCCTCTCCCCTCCCATCTCCTCCCCTCTCCCCTCCCATCTCCTCCCCTCTCCCTTCCCATCTCCTCCCCTCCCCCCTCCCCTCTCCTCTCCCCTCCTCTCCTCTCCTCCTCTTTGTCATTCTGTCACCCAGGCTGGAGTGCAGTAGCGCAGTCTTGGCTCACTGCAATCTCCATCTCCCGGGTTCAAGTGATTCTCCTGCCTCAGCCTCCCGAGTAGCTGAGATTACAGGTGCGCTCCACCATGCCCAGCTAATTTTTATATTTTTAGTAGAGACAGGGTTTCACCACGTTGGCCAGGCTGGTTTCAAACTCCTGATCTCAGGTGATCTGCCCACCTTGGCCTCCCAAAGTACTGGGATTACAGGCATGAGCCACCAGGCCCAGCCTCATTTTCTTTCTATTATATTGAGCAATGACTTCTCCCTTGAATAATCCCAGACAGACTGCTTTGTTTATGTGTTTTTCATTGTTGTTGTTGTTTTTTGAGACAGTCTTGCTCTGTTACCCAGGCTGGAGTGAAGTGGCACAATCATAGCTCACTGCAGCCTCAAACTCCTGGGCTCAAGTAATCCTCCTGCCTCAGCCTCCTGAGTAGCTGAAACTACAGGCACATGCCACCACACCTGGCTAATTTTTTATTTTTTTGTAGTGACGGGATCTCCTTATGTTGCCCAGGCTGGTCTCAAACTCCTGGGCTTAAGTGATCCTCCTGCCTCAGCCCCTCAAAGTGCTGGGATTACAGGCTTGAGCCACCATACCCAACCTATTCTTTTAAAGGCTCTGCCTCTCTTGTCTGCATTTGTTGGACTGCCAGCTGTCACAATGACTAAACAATCCTTCTAGCTGTAGCTAATGTACTCTATGCTGAGAGCTGAGGTTCTGAAGGCCACCCTTGGCTTACCATTCACACTTGTTCCCTGTGTCCAGGATGTGATTTTGTACAGCATCTCAGGTCAGTAGACTTGGGCCAGAGGGACCTCTCTTCTCTGAGTGATGTTCCTTTGGGCTTAGGGGTCTTATAGGAAGAGCCCAAGTTGTTGATTGTGCTCTTACAACATTTTCAGAGAAGGGAACCCAGAACTCCCTTCATACAAAGCAGAGCAAAGCAGAGTTGCTTGGGTTGAAGCCAGGAGGGAGGAGTACACACTTGTACACATATGCGCCTTCCCAAGGCAGCAGGCTTTGGATTCAGACTCCCTGGTTTGAGATCCCGGCTCTGCTGCTTGTTAGCTGTATATCCTTGGGAAATCACTTAACCTTTCTGAGCACAACATTCCTTGTTTAGAAATTAAGATAATTTCTACTTTATAGGGTTGTCCCAGGGCTTTTATGAGATTGTGAATATAAATCCTTGGCACAGTGCCTGGCATGTAGTATTCTTTCTCTCTCTTTTTTTTTTTTTTTTTTTTTTGAGACGGAGTCTTGCTCTGTTGCCCAGGCTGGAGTGCAGTGGCATGATCTCGGCTCACTGCAACCTTCGCCTCCTGGGTTCAAGCAATTCTCCTGCCTCAGCCTCCTGAGTAGCTGGGATTACAGGTGCCTGCCACCATGCCTGGCTTTTTTTTTTTTTTTTTTTGTATTTTTAGTAGAGATGGGGTTTCACCATGTTGGCCAGGCTGGTCTCAAACTCCTAACCTCAAATAATCCACCCACCTTGGCTTCCCAAAGTGCAGGGATTACAGGCGTGAGCCACCATGCCAAGCCAGTATTCTCTTAATAAAGGAAGCTATTATTTTTTACCCGTAGTTGGGAACACTCGGAAGACAGATGTGGGTGAGTTTGAAGAAGCCCTTTGTGACCATCAAAGCTGGTGAGATGGGCTAAAAGTGACCATTGGAGATGTAGGGAGACAGAGGTAGAGGCTAGGTTGACAGGGCCCTCGACCCTTTTGTTGAAGAGTATAGTAGAGGGGCCCGGGCGCGGTGGCTAACGCCTAGAATCCCACCACTTTAGGAGGCCGAGGCGGGTGGATCACATGAGGTCAGGAGTTCAAGACCAGCCTGACCAACATGGTAAAACCCTGTTTCTACTAAAAAAAATACAAAATTAGCTAGGCATGGTAGCTCATGCCTGTAATCCCAGCTACCTGGGAGGCTGAGGTAGAATTGCCTGAACCCAGGAGGTGGAGGTTGCAGTGAGCCGAGATTGCACCATTGCACTCCAGCCTGGGCAACAAGAATGAAACACCATATCAAAAATAAAAGAACAAGAGTATAGCAGAGGGGACATACTCAGACAAGAGCTGGACAAGGGCTATCTGGTCGACCGTCTTGCTTGCTTTGTTGCTGAGCACAGCTCAGGTCAGGCCTCACGTCAGCAGCCCTAAAACTCATGCACAAGAACTTGCAGTTGACTTTGGAAGGAGGGGCCCCAGGTTGTGGTCCTGCCTCCCTTGTGCCGTGGTGTGGCAGCCATGGTCCGTGCCTTTCCTGGGTGCGGGGCCTACCCTGTGTCAGGTGCCTCTCCCTAGGATCAGCTGTGCAACTTGGCTTTGGCATTGGCAGCTGTGTGGGAGTGGCCAGTCTGAGCAGCAGCAGCTGTTCCCAGTCCCTTGGAGAGGGCAGGACTGGGACAGTAGGGGCAGCACTCTTATGGCCCTGTCCCTCATCTCTGGCAGAGGCAAAAGGAAGCTAGGGAAAAGCAACATGACCTTGGGAGCCAGGCCACCCACCATGCCCCCCTGCAGCCAGGCCTCCCCTGCAGGCCTCCAAGAGCTGGACTTGCCGTCTCAGCATGGATCTGTGCTGCCCCTGCCCCTCACAGTTCTCCAGAGGGCAGGGAGAGCCATTTCCTGCCACCTGTCCTTGATTGCCATATGGCCACCTGACCTTCCTGAGGTTCAGTGGGGAGGACAGTAAGGTTTGGCTGAGGTAACCCTGTGTGAGTGGTGTCGTGGCTTTTGGTGCTTAGCCCTCAGCCCCATCTTTCTATCTCCAAGGAAGCGGGAGGAGCGACCTCAGCATCCTGTCAGCTGTGAAGTCATCAAAGCCATTGCTGATACCCTCTCCATTCCTGTCATAGCCAAGTAAGCCTCCTGTCTTCATCATGTACTCTGTGTCCCACAGAGCTAAGGGCTGGGTGGTAGCCAGGCCCAGCCTTCCCTAGAGTGAAAAGTTTTAGGGGTGGCTTGAAAAGGGCAGGGCTTTCCACAAGACCCCAGACCTGTTCCTTCTGCTGCCACCTGAGACCCTCCCCTCTGCATGCCTGTCTCAGGACTGAGGCTGCCGACTGACTCCTGATGAAATGTACAGAGACAGAGCAGGGGGTCCTTGGAGCAGCAGGCTGCAGGGAGGGGAAAGTATGACCTAACTGGGCCTCCTTCCTTCCTCTTGTCATCACTAGGGTGTCTGTTCCTCTCGCCAGGGTTTTGACTTAGCCCTCAGTGAACATATAAGTGGCCCATTCAGCTTGGGGGTTTTCCTGTAGCCCCAGTAGCCCAGTTATGGACCCATGTCTCCAGATGTGGGCTGGCTGTAGCCACTGTTTTAGATTAGGGGCAAGGAAAGTAAATTTCCTGGATTACCTATTAAGTGCCAGGCACTCTACATGTATTATCTCAGTTAGTGCTCCTAACTTCATAATGGGATATGGATTCTAATATCCACTTTACTGAAGCTCTGATAGCTGAAGGGACTTGGCCAAATTCACATTGTTAATCAGTGGCAGATCTGAGAGCTGACTTTTTCTGAAAATGCTGATAGGTTCCGTGATGGGGACACCCCTAACCCTCTGGTTGCTTTTTAGCGGAGGATCTCATGACCACATCCAACAGTATTCGGACATAGAGGACTTTCGACAAGCCACGGCAGCCTCTTCCGTGATGGTGGCCCGAGCAGCCATGTGGAACCCATCTATCTTCCTCAAGGAGGGTCTGCGGCCCCTGGAGGAGGTCATGCAGAAATACATCAGATACGTACGTCTCTGTACTTTTTCAAAACAAGCATTTCTCACTGTCTACCACACTCCTGCAGAGAGCACTTTGTGTGAGCCCCCAGCTGCCAGCTGTGCTTGCTGTTCCTCTCCTTTTCTTTTTAGCTCATGTAGTGTAGCTGCACTAGCTCACTGCTTTATTCGGTCTCCCCAGCTGCAATGCTAAGAGAGGATGCTGGGGGGCATACCCCTACCATCTCCTAAAGCTTCCAGAGGTTTGCAGGTCATAGCAAGAACCTTCTAGATCCAGGATGCTGTTGGAACCCCGAACACATGATATATATCTTTCTTTTTCTCACACGCTGCACATACAGAGGCATATGCACGTGGACTGTGGGTTCTGCATCATCAAAGGCATATGTGCCTATAGGTTGGCTCAGGAGCAGCCACAGCCAAGAGGAGCAATTGAGAAATTTCTCACCTGATTTGACTCATCAGTCGAAATAATTTCTAAAACTTTTCTCTTGCTAATTCCAGAATGCTTTAAGCATAACCCTCTACTTAGGGAATAGCTTTTTTTTTTTTTTTTTGAGATGGGGTCTTGCTCTGTTGCCCAGGTGTGAGCATAGTGGCATAATCATGACTCACTGCAGTCTTGACCTCCTGGGCTCAAGTGATCCTCCTGCTTCAGCCTCCCAAGTAGTTGGGACTACAGGCATGTGCCACAACACTCAGCTAATTTTTTATTTTTTTAATAGAGATGAGGTCTCCCTATGTTGCCCAGGCTGGGAATGGCCTTTTCTAAACCAGTTTCTTCTCATTGAGAGGTTGATGGTAGTGCCAAGGGCATATCCCTATAAAAGAAAATGAAGAGTTCACTTGCCTTATCTCTTTGGCACAACCCTGGAACTCTGTGGGACTCTGATCAGCTGCACATGTCTGCAGGGAGAGACAGTGAGTGGTCCTCAAATTCTTCAGTGAATTGGGTCTGAACAGAGGGTGCAGTCTTTGCCCAGAGCAGAGTTCCACCCTCCTCTTCAGTCCTAGGGTTCATACCTGCCTAGGAGTGCCTGTGGCTGCCATGGTATGTGAGTGTTTCCATGGCTGTGCAAGCTAGGATGGTAAGATGCCCTGAGGTCTGCGTCCAGAGCTGGGCAGCCTTTGTCCTATTTCCTGTTCAATGCTGCAGCCCTCACTCCCTGGTTCTGGTGTCCTGCTGGGCAAGTTGGTGACCACCAGCTCTCCAATGGTCTGGGATAGCTCCATGGCAAGGGAGGGCTTGCCCCAGCCCAGGTCAGCTATCCAGCTTTTTGGCCAGCTGGCAAGTCTGGCCAAGAAGACGTGCTGAACAGTGCTGAGCTTGCTCACTGGGTGAAAGGTGATATTATCATTCCTGCTGAGCCATCTCTTGGCAGCTCCTCAAGAGGGTGTGCTATCACAGAGAAAGGGAGCGGCTTTCAAGCATAGGCAGGGCTGCTTCTGGTCCAGCCAGGTGCCTTCTTCCCAGACAAGCTGAGTCAAGGACTTGCCACCAGCCGGGGCGCCCCGACTTACTTCCCACTTTGTCCTGAGCGTGCCGTGGCACTTTCCCAGCCACTGAAGTCATAGGCCCACGTGGAGTTACTAGAGCAGCATAGGGGGTGGGGGATGGGAGGGTGTCCTGGAGGGCTGGGGAAGGCCACCTTCACCCAATACTGCTCTCCTGCCCTACCTCTAGCCAGCCGACTTCCACTGGGTGTCCCAGGCAGTCAGTCATCTTGCCTCCCTGAGCCTTCATTTCACGGTCTGTGGAGTGATGGTGACAGTTGCACCTCACACTTGTATAGATAAATGTAGTCATGAGTAACCCATGTGAACTAAATGATGCTGTGTTTTACCCACGTAGGGGGAAGTTAGAGGCTATTCAAGATGTGGGAAGGGAAGGTGCCCATTCTGGTTAGAAGGAATAGAAGAATCTCACCCCTTTCCTGGCACTGGACCTGCCATGCCAGAATTTGGTGTGTTTCCCCTCCCTTCCCTGGAAGATACTTGGCAGTAGGTCCTCTGTGGTGGCTGAAGCAGGAAGGGGCTCCCGCACTTCGAGACCTCAGTCAGGCTGTCCAGGAGAATGTGTTTCTGACCGTGGTCCTTGGCTGTGACCCTCAAGCTTTGTACCACTAGCTGGAAGAGTAGATGACCAAGGTCGAAGTGGCTTTTTAATTTATTTTTATTTTTATTTTTAATTTTAGATAGGGTCTCAGTCTGTTGCCCAGGCTGGAGTGCAGTGGCATGATCATAGCTCACTACAGCCACAACTCCTGGGTGCAAGCAATCCTCTTGCCTTAGCCTCCCTAGTAGCTATGGCTACAGGTGTGTGCCAACATGCCTGGCTAATTTTCTTTTTCTTTTTTTTTTTTTTTTTGAGACAGAGTTTTGCTGTTGTCGCCCAGGCTGGAGTGCAGTGGCACGATCTTGGCTCACCGCAACCTTCGCCTCCAGGGTTCAAGCGATTCTCTTGCCTCAGCCTCCCGAGTAGCTGGGATTACAGGCACCCGCCACCACGCCCAGCTAATTTTGTATTTTTAGTAGAGACGGGGCTTCACCATGTTGGTCAGGCTGGTCTTGAACTCCTGACCTCAGGTGATCCGCCCGCCTTGGCCTCCCAAGGTGCTGTGATTACAGGCGTGAGCCACCGTGCCCAGCCGATAATTTTCTTTTTTTTAATTTTTGTAGAGTTGAGTCTTACGTTGCCCAGGCTGCTCTTGAACTCCTAGCCTCAAGCAGTCCTCCTGCATTGGCCTCTCAG
This sequence comes from Homo sapiens, assembly GCF_000001405.40. NCBI lineage: Eukaryota > Metazoa > Chordata > Mammalia > Primates > Hominidae > Homo > Homo sapiens. The sequence goes on from NC_000016.10 coordinate 68,073,851, forward strand.
AGTGCTGGGATTACAGATGTGAGCCACTGCTCCTGGCCAGTGGTGGTTCTTCTTATGGGGGTCACATTGCCTTGGCTACACATACATCTCTGGTGCCTTCTTGGAGCTCCTTTCCCTGCCATCAGAGCATAGCCCAGGCCTTAGAGCCTGCCTGGGCATCAGGCAAGTCATTTCTTTTCTCAGGCGGTGCAGTATGACAACCACTACACCAACACCAAGTACTGCTTGTGCCAGATGCTACGAGAACAGCTGGAGTCGCCCCAGGGAAGGTTGCTCCATGCTGCCCAGTCTTCCCGGGAAATTTGGTAAGAGGCACAATAAGATGTCCATCTGTCCTTGTACGCATTGCCCAAGTTTGACTTTGAGCCCTAAGCTGACTCCACCAGGGGACCAGGGACACAGCTTCTGGATGTAGATGTAGAGGAGTGGAGTGATGGTACAGCTTTGCCTCCCAGGAGGGGATTCTTTGAAAGCTTTGAAACGTCCCATCCCTGGACGGATCAGCAGAGCTCTGGGAACTAGGGTACTAGAAGGATAGAGGAATGCAAAGGAAGGGGATTTTCCATAAATGGGATAGTCACAGGCCAGGCCCCCAGGAACCAGTGGTCAGGAGAATTGGGCTGTAGCATGGAGCCTCTACCTTGAGCCTGCACTCACATCCATCACCCTGCAGTTTGAGAGACCACCTGTTGATTCTCTAGATCAGGTGCAGCTCTAGCTCAGATGGTTGACAGTTGAGGCCCTTCACAAGCTGGCCTAGCCACTGCCCCCACAGCTCCCTGTCTACCTGTCTGCTTCCAGAACTCCACACCTGTGCTTGTAATGGGTCGTCTGCCTGGAAGGCTCTCTCCCTCTCACGTGAGCTATCTGTAGCCTCCCTCTTACATAGATGCCTTTCTGAACCACTTTTGCCATTGGGGATCTATCTTCGTTTGAGTCTTCCAGCCTTCAAGATGTTTCCTAGAAGGGAAAAACCTTTGCCAGAGCCCTCTTCCCACCCTTGGCTTATGGCATTGGTTCAGTCCCTACCCCACATAACTCTGTAGCTCTGGGTGGTGCCTCAGTGTCAGCTGAGACCCATGTATAACTGCCTGTGGCTGGGCGGGAAGTGGGGAACCACTTAGTGGTCAGGCCTCTGTCTCTTCCTCCCATGGGCCCATGTGCTTGATCAGCATTGGTTAACTCAGTCACGGCTGGCTGGGGATACCATCTGTGTGCTTCCCCTCAGGAGAGAGGCTGCAGGTGGTGGGGGTGACCTTTACAACCTTTGCCACCCAGCCCAGCCTCCCTCCAGTGTCCACGCTTGGGTTCACATTCACTTTCCATCTTCCAGTCCACAGTAATCCCAGGGCTGGGCAGGGGGCACATTCTGATGGCCAGGCCCCGGTGGTGTTTTGGTGTATGTGGTAGAGGAGTTTCTCAGTGGTGGGGCCCTGGGGTCCTGCAGTACCCTGGATGCTGGCTCCGCTAAAGTGTTTGCTCTGATCTGCTTCTTCCTCCCTAGTGAGGCCTTTGGCCTTGGTGCCTTCTATGAGGAGACCACACAGGAGCTGGATGCCCAGCAGGCCAGGCTCTCAGCCAAGACTTCAGAGCAGACAGGGGAGCCAGCTGAAGATACCTCTGGTGTCATTAAGATGGCTGTCAAGTTTGACCGGTAGGTCTCCAGCTTGGCCTCAGCTTGGGCTAGGGCCAGCACCCTTGGGGTCCCACTGGGCCAGCACACTGGCTGCTGTATGTGCTTAATGTCAAACGTAGGGACCACAGGTCTTGTTGGTTTGGAAACTCGTTCTAAATTTTCAGCATCCCATAGAAGGTGCTTTCAGGGGAGATAGTCCCTGAAAGGCTGTCCCAAGGATAACTGAACTCTACTTTTTCCCTGATTTACCGCCTCCCACAACTCAGGGCAGGGGGGACTTGTCTCCTGTTCCTGAAAGTCTGTGCTTTTCCAAGGCCCTGAGGAACTGGCTCCTGGCATGAAGCTCCTCAAACAACAGCAGGACCCTAGCCCTCATTTGGCTCTGCAGCCCCTACCCACACCCAGTGCCCCTCACCAGCTCTGTGGTGCTCTCTCAAGCTGCTTACGCCTCAGATTGTGACTCAGCTTTGAATGGTGCCCTCCTCTGGGATCTGAGCCTTTCTCCAGTCCCCAGGACCAGACAGGAGCCAGTCTTGTCTGGCAGAGGTGTGGAGAGGGGGAGCAGGGTGGTGGGGAATAGCTGTTGGGCAGTCAGATGCCAGGGAGAGTTCCAGTTGGGAAGTTGGAATATGACCCCTCCCACCCTGTCACTGTGTCACCCTGTCACAGGCTGACTCTGAAACCAGATTCCAAGTGTCCATGGCTGCAGCAGATGATCATGACACTTGGCAGGCGGAATCAGGATGGGCGCTGAGCTAGATCCCCGAGACCATTGTCTGGCTACCTCCATTGCCCACCTCCACCCACTCCCTACTAATCTTGTCTTGAGTGGCAAGCTTCCTTCTTGGATGTTGAACATTGTTTTTCCAGTCTGGACCTCAGAGTACTGGGAGTTCATTCCCCCTTCCCTTACAATTTCTTGAGCATGCCAAAATTCATCTTCCCTTTAGGGAGAACCCAGGTCCAAGCTGCTGGTAGGACAAGAATGGGAGCCTAGGGGAGCAAGTACAGAAGCCTTAAGGCAGCAGCTCGGTGTCTCAGTTCCTCTCATTTCTGCAGCTCCTTTCAGGAGCTGAGTAGTGCCCTGGCTGAGGGAGGGAGCGGTGATGGTGGGTGACCCCAACTGCTTCCCTTCCTTTCCCCAGGAGAGCATACCCAGCCCAGATCACCCCTAAGATGTGCCTACTAGAGTGGTGCCGGAGGGAGAAGTTGGCACAGCCTGTGTATGAAACGGTGAGTTCCTGGCTGTGGCCTGCCCTGCAGCCAGTCACAGCACTCCCATGGCTTACACCCTCAACTCTAGATTGCCAGGCTGGAGCCTGGCCTTGACCTCTGTAGGCATGGAGAAGCTGCTGGTGGCCAGGTCAGTTGCTGATAGCCCTCCCCTCTTACAGTGGCCTGTTGTCCAGTTCAGCCAGACATCTCTCTTTTTTTTTTTTTTGAAACAGAGTCTAATTTTTATTTTTTATTTTTTAGAAATGTGGTCTCAGCCGGGCACGGTGGCTCATGCCTGTAATCCCACAACTTTGGGAGGCCGAGGCAGGTGGAACACGAGGTCAGGAGTTCAAGACCAGCCTGGCTAAGATGGTGAAACCCCGTTTTCCTAAAAATACAAAAATTAGCTGGACATGGTGGTGGGCGCCTGTAATCCCAGCTACTTGGGAGGCTGAGGCAGAGAACTGCTTAAACCTGGAGGCAGAGGTTGCAGTTAGCTGAGATCATGCCACTGCACTCCAGCCTGTCTCAAAATAAATAAATAAATAAATAAATGGGGTCTTGCTTTGTTGTCCAGGCAGGCTGGTCTCAAACTCCTGTGCTCAAGTGGTCCTCCTTCCTCAGCCTCCCAAAGTGCTGGGATTATAGGTCATGAGCCTTTTTTAAAAATTTTATTTAATTATTTAATTATTTATTTATTTTTTGAGACGGAGTCTCGCTCTGTTGCCTAGGCTGCAGTGCAGTGGCATGATCTTGGCTCACTGCAACCTCCGCCTCCAGGTTCAAGTGATTCTCCTGTGTCAGCCTCCTGAGTAGCTGGGATTACAGGTGGGTACCACCACACCTGGCTAACTTTTTTGTATTTTCAGTAGGGATGGGGTTTCACCATCTTCACCAGGCTGGTCTCGAACTCCTGACCTCAGATGATCCCCCGACCTCGGCCTCCCAAAGTGCTAGGATTACAGGCGTGAGCCACCGCACTTGGCCCAGACATGTTTTTGGATCAAGCCTCAGCCAATGGGGCACAGAATTGAGCCCCAGATGTGGTGCCCCTGGGGTGGAAACCATGAGATAGGCTTGCTTCACTTCCTTTGGTCCTTGCAGCCATGCCTTCCTTAGGCTGCTCTGCCTCATCTGGACTGGTCTTCTGGCCTCAAGGCTTATACCTTCTGGGGGTTGTGTCTGTGTCCCCACTCCCCCCCACCCCCACCACAGTGACTTTTCCAGAACAAATCTAACTTCTGTCTCCTCAAGTCAGCAGCTCCCCAGTATCTGAAGGATCAAGCCAGCACCTCAGCATAGAGCCTGAGACCCTTCCATGTGCCTCGCTCCTTCCAGTTTCATCCCTGCAGCCCTTTGCTCCAGCCAAGTCACCTGGTCCCTCTGCCACGTGTGCCTTCTCTGCTCCTAGCTTGTCCCTTCTCACCCTTTTGGCATCTGGTGACTCCTCATTTTGGGGACCTGGCCTATCCAGATGTCAGCAGGAGGCTCCATAGTCATGTGCAGCTAAGGGCTCTGCTGCGCTTTGCTTAGGTCTGTGACAGCTCCAGACACTTGAGGTCATTGTGTATTTGTGCCTTTCTCCACTGGGCACTTTTGCTTGGGAGGAGCATGTGATACAGGCAGCCTTCATTTGACTTAGGTTGGAAACACTTCCTTTTATCTGCCTTTGATTTGACCCCAGCAGTTTGGCCTACAGGGCTCATTTCTCTGGCCATGTGATTCCTTTTCTCTTTGTATCAGGTTCAACGCCCTCTAGATCGCCTGTTCTCCTCTATTGTCACCGTTGCTGAACAAAAGTATCAGTCTACCTTGTGGTAAGTTTCCTTATCATAGGAGAGGAGGCTTGGGGTGGGGCGGAGAGTGGGCATTCTGCCCACACATCCAGCATTGTCCTAGGAGGGTTGGGTAGATGGTATATGTGGGCAGTGGCATCCCTGGATGGTGACCCCTTACTCAGTCTTGTCAGAATCTGCCAAGGATGTGTAGAGTCAGGCCTCATAGCCCTGCACCCTGCCCCTCACCTTATTGCCCTCTGTCTGCTCAGGGACAAGTCCAAGAAACTGGCGGAGCAGGCTGCAGCCATCGTCTGTCTGCGGAGCCAGGGCCTCCCTGAGGGTCGGCTGGGTGAGGAGAGCCCTTCCTTGCACAAGCGAAAGAGGGAGGCTCCTGACCAAGACCCTGGGGGCCCCAGAGCTCAGGAGCTAGCACAACCTGGGGATCTGTGCAAGAAGCCCTTTGTGGCCTTGGGAAGTGGTGAAGAAAGCCCCCTGGAAGGCTGGTGACTACTCTTCCTGCCTTAGTCACCCCTCCATGGGCCTGGTGCTAAGGTGGCTGTGGATGCCACAGCATGAACCAGATGCCGTTGAACAGTTTGCTGGTCTTGCCTGGCAGAAGTTAGATGTCCTGGCAGGGGCCATCAGCCTAGAGCATGGACCAGGGGCCGCCCAGGGGTGGATCCTGGCCCCTTTGGTGGATCTGAGTGACAGGGTCAAGTTCTCTTTGAAAACAGGAGCTTTTCAGGTGGTAACTCCCCAACCTGACATTGGTACTGTGCAATAAAGACACCCCCTACCCTCACCCACGGCTGGCTGCTTCAGCCTTGGGCATCTTCATAAATGGGCTTGTGTCCTGGCATGATTCTACTCCCACCCTCTGTGCAGAGCTTGAGCTTTCCAAAGTGGATCTCCTGCCCATCTCTGTGGGTCTGGTAGAGGTGGGGAATGGGGTATCACTGGACTTGGGCCAAGTTAGGAAGGCCCAAGAAGCCCATTCTACTGATGGTACACCTGACACACTGGGCATCAATTGTATGTCCTGATGAGAGGTGATATGGAATCTGGAAGAAAGACTAGGGTAACTGGTGCTGCAGTAAGGGACTAGTCCAGTGGGGTGGGGAGTGTTGGTCTGATCCCCAGAGTCTCCAAGCCTGACAGCTGCCTGGAGTCTCAGACCTGATGAGGTGCCTGCTTTGGACAGTGGGGCACTGGAGGCGGCTGATGACAGCAATTTGGGGCCCTTATGTTTGGCAGATCACACCACACAGTCCCTCCCGTCCCCCGCCTTCCTCATCCCACTTGGGGCGGAAGGAAGTGGCAGATTCTCTTTAATTTCCTCCTGGCAGTGAGAAGCAAACAAACGGCTACCGCATCTCATGGGGCCTCCCCCGCTTACTGGGAGGGGCGTTCTGACCAAAGGTCCCTGCCCTGTCCTGCCCCCGCTTCCTCAGCTGTAAACATGCTGCTTCTCCTCCCTTTTTCCAGGCTCCATTGGGGAGTGGGGAGGGGAGGAGTCCCCTCTGGGTCAAAGCTGTATTTCCCACATCTCCCCTGTGTCAGAGCTTTACTGTTTTGTGGCAACTTTAACACAGGGTCAGGCACCTGTGCCAGCCAGCAGCCTCTGGCCCTGCTGGCCTCTGAGTCTAGGGTTTGGTGGGTGAGGCCTCTGTCTCAGTTCCAGCACCGCCCCCCTCCCCCCTGCCACCCACGCTTGCTTTTCTGTGTGCAGATAAGGATACCGCACTACCCACTGCCTCCCAGAGCTCATTGCTGTTTGACCTTGGGCAACTCACTTCTAGTCCTCTCTGTCCTGAGGGCCCTCCTCTTAGAGGGGATCCGCTGTCCTCTGCCTGTGTGAGGCTGGCTGGAGGACAGTAGGCTGGCCCTTTGATAGGACTCTGCATGGTTAATGGGGTCATTCCATGCCAGGCTGCCCTAACTGACTTCCCAGACCAGTGCTCCCCGAGAAAGGGCTCCACTCAGGAGAAAGACTGAGGCTTGGTCCAGTCTCAGCCACCAAGCTTTAGGCACAATTTATTTCTGATTTTTCTTCTTTTTTTTTTTCATAGAGATAGAGTCTTGCTATGTTGGCCAGGTTGATCTTGAATGCTTGGCCTCAAGCAGTCCTCCCGCCTCACCCTCCCAAAGTGCTGGGATTACAGGCATGAGCTACTGCGCCTGGCCTATTTCTGATTTTTCGTACTAAAAACAATCTCAATCAAAATGCCTCCTTTGGCTGGGTATGGTGGCTCACACCTGTAATCCCAGCACTTTGGGAGGCCGAGGTGGGTAGATCACTTGAGCTTGGGAGTTCAAGACCAGCCTGCTGGGCAATGTGCCAAAACCCTGTCTACAAAAAAATATAAAAATTAGCCAGGTGTGGCCGGGTGCGGTGCCTTACGCCTGTAATCCCAGCACTTTGGGAGGCCGAGATGGGCGGATCACGAGGTCAGGAGATCAAGACCATCCTGGCTAACATGGTGAAACCCTGTCTCTACTAAAATTACAAAAAATTAGCTGGGCCTGTTGGCGGGCACCTGTAATCCCAGCTACTTGGGAGACTGAGGCAGGAGAATGGCATGAACCCGGGAGGCGGAGCTTGCAGTGAGCCAAGATCATGCCACTGCACTCCAGCCTGGGCGACAAAGTGAGACTCTGTCTCGAAAAAAAAAAAAAATTAGCCGGGTGTGGTGGCACGTGCCTATAGTCCTAGCTACTCAGGAGGCTGAGGTGGGTGGATCACTTGAGCCCAGGAGGTTGAAGCTGCAGTGAGCCATGATGGCACTACTGTGTTTCAGCCTGGGCAACAGAGCAAGACCCTGTCTCAAAAAAACAACAACAAAAAACAAAAATGCCCCCTTTGCCTTTTCTTATACTCCAACTGGAACTGGTCAGACAGAGGCTGCAGTGCTGCCCGCCCCCACCAAGTCACTGAGTCCTAAGACCTACCTCCCCAGTGGAACTGGGCTTTGATCTCAGGCCACTTCTCCCACCAGTATGGTTTCCCTGGGGGAAGCCCCTCCTCTGGCAGGGTCAGGTTCATTTCTGGGCTCTGGGGAAGGAGAGGCAGGGATTCAGGTCTGCTATTAAGATAGAGGCTGTAATGTGGGGGCTTTGAGGGCCCTGGGAAGCACTGGGGAGAGAATCCTTTACAGGGGAGGAAGGTGGGGTGGGTCTACTATATATTCTGTGACTGAGGATGTCTGGCAGAGATCCTGGTTGGATATGTTAATCCTCAAATGATCTCACTTTAGCATACCTCAGTGTTGCCTTTCCTGGTCTCAAAGTGACCTGCCCAAGGATGGGACTGACTGGGGGGTGGAGGGGGACAGTCAGGCCTGAAAGCTCTGCCCATTGTTCTCACCATGTCCACCTTAAACTGGGCCACTTAGACTCCCAAACCTCTCCCTGGGCTAGTAGCCACAACACTTATCCATCCATTCCAGCCAGCCTGATTGAGGATTTCCCCTTAGATCATCACATTTGGGGGACAAATGGTTTTGATATGAGCATGAGAGGAAGGGATGAGTAAGGCTGGAGAGGGTGGCAGGTCTCTCAAAGGCCACAGCAAGAAGACTGGGCTGTGTGCAAAGAATCTCTTCCACCCTCAGTTCTGGATACTTGGGTCCTTCCAGTTTACTCTGCTCAGAACTCTTCCATGGGTCTCTTAAGTCTGCTCTCTGGACCAAGTCCAAACTCCTCAGCCTGGCATTTGAGGACAAAGTGCTGACCCTGTCTTCTCAGCACCCTGTGCTGACTTCAGCAACTAACTTTCTGAGATTGTAGTTGGCTGGTCTTATCCTCTCCTCCCAGATTGGGAGCTGCTCAAGGGCAGTCCTTGTGTCCCCTGTGGCTACCTTGGCATGGGTCTGGGGAGCAGGCACAGAAGAATCAAACCAGAGCTTGGGATGAGGGGGATGTTTGGCATGGAGAGGAAGAACTTTTCTAAACTCTGAATTTCCTCAGAGGCTCCTGTTTTGCCTAATGGGGAACAAGGGACTGGGGCAGGCTAAACTGTACCATCCCATGGCTCAGAGGGCACTGAAGAACTTCAACAATGGGTGCTTGGGAACAGTCCTGTGGCAGCTGATGATAATGATGGCTTTCCCTAATTCCCAGTCTTGGGTGGCATTCATACAGGAGAGAGTGGTTGTACAGTGACCCACATAGCCCTTGTCCACCCTGGGGTTCCACCTACTGCACTGGTCCTGTGGGCCTCCTGGTTTCACAGGGCTCTCAGAGGGCTGAAGGTGGGTCCAGATGACCTGCAGGAGCTTTGGAACTGCCTGAAGAAGAGCTCATGGGGGTACATACTGGCCCTAGCTGGGGCAAAGGGCTGAAAGAGTATGTACATATCGGTGTATGTGTGTGGTCAGGCCCCTTCACAGGCTGCAGAGTTCCCAGCCGTTGCTGACTTTCTTACACACATGGTGACTCTCTTCCTGCAGTTGGTGCCCATCCCTGTCCCAGCCCTCACCATTCCTTGGTGAGATCAGAAACCCTCCCTACAATGTAATCTGTTCTAAGTGTTCTCCAGGTGCTCAGTGGCTGGGAAGACAGATGCATAGCTGAGCATTTGATGAGTGGTTGAATTTTTCAAGCCATCTACAGCTTCTCTGTGGTCCCTTCCCAGTGGAGGGGCTGACCAGCCCAGGGTCTCCCTCCTGCCTGCTGTCTGGTCTGACTATGGCTGATCCCATGATTTAGGTGAAGTCATGTCTGGAGGGACTTCAGATGAGCTGGCCAAGCCTCTGGGACCTTATACTGTATCAGGATCCTGTTACATGTGGTACAAATAGGTGGGCCAGCAACCTGCCTGAGGCAGAGGGCTCTAGAGCTGATGTGGCATTTGGGCCCCAAGTTCCACACTCAGGCCCTCAAGGTTGGAGATTTGCAGGCAGGACAGGTTATTGGGAAGGATAGTCCACCCGTCTAATGCCAGTTGTTCCCTCTCCTTGACCACATTATCTTCTCCCTCTGACTTCATTCACCCCTGTCCCAGTTGAATCTAGTGATCCATCCAGAATTCTGACCATGTAAATCCCCTGCTCTAAGTCCTTCCACTGCTCCCTACTGCCGTCAGGATAAAGTCCAGACACTTTGCAGTGGCCTGCAGCATTCTGCCCACTCATCCGGCCCCACCTTAGGCTTCTGCCCACTGCAGGTTACTTTATGGTTATCAAGTCTTTGGAAATCTGTTCTCTGCCTGGAATGAAACTTGCTCACTTCTTGTCTGTCACTCCGGTTCCTACTAACCCCTGTCAAGGCCCTGCAGCTAGCAGGCTTATGAACTGTCTCTGAGCTCCTGGCACAACCCTCATCTCTTTGTACAGTAATTATAGATTTGCTGGTCCCCTCTCCCCTACCCCTGAAGGGAGACTTTATCTCTGAATCCCCAGGAACAGCACAGGTACCGGTACAAAACACTGGGCAGAAATGAAGCAATACAAGATGAACGTCTTGGATGCCCTGGACATTCCCTGTCTTCCTGACCCAAGGTCTAGTTTGGCTCCCTCTAGGGCTCCCTGGTAGCTCAAGTGTCAGTCCAGACATTGAGACCTCGGCAAAGAGCTTCCCTTTACCCTCTCTTCCCACTGGCCTTTGTGGGCGGTGTGGAATGTGCTGTAGGCCTTGCGAGAGCGGCATTTCTTTTTTTTTTTTCTCTCTTTTTTTTTAACCTATTGTAGCCTCTGAGAGGGCAGCATTTTTGGGCGCACCTGCACCCAAGCCTCTGACAGTGCCCTGGGTTCCTCCAGCAACGCGCATCTAGGGATGCTATGCCCTGTGGGCCCTATGCCCGGGGCACGGAGCTAGGGGAGGCGGTCACCCTACTTCTCTCACGTCCCTGTCCACCTTGCGCCTCAGCGGAGCCTTAGGTAAACAAGCCAGGCTCCCAGTCCCCAAGGACGGCCTTCACCCCAGACCCCAGGAGGAGGCGTCTTGGGCCATCTCGGGAAGGCTAGCTTGCTCGGGAGGGGCAGATCACGAAAACGGTTCTTTAGGCAGTGTCACTTCCTCTCCACTGCCAGCCACCCAATTTAGGCGGCTCCATCCCTCCCGCTTTCATGGATATGCAGCAGGATGCAGAGAGCACAGAGCTGTGATTGGCACGAGCTCACAACGGGCTTTCCCGCTCAATCTACTCAACTTCCAGCAAGGGACAGGCCCTGCCCATTGGGGTTCGCTGAGGCCTCAAACGCGCATGCTGTCAAGGGAGCAGCTGCGGGGGCCCGCTAGTGGGGACAAAGGCGCAGCCACCGGGGCGAAAGCTCCGCCCCGCAGAGGGTGGGCCTGCGGCGACCGCGAGCTCAGAGTCCGGACTTGTCGCGCAATCTGTCTCCTTCGGTTCCACCCCAACCTAGCTGGACTCTCGGTCCGGTCCCTGCCCTCTGGAGACTCAGCCATTAAAGTTGAGGTGGGGGGATGAGGATGTGGGCGGCGTCCAGGTAACTCTGAGGGGCCCTGATGCCTTCCCTAGAGCCAGCCATCAGGAGTAACACGATGCGCCCCCACATCACCGAACCCAGAACCTCAGTGCTTCAGCACCCCTTCCTCGACATGAGCTCCGCCCAATGAGGAGAAGGGTCTTCTGCATTGGCCGGTGGTGGTCCCCTATCCAATTAGAGAGGCTAACGGCCTTCTCTCGTCTGGTTTAGAAGGAATCGCCGGGGGAATACAGGCCAAACTACAATTCCCGAGAGGTAGCTGGGCTCTGCGGGGGGGGGGGGGGGGGCGCCTGCGTGTTCACGTGACTTCCTTCCTTCTCGCGGAGACCGAGTTACGCGATAGGCCTGTGAGGGGGCGGGGCCCGGCGCCTGTTCGCCGTGTTAGTGGCCAATCGGCAGCCAGGCAGGGTGGGCGCGCGTAGGGGGCGGGGCCGGGCGCGCGGCAGGGCGCGAGAGCGCACCCGCGGCGGCGGTGGCGGCGACTGTGGGGGGGCGGCGGGGAACATTGGCTAAGCCGACAGTGGAGGCTTAGGCACCGGTGGCGGGCGGCTGCGGTTCCTGGTGCTGCTCGGCGCGCGGCCAGCTTTCGGAACGGAACGCTCGGCGTCGCGGGCCCCGCCCGGAAAGTTTGCCGTGGAGTCGCGACCTCTTGGCCCGCGCGGCCCGGCATGAAGCGGCGTTGAGGAGCTGCTGCCGCCGCTTGCCGCTGCCGCCGCCGCCGCCTGAGGAGGAGCTGCAGCACCCTGGGCCACGCCGATGACTACTGCAAACTGTGGCGCCCACGACGAGCTCGACTTCAAACTCGTCTTTGGCGAGGACGGGGCGCCGGCGCCGCCGCCCCCGGGCTCGCGGCCTGCAGGTGGGTGCCGGGCCAGGCGGGACCGTGGAGCGACCCCGCTTCTCGCTCGCAGGATCTCTCGCTCCCTCCCTGTTCCCTTGGATGACCGGAGACCGATAACCCTGTGTGTGTGTGTGCGCGCGCGTGTGTGTGGTGAGTTAAAAACGGATTTAAATCGCTGAGGAGGCGTGTGGGTCGCTGCGACGTGGAAGTGGTGGCGGGCTTGGCTGGAAGCAAACTAGTGGGGAACTCGACTCCGGGACGATCGGGGTTTGGAGGCCCAGGGTCCGGGCTGCTGCCCAAGTGGCGTCTGGTTGTCGTTGCTTTGCCAGTGTGTTGCAAGGAAAATGTTGTCCCTGTGAATTGTTAGCGCACTGGGTTTTTCATCTATTCTAGGTCGTTTCTTGAAATTTTAGTTTGAAAGATGCTTATTTTTCAACGGTAGGACCCCTCTAAAAATCAGGCACGTGTTTTTTTAAGTCTACTTTGCTAGAAGAGTAATGCTTTCGAGTTAACGTCCACTCGTGCAAGTTTATGACCCACAATTAATTCGAAGTGTAACTGTAACGGGACTTTTCTGGAAACTGGATTTCCTTACTTGAATAAAGTGTTCCGGAAGATTTTTTTTTTAATAGTGGGTTGCTTTTTTCATAATTTTCCTAGAAAGTTCTAGAAGTCGATTTTTATTTAAAGAAAAATCTCTCCTTGGAAGATATTTTAAAGGAAATCTTGAATTGGGAAAGCTGGGCACCATCATGCTTGCAGGTCAGACCAATCAGGAAATAGAAACAGGATGACTGGGGACTTAGAGCTCTTTTGTGACCTGGTTTGGAATACTGTGGTTCATTAAGTTCAGTTTCCCTGTTACATATGCATACGAACTTCAAAAAGGAAATGGATAAGAGTAATCCCTATTTTTTCTTGCCTGGTATGAGGTGAATTTCTTAATGTTCATGTTTGATGTTCAGTAGACTGTTCTGTAGAGTTGCATTGAAAAAACATACCTGAACGTGAGGCATGAGGATTCTCTAGGCGGTACTTATTTTATCGGTCCTTTTAGTCTTCATATGCTAGATGTCTTTTTCACTGTAGTACATAATTTATAATAGTTATGTGTTGGCTGCGTTTATTTTCAATTCCATTAACATAATTTGAGCACCTATTACGTCGAACCACTCTTACGGACCCTGTAGTGTTATGATGAGGCAGAGGACTGAGGCTTTTCAAGGAGTTTGGGAAATAGTTGGAGGAGACACATAGTCCAAGTAATAACTGTACTACTAGGAAGTCTGTGAATGGTGATGCATTTTATAGTAGAGGAAGAAACAGGAAAAGTGGCATTTGTGGAGAGTGTAGCATTGAATTGTATCTAGATTATCGGGACTTGAAAGAAAAACAGCTTGTTTGAGTATTTTTATTGTAAAAGAGATAAACAGTTGATGATGTCAGCAGATTTTATTGGGCACAAACTTGATTAGAGCATATATACAAATATATGATCGATAAGGGTGTTAACCAAACATATGAATAATAAAGGAATTGTGTGACTACATAAGTAGGAATTGTATATACAACCAAAATACTGAATAACATTTCAAAGCTATGAAAAAATTTTTAATGATCTTTACCATACGCAAAAGCCATTTTGATATTAAAATAGGTCTAAAAGGAGTTATCTGTAACTTGATTTATAACTGAAATTTCAAAAGGTAAACATCAGCAGTTTTATTTGTCACATAAAGTCCACTTTAAAATATTTTAAGCAGGTAATTTTTTTTAAAGTTTTTTTAATATTAAGGCAAAATACATATGAAAAAACAAACCTTCTTAAAGTGAACAATTGAGTGCATTCAGTGTTGTGCAGCTACTGCTTCTGTCTACTTCTAAAACATTTTCTTCATCCAAAAGAAAACTCAGTACCCATTAAACAGTTGCCCCATATTTTTCCTTCCCTCCTCCCAACCCCTAGTAGCCACCAGTCTGGGATCTGTCTCTATGGTACCTCTTCTAGATATTTTATATAAATAGGATAATATAATATGTGACCTTTTGTGTCGGACTACCTCATTCCTTTCTATGGCTGAATAATATTCCATCGTGTGTGTGTATAAAGGAACACAATTTGTTCACCAATTGATGGACATTTGGGCTTTTTCTGCCTTTTGGCTATTGTGAATAGTGCTGCTATGAACACATAGCAATTAATTTTGAAATTCTGTTGAGGATGTGTTATATATTCACAGCTAAGTTTTCAGAATTACTTGTTCACAAAATAAGTTTTCATTTTACTAAGCATAATTATGAGTATGTAGTTTGAAGGAACAAAGTGGATTCACTGAAATGATTTTAGGATAATATATGCAGTAAAGTGGAAAATAAGAATAAAATGGTTAGTAGAATTCAGATCCTTGCTGGGTTATATCAGTGTGTTTGCCGAACTTATTTTTGGATTCTCTTCCTCACTGGAATGGAAGTTCCTTGAGGTCGGGGATAGTGTCTGTATCTTTTTCAGTTATATTATCAGTGCCTAGCTAGCACAGTGCCTTTACATAGTAGGCACTATATATATAATATATAACATATATTATATATAAAATACATATATATTTACATATATAATGTATATTTCATATATAATATATAATGTATTATATACATTATATACTCATATACTATATAATATATAAAATGCATATAATTATATATAATATATGTAGTGTATATAATATATATTTTATATATTATATATAATGTTTATTATATATTTTATATATATTTTTTCTTTTTTGAGGCAGGGTCTCGCCCTGTCGCCCAGGCTGGGATGCAGTGGCGTGATTTCAGCTTACTGCAGCCTCGACCTCTGGGGTTCAAGCGATTGTCCCGCCTCTGCCTCCTGAGTAGTTGGGATTACAGTGGTGTGCTGCCACAGCTGGCTACGTTTTGTGTTTTTAGTAGAGACAGAGTTTCACCATGTTGGCCAGGCTGGTCTGGAACTCCTGACCTCAAGGGATCCTCCTGCCTCAGCCTCCCAAAGTGGTGGGATTACAGGCATGGGCCACTGCACCCTGCCCAATATATATATTTTTAAATAGAGATGGAAGTCTCACTATGTTGCCCAGGCTAGTCTGGAACTCCTGGGCTCTCCTGTTCTGGCTTCCCAAAATGCTGGGATTACAGGTGTGAGCCACTGCACATAGCCCCTATATTTTGTTAAATAAGTGAATAAATAACACCTAAGTTTTGAATCATTGCTCACTGCTCTTTCGTGGTAGAGGAAATTGACGAGAATTGTTTCAGTTCTTTGGCTTTTATTGATGAGTTCCATAAATTAGATCTTGGTAATTTGGGGCTGCAGTGGTTTTACATCTCTGAAGGTTTGGGAGTACTTGTATCACAACTAAATTTCCATACAGTGAGAAGATTTTTGAAAAATAGTGAGGTAAGTGGATAGAGAGTGAGGACAAGCCAAGGGCTGAATTTAGTGAATGTCCTAAGCAAGCTTGTTAAAGTGCTAATTAGATGATGTGAGATGGACTTGATAACGCTTAATAATGTTGTATGTTGTATACATTTGTGACTGACGACTGACTTTTTAAGACTACTGTTTGCGAGATATTTTGAGATTTTTTTCCATTAAAGAAAATTTAAGACCCTAGAGTCGTCAGCTTTCTTATTTATTTATTTTTTTAGACAGTCACATTTAGTAGTGGGGGGTTGTATACCAACTTTAGTGACGCTAATGTTAATACATTATAATAACTCTCTACCGTCAGACCAGCCTACCTTGTTTTTTTAAATATGACAGTGCTATCTCTGATTTCTGCAGTTAAAAATGAACTAAACTTTTTTTTAACATTCTTTTACTTAATATCTAGCTCTAAATAGATGATATACCTCAGTAGTAAATAGGAAATTTAAAATAGGTACATGTTTAATGTATTCCATTAACATTGTTTGCCATTATAAAGGGCAGCCTGTGGTACTCTATTTTAGTGTAGTGATTGTGTATCTCTAAGTTTGATGTTATAATAATCTGTACTTTGCAAATTCAGAGTTTCATTCTCAGGGTTCATTACTAAATATTGACTTTCTAGTCCTGAATGAGAGTTACTGGAAGGAATGTGCTATATACTATGTGTAGTATCTTATCTACTACTGTTTTTTCAAAGGGGAGAAATATCTTAGATACAATATGTATTTTTGTAAGAAGTTTACTCGATGATAAGATATGTGTAATTTTTTTCAGATAATCCTTTAATACACAACTTTTTCATATGTCAAGTTGAGGAACTATTCCTAGAAATTGTCTTAGAATTTAATCTACAATGTTTTTACTTTGTTTAGTGCTTGGAGATGTGATCCAATTTACTGTCTCTTAGATAATTTTATTTTCTCACTTTTCAGTTTTTATTGATCATTTTTAGTCAAGGTTTTTGTTTTATCTTGTGTAAATGAGATAATGTATTTAAAGCACTTAGCACAGTCCTGGTCCTATTTAAGTGGTGGTAACTAAAATTTTTTTAAACACGCAACCCCCCCCCCCCAACATTTCTTTAAAAACACACACACACACACACGCACACACACACGAATAGGCTAGTTTTTACTTCCTTCTCTTTGCTAGACCCTTCTCCACATGCTAAATTAAAACATTGAGAGATAGTAGGGCATTTACAAACAGTAGCATTTTAAAAAGAAGAAAAAAAGAGATTAGGGCAGATGAGAGATTCAGCAATTTAAACCTTACATGAGTTAGAATATTTGGTCTTAAGACATTTTTATCTGTTTAATTCTAGTCTTTTAAATGTTACTTACCTCTTATATTTTATCAAATACTGAAAGTAATACACTTTTAATTATATTTTTCCACTTTCTTGAATTAAGTTCTTAGTACAATGTGAAAGTTGGTTGATCTGCCAAACATTTAAGTATATAATTGGATATTTAAATCAGTATGAAAAGGAGGAAGTTGGTTGGTTTCTTGTAGAAATTTAATGGTGTGTTTGTACAGCCCATTAGGAACTGTAAAGGAGGTTTTGGATGCTTAGTAGCTTTATTTTCTTACCTTAGGCCAACGTTTTCTGTAGAGTTGAATGTAGTGAGAATATGTATTAGACGACTGAGTCGATAATAAATATTTTAACATTTCATTTGGAAGAATACAACTCTGTTTCTTTGACACATTTCCTGATGTTGAAGGATGCTTCTGGGGGTAACTGGCAGAATTTTGTGGTTTAGATTAGTGAAAAAATGTGTTTCAGCAAGTATGGGGAAAAATCGAGGAAAAATTTCAATGTCATGTTTTTGTTAAAAACATTCATCATTGCAAGAGCTATTCCTGTACTTTCTTAGGTGTTCCTATTTGCCAATCCAGAAAGGATACTTTGGCATATATTCTTAACTATTAGTAGAAGTAATACTGTAGTAGTTTTATTAGGTGTTATAAAAGTTAAAACTTGGGTATTATATACATAGCCAAGAAGTTGTGGGGGTTAAGTAAGGCCTGTATCTTAAGCGTTCAAGATAATAATTTAAAGTAAGCTGTAGAATCAACTTATAATAATGACTTGCCTTTCTTTGGCAACCAGTAAACTTTGCCTAAAGTTGTATTTGTTTTTATTGAAGGCATAGTCCAAATTCTGCTTTTGAAGTTTGCTCTATATTTATTTTTTAAATGAAATGGAATTGTAAGGACATTTTTGGTGAGAAAATGTAGTATTACTTTTTCTTCAGAGAAAGTCATAAATAGTGATATATAAAATGGGGACCTTTTAAGAGAAGTTAATGAGTTGTATCACTGATTTCCCTCTCATTATTGCTAGTTGAGTAGTAGATAATTCAGTATGGTAATGTTTTGTTTTAAATAAGAGGTGAGGTTGAAGAAGCCATAATATAGTGAAGGCAGTCACATTGCTCTTAAAAGATAGGAAACCTGAGTAGGTTGAGCCTCATTTGATAGTAAGCAGTAGTTTGCTCACAGCAGTAACATAAATAAGGAAGGTGTTGTGTAAAGCTGTCCTGGTGGGTCAGGGGAGTAGACACAGCAGACTTGGCAGTAGGCCTGGCTTCTAAAACAATATCCAAGTCATCAAATTTGCCCAGGCATGCCATATGAGGTTCAAGTAACAGTGGAATTTAAGAGGAGTGAGTTTGTTCAGGGAGGCTTGGGAGAGTCACAAGCAAGAGCAAGCTTTTTTAAGAGCCATCATTTAAACTCAAACATAATGTGGGTCTGCATATATTTTGGCATGTCTAGTAATGTTTACGTAATTATATTGTATGACTTTCACCTGTTGGCAATTGGGGCTCTAAGATTTAAGTAACAGCCTATGAATTGCTAGTTTACCAACAGCTGAAATTTAATCTTTGGGACAGTTCTAGTTAATATTAGTTAATATTCATGTGTGAGGCTGGGCGCGGTGGCTCTCACCTGTGTAATCCCAGCACTTTGGGAGGCTGAGGCGGGTGGATCACCTGAGGTCAGGAGTTCGAGACTAGCCTGGCCAACATGATGAAACCCTGTCTTTACTAAAAATACAAAAAATTAGCTGGATGTGGTGGCGGGCGCTGTAATCCCGGCTACTTGGGAGGCTGAGGCAGAATTGCTTGAACTTGGGAGGTGGAGGTTGCAGTGAGCTCAGATGGTACCATTGCACTCCAGCCTGGGGGACAGAGTAAAACTCTCTCTCAAAAAAAAAAAAAATAAATAAATAAAAGGCTGGGCACGGTGGCTTACGCCTGTAATCCCAGCACTTTGGGTTGCTGAGGCAGGCGGATCACGAGGTCAGGAGTTCGAGACCAGCCTGACCAACATGGAGAAACCCCGCCTCTACTAAAAATACAAAATTAGTACATCGAAGCTGGGTGCAGTGCCCTGTGCCTGTAGTCCCAGCTACTTGGAAGTATCTCTTGAGCCTAGGGATTCTAGACCAGTCTGGATAACATAAGGATACCCTGTTTCTTAAAAACAAAAACAAACTGTTAGTGCATCGAGTTGTTCTTATTATTCAAACCATATTTCCCACGTCTGTAGTTCTTTAATATGTTAAACTTCAAAAATTGACTTAGCTTATTGCTATCCTTTTATTGGGTTAGTTGGCTGGTAAATTTTGCCACTTCCTGAAAATGACTTTTGTTTCCCCCCTTCTCTCTGCCCTGTGGCCAAAGTCTTGGTCTCCTTCCATTTGGATTTGTGTATTAATAGTTTTCTCTTCGTATTTTCTCCTAATTCAGTTCTGAAAGTCATAGTTGAGGTTATCTTCAATTCCCACTCCTTTTTGTCTGTAACCTGCCTTTCCTCACAGTTTTTCATTGTGCTCCACCATTTTATATCTGTTACTTCAGATATCAAGCTCATCACCTTTATTCATCTCTTTTCAGTCCCAGTGTGAAACCTTTCCTTCCATCCATTTTCCTGATCTGCTGTCAACGTGTTCACCAAAGACTTTTTCTTTTGTGAGACAACTTAACAGATAATTTTGATGTAGTACTGAGCTAGGAGGTCTGGATTCTAGATTCATTTCTGTTGCTAATTGTGTGATACTGCTAAAAAGCATAGAGTTTCAAGCTAATTCAGTCCTTCCAT
This sequence comes from Homo sapiens, assembly GCF_000001405.40. Lineage (NCBI taxonomy): Eukaryota > Metazoa > Chordata > Mammalia > Primates > Hominidae > Homo > Homo sapiens. The sequence continues at coordinate 68,093,349 of NC_000016.10, forward strand.
TTTACAGGAGAGGAAATTGAGACTCAAATTGACCTGCCCAAGGTCATTTAACTGGTTAATATCAAAACAGAGACCCAGGACTTCTGACTCCTAGTCCTTTGGTCTTCTCCAGTAAGTTGCTTAATTTTTGCTTGAAAATCCTACATTTCCTTCTTGTGGATTAAAAACAAGAACAACAACAACAAAAATCCTACAGTTCTTTTTGCGCAACCTATAATTTTGATCATTTTGTAACTTTTTGTTTGTGATACATTAGATAAATATTTAATCCAGTGTTATTGAGTACCTATTATGTGCAAGGTATTTTTATGTGCATTATCTCATGATAACCTAGAGAGAGGTATTATTTCTATTTAGCGCATAAGGAAACAGAAATGCAGATGGATTTGACCATCTAGAAAGTGGAATTAGCTGGTATTTGAACTTTGGTTTTCTGACCTCAAATTTTGGGCCCTTTCTGCTATGCCTGCCTCTTGCCTTGCTATTCTCAGAAAGAGTTTAAGTACAGAAAGACTCAGTTTTTCCTATGGTGAAAGCAAGGGTCATGTTGGGCATATGGAATCAAACATATATGAGTCATGTCTTACAAATTACATGTGTTCCTGTGACTAGATTTTCTGCTTTGGGCTCAAAATAGCTACTTGAGGGATGCTTCTTATTCCTGCCTGCTCTAGGAAATTTTAAAGGGTAGCAGTGATACAGTTAGACCAATAGAGGGTACTGTATCGCTATATCGCTAACTGTGCTAGACCCAAATTTAGCTCTTTTGGGCCTTTTCTCTTTGCTGCTTTGTGGATCTGGAGGTCAAGAGGTGATATCATTTTAGGTTTTAAGGCAGTTTACTCTAAGGAGAAATTGGCCTTTGTCTTTGGCAGCCCCCCTCTCCGCCCATGTTGTCTTGATTAGGGTCTGATTTGTCATCTTGCAGGCTGTTTTGCTTTTAAAGTTTAAAGCGTTTAGATCTGTCGTCAAAATTGCCCTAAACCTGAATGAGGAAAAATTCAGAATTTTAAAAATGCTCAATAGTCAGGGTAGTTTCATTTTTCAAGGTTAACATTTTGCTTTCACATGTTCAAAAAAAAAAAAATGAGTACTATTTATTTGATTGAATTTAGGATGCAAGGAGAACTACCTTCTATAGCCACTAGGACTGATACACATTTTTTTCCTTGATATTTTGACCAATTTGCCATCTGCCATTTATTCTTCTCTCTCAAGATCAGTACTCTTTTGGATTTTCTCTCTCTCTTGTACATACCCAGTTGTCTCTGAGTTTCACCAGAACTCTCCCTTTGAGAGCAAAGGCAAGAAAGCTCTTTTGTCATACATGTTACCTAGTAAATGTTGGCTGATCATGGTTTTAGCACTTCTGTTGACTTTTTAATCATCCGATTACTATTTGAAATAAATAGTAAAATACTCTTAATCTTCTAGTTTAAATATATGCAAAATAGTTACATTTGGATTGATATTTGCTGAGGGGAAGGAATGAGACACGGATGCTGGCTTCACACAGCTCTTTTCTTTTTAAGAGTGACGAAGGACTTTTCCAGAAGCCTTCAGCAAACTTAACCTTGCGTTTCATTGACCAAAACTGGGTTACATTCCCTTTCCTAAATTAGTTACTGGTAAAGATGAGTGGAATTATTCTTAGCCAACCAGACCTATGCCTTGGCCTGAGGATATGGTTGGCTTCCCCAAAACACAAGGCTGCATGGGAGAGGAGTGGATAGAAGGATAGAAAATCTGTTAGGGAGGAAGAAAGAGAAAATGGATGCTGGGAGGGGGTCAACCAAAAGAATTGTCTGTGCTTACTATCCACAGTATTCTAGCAACTGAGGGACTTAAAAAAAATTTTTTTTTTTTGAGAGAGAATCTCACTCTATTTCCCAGGCTGGAGTGCAACCTCTGCCTCCTGGGTTCAGGTGATTGTGATGCCTCAGCCTCTCAAGTAGCTGAAGTAGCTGGGATTACAGGTGTGCACCACATGCCCAGCTAATTTTTTTTTTTTTTTTTTTTTTTGAGACAGAGTCTCACTCTGTCACCTAGGCTGGAGCACAGTGGCACAATCTCTGCTCACTGCAACTTCCACCTCCCAGGTTCAAGTGATTTTCCTGCCTCATGCCTCCCAAGTAGCTGGGATTACAGATGTGTGTCACCGTGCCTGGCTAATTTTTGTATTCTTAGTAGAGACAGGGTTTCACCATGTTGGACACGCTGGTCTTGAACTCCCTACCTCAGGTGATCCGCCTGCCTCGGCCTCCCAAAGTGCTGGGATTATAGGCATGAGCCCCTGTGCCCAGCCAGTTGAGGGACTTTATAATGTAAACCTGACTTTTGTTATGCAGTTACTTTCTCTGGCACTTGCTTTTTCTTTTGCTTTGTCAGAGTCCTTGGGGATGGGCATGGGAGTTGATAGAGGTGCCAAGAAAGAGAAGTATGGCTATTGATCCTGGATTAATAACAGTGGGGTTGGTGTCTTGATGGGTGGGAGATCTGGGACACAAAATTCATTTTTGTTGTGTGGTTCAGGTGGAACCTGATGATTATGCAGACATACAGAAGCATAAAGACAGTGTCAAATCTGATTTGTCAAAATTGAGATAGTAAAGTGTTTTTTAAATGCTTATTTTATTTTATTTCTTAAAATTTATTTTGAGACAGGGTCTCACTTTGTTGCCCAGGCTGGAGTTCAGTGGCTCAATCATAGATCACTGCAGTCTTAACTCAGCCTCCCAAGTAGCTCAAACCACAGGTGCTTGCCACCATGCCCAGCTAATTTTTAAAAATTGTTTTTGATAGAGACGGAGTCTTTCTGTGTTGCCCAGGCCAGTCTCAAACTCCTGGGCCTGAGCAGTCCTCCCACCTTGGCCTCCCAATGTACTGGGATTACAGGTGTGAGCCACCATGCCCACGCTAAAAATTCTTTTTAAAGTGCTTTGTTTCATTCTTTCGAAGGCTCATCTGAAAGAAACTAGCTGTTGTTAAAGGATAAAATAGAAGAATATGTAGAAGAAGAGAAAGTAGTAACCAGAGGGGAACATTGTATGAGATCTTAGAGTAACTGAGCTGGAAGGGACCTCAAGAAAGTCCTCTTCCATTAAGTGGGTAAATATACTAAATCATTTAATCTTTTAATTAAGTTTTGTTAAGTGTCAGTATTATTATGTGCCAAATACTGGTAATACAAATTAAATATAATTCAGTCTATTGGAGTAGACATATAAATGACTACAACAATATTAATATAACAGAGGTACGGAGAAGGGCCTCTGAGCATATAATGACACAGATTAACTCTGAGTAGAGAGGTCAGAGAAGAGTACAGTTGAGCAGAATCCAGTGGGATGAGTTCACCAGGTGGCTAAGGGAGGACATAACATTTCAGGCCAGCCGATTATCACACCCAAAGACAGGTTAAAGAGCATGGTCCTTTAATTTGGAAAGTGGAAGATCAGGATTCTGTTGTGTCCAGATGTGGCTGGAGAGGGACAGACTATTATACTGTATTGAGGAGTTTGGATTTTAGTTTGAAGACAGCAGGGAGCCATTGAAGGATTTCAAATTGGGCAGAAATGTCAGATTTGTAGCTCCATCACTCTACTATACTGTGGGTAATAGATTGAAGAAGACAGGAATGGAGGTGGGGACACATGTATTTGAGAAATGATAAGGGTAGAGCAGTGAAGACGACAAAGTGGGAATAGTGCTCAGATAGATTTACAGGAAAGAAATCAATAGGACCTGGTATCCATTGAGTAAGGAAAGGGAAGGAGGCAGGATTATTTCTATTTTTCTAGTTTGGGTCAGTTGTGGTAGGAGAATTAGCTTTGGAGGTGGGGAGGGAGAAAGGTGATTCATTTTAATAAAATGTGCTATTACAAAATGTCTGTGGAAATAGTGGTGAACAAGACATGGCCCTTGCCTTCATGAAGTGCACAGTCTAGTAATTATTAATGTAACTAGTGTCATGAAAATACAAAGTGCAAAGTATAAAGTGCAATGAGAGTATATAGTAAAAAGGAGTTCAGTTTTGTGTATGTCTAGTTTGAAGCATCTGTAGATTTATTAGGCAATTGGAAATATAAGTGTAGAGCTCAAAAGAGAAACTTGCACAAAAGAGATTTGAAAGTTATTGGTCTATAGATATTGATGATAGTTGAAGTCATGGGCATGGATGAAGTCACTGCAACAGAGTGTGGATTATAATGTGAAAAGGAGGCTGAGAACAGGACTCTGGAAACAACAGTATTGCAAGGATGGCAAGGAGAGAAGTCTGAGAAGATACTGTCACAGAGTTAAATTAGACAATCAAGAGAATGGTGTAGGGAAAGCCAAGGCAGAAGAGGGTTTTATCTATTTCAACAGCTTTATTGAGGTAAAATTGACATTTAATAAACAACATATTTAAAGTGTACAGTTTAAGTTTTGACACATGTAGAGACCCATGAAACTTTTACCAGATATAGTGAACATATCCGCGACCCCCAAAAGAAGTTTGTTTGTGTGCCTCTGTAATCACTCCCTCCCATACACCTTTCTCCCTTTTCCAGACAACCGCTGAACTCACTAGAACATTTATATAAGTGGAATTGTAAAGCATGTACCCTTTTTTTGCGGGGGTTGGGTGCTGACTTCTTGTCATTGCTATTTTGAGATATGTCCATGTTATTGAGTGTATCAGTAGGTCATTAATTTTTATTGGGGAGTAGTTGCCATTATGTATGTATAGTACAATTTATTTTATCCATTCACCTGTTGATGGACTTTTGGATTGTTTCCAGGTTTTGGCTGTTACAAATAAAGCAGCGATGAATATTCATGTATTGTCTTTGTATGGACACATCTTTCCCTTTCTCTTGGGTAAATACCTAAGAATGTAATGGTTGGGTAATTTGGTAGATGTACATTTAACTTTTTGTCTATTATTATTATTATTATTATTATTATTATTTTTTTTTTTTTTTTTTTAGATGGAGTCTCACTCTGTCGCCAGGCTGGAGTGCTGTGATGCATATCTCGGCTCACTGCAACCTCCCAACTCCCTCGTTCAAGTTGTTCTCCTGCCTCAGCCTCCCGAGTAGCTGGGATTGCAGGCACACGCCACCATGCCCGGCTAATTTTTGTATTTTTAGTAGAGACAGAGTTTCACCATGTTGACCAGGATGGTCACAATCTCCTGAGCTCGTGATCCACCCGCCTCAGCGTCCCAAAGTGTTGGGATTACAGGTGTGAACCACTGTGCCCAGCACATTTAACTTTTTAAGAAACTGCCAAACTGTTTTCCAAAGTGGTTATATCATTTTAAATTCCCACTAGCAGTGGAATATTTTGACATCCTAACCAACATCAGGTTTAGATAGTCTTTTTAATTTTAGCCATTCTAACAGGTGTGTAGTGTTATCTTCTGTAGGTTTAGTTTATATTTTCCAAATAACTAATGCTCTTGAACATCTTTTTATGTGCTTATTTGCTATCTTTTTTGGTTAAGTGTCTTTTTAAGCTTTTTACCCATTTAAAAAAGCTTTTTATTTTGAAATAATTAATAGATCCACAGGAAGTTGTAAATAAAATGTAAAGAGGTTCTGGGTACCCTTTACTCAGTTTCTCCCAACGATAACATCTTGCATAACTATAGTACAATATTGAGACCAGGAAAATGACACTGGTAGAATCCACTGAACTAACTCAGATGTGAACAATTTTACATGCACTGATTTGTGTGTGTTTATGTGTGTAGTTCTCTGCAGTTTTATCATATGTAGATTAGTGTAACTACTACCATGATCAAGATACAGAACTGGGCCAGGCGTGGTGGCTCACGCCTGTAGTCCCAGCACTTTGGGAGGCTGAGGCCGGTGGATCACCTGAGGTCAGGAGTTTGAGACCAGCCTGGCCAACCTGGTGAAACCCTGTCTCTACTAAAAATACAAAAAATTAGCCGGCTGTGGTGATGGGCGCCTGTAGTCCCAGCTACTCGGGAGGCTGAGGCAGGAGAATGGCGTGAACCCAGGAGGCGGAGCTTGCATTGAGTGGAGATTGCGCCACTGCATTCCAGCCTGGGCGACAGAGCGAGACCCCACCTCAAAAAAAAAAAAATATATTAGCCGGGCATGGTGGTGGGTGCCTGTAATCTCAGCTACTGGGAAGGCTGAGACAGGCGAATCGCTTGAACCTGGGAGGCGAGGGTTGCAGTGAGCTGAGATTGGGCCATTTCACTCCAGCCCAGGTGACAGAGTGAGACTCTGTCTCAAAATAAAATAATAATAATAATAATAATAATAAAAAATATAGAACTGTTTCATCTCACTAACTTCTTTATAAGCACATCCTTTTCCCTCCCTCTTCCCCAACCCAGTCTCAAATTCCTGGCAACCACTAATCTATTCTACATCTCCAAAGTATTATTTCAAGAAAATGTTAGCTACATAAATTAAGTCATACACTATGGGACTTTTTTGGGGGAGGGCAGGGCAGGGGGACAGGGTCTCACTAGGTTGCCAAGGCTGGAGTACAGTGGCATGATTATGCCTCACTGCAGCCTTGAACTCTTGGGCTCAAGCTCTCCTCCCACCTCAGCCTCCCAAAGTGCTGGGATTACAGGTGTGAGCCACCGTGCCAGGCCCTATGTGACCATTTGAGGTTGACTTTTTCTTCACTCATTGCCTGGCGATCCTTCCAAGTTGTCGAGTATATTAATAGTTTGTTCTGTTTTATTGCTGAGTAGTGTTCCATCATATGGATGTACTACAGTTTAATTGTTTACCCATTGAAGGACATTCGGGTTATTTCCAGTTATTGGCTATTATGAAAATTGCTATGAACATTTGTGTACAGATTTGTATGTGGATATGTGTTGTTTCTTTTTTTTTCTGGTATAAATACCCAGAAGTACAAATGCCTCCTGACCTCCAATCTGTGAATTTAGTTTTATAAGAAACTGCCAGGGTGTGGTGGCTCACACCTGTAATCCCAGCACTTTGGGAGGCCGAGGTAGGCAGATCACTTGAGGCCAGGGGTTCAAGACCAGCCTGGGCAACATGGTGAAACCCCATCTCTACTAAAAATACAAAAATTAGTCAGGCATGATGATGCATGGCTGTAGTCCCAGCTATTTGGAAGGCTGAGGCATGAGAAATCGCTTGAACCCTGGAGGCGGAGGTTGCAGTGTGCCAAGATTGTGCCGCTGTACTCCAGCCTGAGCAACAGAGCAAGGCTCTGTTTCAAAAACAAAACAAAACAAACAAAAAAAAAAACCAAACCTGCCAAATGTTTTCATTCCCACCAGCAGGTGTATGAGTTACTCAGTTTCTCTGCATCTTGGGCAGCATTTGGTATTAACACCTTTTTTTTTTAATCATTCTGATGGGTGTGTAGTGATACCTCATTGTGGTTTTAATTATATTCTTCTCATGACTAATACTGTTGACCATTGTTTTATGTGATTTTTGCCATCCGTATATTATTTTTGGTCTAGTGTCTAAGTCTTTGCCCCTTTTTAGATTGGGTTGTTTTCTTATTGTTGAATTTTGAGAGTTCTGTGTGTGTGTGTGTGTGGGGTGTGTGTGTGTGTGTGTGTGTGTGAAACAAGTCTATCAAATATATGCTTTGCAGAGAGTTTCTCTCAATCTGTGATTTGTTTTTTAATTCTATTAATAGTATCTTTTGTAGAAGTTTTACATTTTGATGAAGTTTGCCTTACCAATTTTTTCTTTCATGGATTGCACTTTTGGTGTTACAGCTAAGAAATCTTTGCCTAACCCATGCTCACAAAGATTTTCTCCTCGGTTTTCTTTTCTTTTCTTTTTTTTGAGACACAGTCTTGCTCGTGTTGCCCAGGATGGAGTGCAGTGGCATGATTATGGCTCGCTGCAGCATCAACCTCCTGGGCTCAAGCTATTCCTCCTGCCTGAGCCTCTGTAATAGCTGGAACCACAGGTGTGCACCACCATGCCCCGCCAATTTTTAAATTTTTCGTAGAGATATGGTTTCACTGCATTGGCCAGGCTTGTCTCAAACTGTAGGGCTCAAGTGATCCTTCCTCCTTGGCCTCCCAAAGTGTTGGGATTACAGGAGTGAGCTACTGTGCCTGGCTGCTAGGTTTTCTTTTGGAAGTTTTATAGTTTTAGGTTTTTTTTTTTGTTTTTTTTTTTGAGACGGAGTCTCGCTCTGTTGCCCAGGCTGGAGTGCAGTGGCGCGATCTCGGCTCACTGCAAGCTCCGCCTCCCGGGTTCACGCCATTCTCTTGTCTCAGCCTCCCAAGTAGCTGGGACTACAGGCGCCTGCCACCACGCCTGGCTAATTTTTTGTATTTTTGATAGAGATGGGGTTTCACCATATTATCCAGGATGGTCTTGATCCCCTGACCTCATGATCCGCCCGCCTCTGCCTCCCAAAGTGCTGGGATTACAGGCATGACCCACCGCACCCGGTCCCAAAGTATCTTTTAGGTGCCTGAGTCTCAGCATTTTTGACACATCAATTCGTCTGTCAATTTTATTTTCTTGGAGACTTTCCTTTCTCTCAGAGCCTTCTAAACTAATCTGGATTAGTGGATACCTAGCATGTTGTACATCTGTCATTGTGAGACCTCACTTCTCTGTCATCTTGAGTTCTTTGCATTTCTGTTATTGTGTTGTCATTTGTTTCTTTGCAACTCATTTTGGTGGAGTACTTCCTTCAGTAGCTTACTGATGGTAATAGGAGGTAAATTTTTGTGACCTTATATATTTAAAGGTCTTCACCAGGCGCAGTGGCTCACGCCTGTAATCCCAGCACTTTGGGAGGCTGAGGCAGGTGAATCACAAGCTTAGGAGTTAGAGACTAGCCTGGCCAACATGGTGAAACCCCGTCTCTACTAAAAATACAAAAAAATTAGCTGGGTGTGGTGGTGCGTGGCTGTAATCCCAGCTACTTGGGAGACTGTGGCAGGAGAATCGCTTGAACCCAGGAGGCAGAGGTTGCAGTGAGCCGAGATTGCACTACTGCACTCCAGCCCTGGTGACAGTGTGAGACTCCATCTCAGGAAAAAAAAAAAAAAAAAAAAAAAAAAAGTCTTCATTCTCCCCTCACACTTAATTTTGGCTGGTTGTAGAATTCTAAGTTAGATATCATTTTCTCTCATAAATTTGAAGGCATTGCTCTCCATTTTCTCCATTTTATTCCATTGTTGTTGAAAAGTCTGATGCCATTCTGATTCTTGATTCTTCATGTGTAACCTGTTACCCTCCTCTGAGTCTTTTAGGTTCTTCTCTTTGTCCTTTGTGTTCTGATTTTTTCAGTTCCATTGTAATCTCAGGAGACCATTTTCACATACGTGGTCTGTCATTGACCAAAACATCATCAAGCAGTACCTGACTACCTACAAATGTAATTGCTTGTCATATGGTAATTCTCTATGTAAATTTTTGAGGCACCATCAAACTCTTTTCTACAGCAACTCAGCTGTATCACTTTACATTGCCACTAGTAATATATGAGGGTTCTTATTTATCTGTATCCACACTAACACTTGTTTTCTCTTTTTGTTTATTTTTTCAAATTAAAGCCATCCTGGGAGTGTGAAATGGTATCTCTCTGTGGTTTTTATTTGCATTACCTAATGACCAGTGATGTTGAACATCTTTTCATGTGCATGTTGGTCATTTGTATATCTTCTTTGGAGAAATGCCTATTCATGTGCTTTGTCCATTTTTTAATTCAGCTGTTTGACTTTTTGCTGTTCAGTTATAAAAACTCTATATATTCTGGATACTAAAGCCTTATCAGATCTAAGATTTACAGATATTTTTTCCCATTCTGTAGGTTGTCTTTTCACTTTTCTTTTTTCTTCTTTTTTTTTTATTTTATTATTATTATTATTATTTTCTTCTGAGACAAGGTCTCACTCTGTTGCCCAGGCTGGAATGCCATGGTGTGTGATGTTGGCTCATGGCAGGCAGCCTTGACCTCCTTGGCTCAAGTTAGCTTCCCACCTCAGCCTTCCAAGTAGCTGGGACTACAGGTGCATGCCACCATGCCCAGCTAAGTTTTGTATTATTTTGTGGAGATGAGATTTCACCACGTTGCCCAGGTTGGTCTCAAATTCCTGGGCTCAAGTCATCTGCCTGCCTCAGCCTCCCAAAGGGTTGGGATTACAGGCATGAGCCACTGGGCTTGGCCTCACTTTCTTGATGGTGCCCTTTGGTGCACAAAAGTTTTTAATTTTACCAAGTTGTATTAATTGAGTTCTTTTGTTGCTTGTGCTTTTACTATTAAGAATCCATCGCCAAATCTGAAGTCTTGACAGTGTACTCCTATTTTTGCTTCTAAGAGTTTTATGCTTTTAGCTCTTATATTTAGGTTGTTGATCCTTTTTGAGTTAATTTTTGTATATGGTATGAGGAAGGGGTTCAACTTCATTCTTTTGCATGTGATAATCCAGTTTTCCCAGTACCATTTGTTGAAGGAACTATTCTTTTTCCATTTAAAGTCTTAGCACCCTTGTAAAAAATCAATTGGCCATAGATATTCGGGTTTATTTCTGAACTCTCATTTCCATTCCATTGATTAATACATCTCTTCTTATGCTAGCACCACACTGTTTTGATTGCTGTGCCTTTGTAGTAAGTTTTGGAGTGTTAATCCTACTTTGTTTTCTTTTTCAGTGTTATTTTGGCTGTTCAGAGAATATTCTGGGCCCCTTGCATTTCCGTATAAATTTGAGGATTGGCTTTTCCATTTCTCTAGAAAAGCCCGTGAAATTTTGGTAGGGATTGCATTGTACATCACTTTGGAGAGTATTGCATGTTAACATTGTTTTTCAATCCATGTACACAAGAAGTCTTACCACTTATTTAGGTCTTCTTTAATTTATTTCAGCAATGTTTTGTAATTTTTAGTGTGTAAGTTTTTCATGTCCTTGGTTAAATTTATTCCTGAGTATTATTTCTTTTGGAGGTTACTGTAAATAGAATTTTCTTAATTTCCTTTTCAGATTGTTTATTGCTTGTATATAGAAACAACAGAATTTTATGTGTTGATGTTTTACCCTGCACCTTTAATGAATTCATTTATTAGCTGTAGTTTTTTGTAGAACTTATGGGTTTTACTTTATATAGAATCATGTCTTCTGCAAGTAGAAATAGTTTTACTTCTTCCTTTCCAATTTGGATGTCTTTTAATTCCTTGATTGCCCTGGGTAGGACTCCCAGTACAATGTTGAATAGTAGTGGTGAAAGCATGCATCCTTATCTTGCTTCTTATCTTGGGGGAAGGCTTTTGTTTTACACCACTATGATGTTAGCTGTGGGCTTTTCACAAATGGTTTTTTTTTTTTTTTTGAAATGGAGTCTGGCTCTGTCGCCCAGGCTGGAGTGCAGTGGCGCGATCTCTGCTCACTGCAAGCTCCGCCTCCTGGGTTCATCACGCCATTCTCCTGCCTCAGCCTCCCAAGTAGCTGGGATTACAGGTGCCCACCACCACGCTCAGCTAATTTTTTGTATTTTTAGTAGAGACAGGGCTTCACCATGTTAGCCAGGATGGTCTTGATCTCCTGACCTCATGATCCGCCCCTCTTGGCCTCCCAAAATGCTGGGATTACAGGCGTGAGCCACCGCACCTGGCCTCACAAATGCTCTTGATCATGTTAAGGAAGTTTACTTCTATTCCTAGTTTGCTGAGGTTTTTGTTTGTTTGTTTCAGTCTTAAAAAGATGTTGAATTCTGTCAAATGCTTTTTCTGTCAGTTGAGGTGACTGTGTGGGTTTTTTTTTTTTTTTTTGAGATGGAGTCTCACTTTGTCACCCAGGCTGGAGTACACTGGTATGATCTTGGCTTACTGCAGTCTTCACCTCCCAGGGTCAAATGATTCTCCTGCCTCAGCCTCCCAAGTAGGTGGGATTACAGGCGCCTGCCACCATGCCTGGCTAAGTTTTGTATTTTTAGTAGAGACAGGGTTTCACAATGTTTGCCAGGCTGGTCTCGAACTCCTGACCTCAAGTGATCCACGTGCCTCAGCCTCCCAAAGTACAGGCATGAACCAGTACACCCGGCCCCTGATTGTGTGGATTTTTTTTCTTCACTCTATTAATATGGTATATTATATCAGTTGATTTTCACATGTTGAACCACCCTTGCATTCCTGGGATAAATCACATTTGGTCTTTTTTAATGTGCTCTTGGATTCAGTTTGCTAGTGTATATTTTGTTGAGGATTTTTGTGTTTATATTCATACGGGATATTGGTCTGTAGTGTCTTGCTTTGGTATCAGGAAAATACTGGCCTCATAGAATGTGTTAGGAAGCATTCCCTCTATTTTTTGGAAGAATGTGAGAAGTAGTGCTGTTAATTCTTGTCTAAGTGTTCATTAGAACTGACCAGTGAAGCCATCTGTTCCTGGGAGAATTTTGACTATGATTCAATCTCTTTACTTGTTAGAGGTCTGAGATTTTCTTTTTCTTCTGAGTCAGTTTTGGTAATCTCTGTATATCTAGGAGTTTGCTCATTCCTTCTAGATTGTCTAATTTGTTGGTGTACGATTGTTCATAGTATTCTTCTTCTTTTTTTTTGAGACAGAGTCTCACTCTGTTGCTCAGACTAGAGTGCAGTGGAGCAATCTTGGCTCACTGCAGCCTCCGCTTCCTGGGTTCAGGCGATTCTCCTGCCTCAGCCTCCCTAGTAGCTGGGATTACCACCACGCCAGGCTAACTTTTGTATATTTTAGTATAAATGGGGTTTCACCATGTTGGCCAGGCTGGTCTTGAACTCTTGACCTCAAGTGATCCACCTGCTTCGGCCTCCCAGAGTGCTGGGATTATAGGTGTGAGCCGCCGCACCCGATCCTGTTCATAGTATTCTTATTATCATAGTATTCTTACATATATTTTTGCAAACACCAGTTGTAATACATTCTAACAAAATCCACTTACGTTGTGCTAAAGTAGTGTTTTCTTTTTTCTTTTCTTTTTCTTTTTTTTTTTTCGAGATGGAGTTTCACTCTAGTTGCCCAGGTTAGAGTGCAATGGTGTGATCTTGGCTCACTGCACCTCCACCTCCTGGGCTCAAGTGATTCACCTGCCTCAGCCTCCCGACTAGCTGAGAATACAGGTGTGCACCATCACGCCTGGCTAATTTTTGTATGTTTAGTAGAGACGGGGTTTCTCCCTGTTGTCCAGGCTGGTCTCAAACTCCTGACCTTGTGATCTGCCCGCCTCGGCCTCCCAAAGTGCAGGGATTACAGGCATGAGCCACCACACCCAGCCTCTTTTTTGTATTTTTAGTAGAGATGGGGTTTCACCATGTTGGCTGGGCTGGTCTTGAACTTCTGACCTCAGGTGATCTGTCCACCTCAGCCTCCCAAAGAGCTGGGATTACAGACGTGAGCCACCGTACCCGGACGCCTTTTTTTTTTGTTGTTTTTTTTTTAATTTAATTTAATTTTAAGTTCTTGGATACATGTGCAGGATATGGAAGTTTGTTACATAGCAAAATGTGTGCCATGGTAGTTTGCCACACCTGTCAAGCCATTACCTAAGTGTTAAGCCCAGCATGCATTAGGTATTTTTCCTGATGCTCTCCCTCTCTCGTGACCCCCACCCCCAGACAGGCCCCAGTGTGTGTTGTTCCCCTCCCTGTGTCCATGTGTTCTCATTGTTCACCTACTGTTTATAAGTGAGAACATGTGGTGTTTGGTTTTCTGTTCCTGCATTAGTTTGCTGAGGATAATGGCTTCCAGCTCCATCCATGATCTCATTCTTTTTATGGCTGCACAGTATTCCATGGTGTATGTGTACTACATTTTCTTTATCTTGTCTGTCATTGGTGGGCATTTGGGTTGATTCTATGTCTTTGCTATTGTGAATAGTGCTGCAGTAAACATACACATGCATGTATCTTTATAATAGAATGATTTATATTCCTTTGGGTATATACCCAGTAATGGGATTGCTAGGTAAAATGATATTTTTGGTTCTAGGTCTTTGGGAGAATAATTGCTACACTGTCTTCCACAATGTTTGAACTAATTTACATCCCTACCAAGAGTATAAAAGCCTTTCTATCTCAGCCTCGCCAACATCTGTTGTTTCTTGACTTTTTAATGACTGCCATTCTGGGCCGGGTGTGGTGGCTTACGCCTGTAATCCCAGCACTTTGAGGGGCCGGGGCGGGCGGATCAGTTGAGGTCAGGAGTTCAAGACCAGCCTGGCCAACATGATGAAACGTCATCTCTACTAAAAATAATAAAATTAGCTGGGCATTGTGGTGCATGCCTGTAGTCCCAGCTACTTGGGAGGCTGAGACAGGAGAATCACTTGAACCCAGGAAACAGAGGTTGCAGTGAGCCGAGATCATGCCACTGCACTCCAGCCTAGGCGACAGAGTGAGACACTGTATCAAAAAAATATAATAATAATAATAATAATAATTTCCTTTCTGACTGGTTTGAGATGGTATCTCATTGTGGTTTTGATTTGCATTTCTCTGATCATCAGTGATGTTGAGCTTTTTTTATGTTTGTTGGGCTGCATAAATGTCTTCTTTTGAGAAATGTCTGTTCATGTCCTTTGCCTACTTTTTAATGGGGTGGTTTATTTTTTTTTTTTTTGTAAATTTATTTAAGTTTCTTGTAGACTCTGGATATTAGACCTTAGTCAGATGGATAAATTGCAAAAGTTTTCTCCCATTCTGTAGGCTGCCTGTTCACTGTGATGATAGTTTCTTTTGCTGTGCAGAAGCTCTTTAGTTTAATTAGATCCCATTTGTCAGTTTTTGCTTTTGTTGGCAATTGCTTTTGCCATTTTCATCAAGAAATCTTTGCCCATGCCTATGTCCTGAATGGTATTTATTGCCTAGGTTTTCTTCTAGGGTTTTTATAGTTTGGGGTTTTACATTGAAGTCTTTAATCCATCTCGAGTTAATTTTTGTATAAGGTGTAAGGAAGGGATCCAGTTTCAGTTTTCTGCATATGGCTAGCCAGTTCTCCCAATACTACTTATTAAATAGAGAATCCTTTCCCCATTGCTTGTTTTTGTCAGGTTTGTCAAAGATCAGATGGTTGTACATGTGTGGTCTTATTTCTGAGTTCTCTGTTCTGTTTCATTGGTCTTTGTGTCTGTTTTTGTACCAGTACCATGCTGTTTTGGTTACTGTAGCCTTGTAGTATAGTTTGAAGTCGGGTAACGTGATGCCTCTAGCTGTGTTCTTTTTGCTTAAGATTGTTTTAGCTATACGGGCTCTCTTTTGGTTCCATATGAATTTTAAAATAGTTTTTTCTAATTCTGTGAAGAATGTCAATAGTATTTTAATGGGAGTAGCATTGAATCTATAATTTGCTTTGGGCAGTGTGGCTGTTTTCACAATATTGATTCTTCCTATCCATGAGCATGGAATGTTTTTCCATGTTTGTGTCCTCTCCGATTTCCTTGAGCAGTGGTTTGTAGTTCTCCTTGAAGAGGTCCTTCACTTCCCTTGTTAGCTGTGTTCCTAGGTATTTTATTCTCTTTGTAGCAATTGTGAATGGGAGTTCATTCTTGATTTGGCTCTTTGCTTGTCTCTTGTTGGCGTAAAGGAATGCTTGTGACTTTTGCACATTGATTTTGTATCCTGAGACTTTGCTGAAGTTGCTTATCAGCTTAAGCTTTTGGGCTGAGACTAGGGGGTTTTCTAGATAGAGGATCATGCCATCTGCAAACAAAGACAATTTGACTCCCTCTCTTCCTATGCGAATACCCTGTATTTCTTTCTCTTGCCTCATTGCCCTGGCCAGAATTTCCATTACTATGTTGAATAGGAGTGGTGAGATAGGGGCATCCTTGTCTTGTGTCAATATTCAAGGGGAACACTGTCAGCTTTTGCGTATCCAGTATGACATTGGATGTGGGTTTGTCTTAAATGGCTCTTATTATTTTGAGGTTTGTTCCTCCGATACCTAGTTTATTGAGAGTTTTTAACATGAAGTGATGTTGAATTTTATCGAAGGCCTTTTCTGCATCTATTGAGATAATCATGTGATTTTTGTCTTTAGTTCTGTTTATGTGATGGATTACATCTATTGATTTGAATATGTTGAACCAGCCTTGCATTCTGGGAATGAAGCTGACTTGATCCTGGTCGATAAGCTTTTTGATGTGCTGCTGGATTCGGTTTACCAGTATTTATTTGAGGATTTTGGGATCAATGTTCATCAGTGATATTGGCCTGTAGTTTTCTTTTTTTGTTATATCTCTTTCAGGTTTTGGTATCAGGATAATGCTGGCCTCATAAAATGAGTTAGGGAGTAGTCCTTCCTTTTCGGTTGTTTGGAATAGTTTCGGAAGAAATGGTACCAGCTTCTCTTTGTACCTCTGGTAGAATTCAGCTGTAAATCTTTCTGGTCCTGGGCTTATTTTGGTTGGTAGGCTATGTATTACTGCCTCAATTTCATAACTCATTATTGGTCTGTTCAGGTATTCAGCTTCTTTCTGGTTCAGTCTTAGGAGGGTGTATGTGTCCAGGAATTTATCAGTGTCTTCTAAGTTTTCTAGTTTATTTGCATAAAGGTGTTTATAGTATTCTCTGTGGTGGTTTGTATTTCTGTGGGGTCAGTGGTGATATCTGCTTTATCATTTTTTATTGTGTTGATTTGATTCTTGTCTCTTTTCTTCATTAGCCTAGCCAAGCTCCTGGATGAGTTGTTTTTGTTTGTTTGTTTGTTTTGAGATGGAGTCTCACTCTGTTGCTCAGGCTGGAGTGCAGTGATACGATCTTGGCTCACTGCAACCTCCACCTCCTGGGTTCAAGCAATTCTCCTGCTTCAGCCTCTTGAGTAGGTGGGATTATAGGCACCCACCACCACACTGGGCTAATTTTTGTATTTTTAGTAGAGACAGGGTTTTACCATGTTAGCCAGGCTGGTCTTGAGCTCCTGACCTCAAGTGATCTGCCTGCCTTGGCCTCCCAAAGTGCTAGGATTACAGGTGTGAGCCACCGTGCCTGGCCTGAATTTTTTTTTTTTTTTTTCGAGACGAAGTCTCGCTCTGTTGCCCAGGCTGGAGTACAGTGGCCCAATCTCGGCTCACTGTAAGCTCCGCCTCCCGGGTTCATGCCATTCTCCTGCCTCAGCCTCCTGAGTAGCTGGGACTACAGGTGCCCACCACCACACCCGGCTAATTTTTTTTGTATTTTTTTTTAGTAGAGACGGGGTTTCATCGTGTTAGCCAGGATGGTCTCGATCTCCTGACCTTGTGATCTGCCCGCCTCAGCCTCCCAAAGTGCTGGGATTATAGGCGTGAGCCACCGCGCCCAGCCTGATTTTTTTTTTTAAGGGTTTTTTTGTGTCTCTGTCTCCTTCAGTTCTGCTCTGATCTTGGTTATGTCTTGTCTTCTGCTAGATTTGGGGTTTGTTTACTCTTGGTTCTCTAGTCTTTTAGTTGTGATATTAGGATGTCGATTTGAGTTTTTTCTGGCTTTTTGATGTGGGCATTTAGTGCTATAAATTTCCCTCTTAACACTGCTTTAGCTATATCCCAGAGATTCTGGTACATTGTCTCTTTGTTCTCATTGGTTTCAAATAACTTCTTGATTTCTGCCTTAATTTCATTTTTTACCCAGAAGTCATTCAGGGGCAGGTTGTTCAATTTCCATGTAGTTGTGTGGGTTTGAGTGAGTTTCTTAATGTTGAGTTCTAATTTGATTGCGCTGTGGTCTGAGAGACAGTTATGATTTCATTTCTTTTGCATTTGCTGAGGAGTGTTTTACTTCCAAGTATGTGATCGAATCTAGAGTAAGTGCCATGTGGCACTGAGAAGAATGTATATTCTGTTTTTGGGTAAGTCTACTTGATCACAGCTGAACTCAAGTCCTGAATATCTTTGTTAATTTTTTGTCTCGATGATCTGTCTGATATTGACAGTGGGGTGTTAAGTCTCCCACTATTGTTGTGTGGGAGTCTAAGTCTCTTTGTAGGTTTCTAAAAACTTGTTTTATGAAACTGAGTGTGCCTGTATTGGGTGCATATATATTTAGGATAGTTAGCTCTTCTTGTTGAATTGAACCCTTTACCATGCTGTATGCCCTTCTTTGTCTTTTTTTGATCTTGTTGGTTTAAAATCTGTTTTGTCAGAAACTAGGATTGCAACCCCTGCTTTTTTCCTGCCTTCCATTTGCTTTGTAAATTTTCCTCCATCTCTTTATTTTGAGCCTGTGCATGTCTTTGCATGTTAGATGGGTCTCTTGAATACAGCACACCAATGGTTCTTGTCTTTTTAGCCAGCTAACCATTTTGTGTATTTTAATTGGGGTATTTAGTCCATTTACTTTTAAGGTTAATATTGTTATGTGTGAATTTGGTCCTGTCATCATAATGCTGGCTGGTTATTTTGCAGACGTGTTAATGTAGTTGCTTCATAGTGTCATTCGTCTGTGTACTTGAGTGTGTTTTTGTAGTGGCTGATAATGGTTTTTGCTTTCCATATTTAGTGCTTCCTTCAGGAATTCTTGTAAAGCAGACCTGGTGGTGCTGAATTCCCTCATTATTTGCTTGTCTGAAAAGGACTTTATTTCTCTTTCACTTACGAAGCTTAATTTGTCCGGATATGACATTTGGGTTGGAAATTCTTTTCTAAGAATGTTGAATATTGGCATCCAATCTCTTCTGGCTTGTAGGGTTTCTGCTGAGAGGTCCACTGTTAGTTTGATGGGCTTACCTTTGTGGTGATCTGTCCTCTCTCCCTGCGCTTAACATTTTTTCCTTCATTTCAACCTTGGAGAATCTGATGATAATGTGTTTTGGGATTGATCTTCTCATGGAGTATCTTACTGGGTTTCTCTGAATTTCCTGAATTTGAATGGTGGCCTATCTTGCTAGGTTGGGGAAGTTCTCATGGATGATACCGTGAAGTATGTTTTCCGACTTGGATGCGATCTCCCCGTCTCTTTCAGGTACCCCAGTTGTAGGTTCAGTCTTTTTTTTTTTTTTTTTTTTTTTTTTTGAGATGGAGTCTTGCTGTGTTGCCCAGGCTGGAGTGCAGTGGCGTGATCTTGGCTTACTGCAACCTCCACCTCCTGGGTTCAAGCGATCCTTCTGCCTCAGCCGCCCGAGTAGCTGGGACTACAGGCACACACCACCACGCCTGGCTGATTTTTGTATTTTTAGTAGAGATGGGGTTTCACCATCTTGACCAGGCTGGTCTTGAACTCCTGGTCTCGTGATCCACCCGCCTCGGCCTCCCAAAGTGCTGGGATTATAGGCGTGAGCCACTGTGCCCAGCCAGGTTCATTCTTTTAAATAATCCCATAGTTCTTGGAGGTTTTGTTCATTTCTTTTCATTTTTTCTTTTTCGTTTTTTTTTTTTTTTTTTTTTTTGAGACGGAGTCTCGCTCTGTCGCCCAGGCCGGACTGCGGACTGCAGTGGCGCAATCTCGGCTCACTGCAAGCTCCGCTTCCTGGGTTCACGCCATTCTCCTGCCTCAGCCTCCCGACATTTTTTTTTTTTCTCTAACCTTGTTTGCCCGTCTTATTTTAGCAAGATAGTCTTCAAGCTCTGATATCCTTTCCTCTGCCTGGTCTGTTCAGCTGTTGATACTTGTGGTTGTATTGTGAAGCTCTCCTGTTGTGTTTTTCAGCTCAATCAGGTCATTTATGTTCCTCTGTATACTAGCCATTCTGGTTAACAGCTCCTGTAATGTTTTATCATGGTTTTTCGCTTCTTTGCCTTGGGTTAAAACATACTCCTTTAGCTCAGCGAAGTTTGTTATTACCTACCTTTTGAAGCCTACTTCTGTCAATTCATTCTTCTCTGCCTCAGCCCAGTTCTCTGCCCTTGATGGAGAAGTGTTGCAATCATTTAGAGAAGAGACACTCTGGCTCTTTGAGATTTCAGCGTTCTTGCATTGATTCTTTCTCATCTTTGTGGATTTATCTGCCTTTGATCTTTGAGGCTGCTGACCTTTGGATAGGGTTTTTGTGGGATCTTTTGTGTTGATGTTGTTGTTGTTGCTTTCTGTTTGTTTTTCTTTTAATAGTAAGGCCCCTCTTCCATAGGGTAGGGCTGCTGCAGTTTACTAGGGGACCACTCCTGACCTAATTCATCTACCCCCTCCTGCACCTGGAGGTATAAGCAGTGGAGGCTGCAGAACAGCAAAGATGGCTGCCTCCTCCTCTGGGAGCTTCATCCCAGAAGGCACGGAGCTGATGCTGGCTGGAACGCTCCTGTATCAGGTGCCTGGTGACCCCAGTTGGGAGGTCTCACCCAGTCAGGAGGGATGGGATCAGGAACCTGCTTAAAGAAGCAGTCTGACTGCCCCTTGGCTGAGCAGGTTCGGCTGTGCTGGGGAGAATTCCCCTCATCTGGACTGCCAACAGGCAGGAAAGACTAGGTCAGCTGAACCATGAGACCATGACCACCCCTACCCGTAGAGGCTCCTTCCCAGGGATATCAGAGTTCTGTCCATAAACTCCTGGCTAGAGTTACTGCAGTTCCTGCAAGGAGGTTCTGCCTGGTGAAGAGAGAAGGATCTGGGTCCCACCTAAGGAAACAATCTGGCCACGATCTGCCACCGCCACTGTGTTGTGCTGTGGGGAATTCCTCTTCGTCCAAACCGCCAAGTTTCCCCAACACCAGCAAAGGAAAATGGCAGACTGGAGCCGCAGTGATGGCGACTGCCCCTTTCCGTGGGAACTTGGTAGTCTTAGGCAGTGTCCAGCCTGCTGCTGCTAGCCACAACCTGAGCAGGTTGCACAGCTCTGTGCTTGGGTCCCAAGGCCTTGGTGGCGTGGGCTCATGAGGGGATTTCCTGATCCATGGGATGTACAGATCTGTGGAAAAAGTCTGGTTTCCCGCGCAGGGTAGCACAGTTACTCACCACCTCCCTTGGCTGGGTGTGGGAGTTCGCCTTTGTGGCTACCAGGTCAGGTTGTCGCTCTACCCTGCTTTTCCTAGCTCTGTGTGGATCACACCAACCACCTAGTCAGTCCCAGTGAGAGAACCTGGATACCTCAGTTGACGGAGCAGGATTCACTGGCCGTTTTTGCTCCTCTTAGTGGGAGCCGCAGACTGGAGTGGCTTCTAATCAGCCATCTTGGCTCCTCCTGCCTAAACTAGTGTTTTCTTAACTTCTTTGCAAATGTTTTTTCTTGAAGTTGTTTCTTTCACACTATTCATGGAGGCTAATTGTTTAGTCACTTTAAACTCTGCATTGACTCTTCAATAAATAACAACTGAGCAGATGTTGGTAACATCTGGCAGCACATCAAGGGCCAAGGAAAAGCACTTTTTTTTTTTTTTTTTGAGACGGAGTCTTGCTTTGTTGCCAGGCTGGAGTGCTGTGGTGCAATCTTGGCTCACTGCAACCTCCGACTCCCTGGTTCAAATGATTCTCCTACCTCAGCCTCCCAAGTAGCTGGGATTACAGGCAAGTGCCACCACGCCCAGATAATTTTTGTATGTTTAGTAGAGACGGGGTTTCACCATGTTGGCCAGGATAGTCTCGAACTCCTGATCTCGTGATCCGCCTGCCTCTGCCTCCCAAAGTGCTGAGATTACAGGCGTCAGCCACCGCACCTGGCCGGAAAACCACTTTTTAAGGAAATCGTTTGTTTTATTTTGTAATTAACCTATTAATGTTGCTACCAATGTCCTCAGTTTTTCTACCAGTTGTTCTTGCTGAAAGGCTAATAGTCTTGTAAGTTTTTCTCTGAACATATTTCCGTGGTTTCTCCGGTGAAACACAATTTAAATAACTCACCATCAGTAAATGACTTTCTTTTTTTTTTTTTGAGACCAAGTCTCACTCTGTCACCGAGGCTGGAATGCAGTGGTGCAATCTCAGCTCACTGCAACCTCCGCCTCCCGGCTTCAAGTGATTCGCCTTGCCTCAGCCTCCCAAGTAGCTGGGATTACAAGCGCCTGCCACTATGCCTGGCTAAATTTTGTATTTTAGTAGAGATGAGGTTTTGCCATGTTGTCCAGGCTGGTCTCGAACTCCTGACCTTGTGATCCACCTGCCTCAGCTTCCCAAATTGCTGGGATTATAGGCATGAGCCGCTGCACCCGGCCCCAGTAAATGACTTTCTTTACTTTGCTAGCAAATGAGCCATTTTATTTTCTTTGTTTTTTGTTTTTGTTTTTTTTGAGAGACGGAGTCTTGCTCTTGTCACACAGGCTAGAGTGCAGTAGTAGCGCAATCTCGGCTTACTGCGACCTCCGCCTCCCGGGTTCAACTGATTCCCCTGCCCCAGCCTCCCAAGTAGCTGGGATTACAGGCACGCGGCACCATGCCCAGCTAATTTTTGTATTTTTAGTAGAGACAGGGTTTCACCATGTTGGCCAGGCTGGTCTTGGACTCCTGATCTCAAGTGATCTGCCCCCTTTGGCCTCCCAAAGTGCTGGAATTACAGGCGTGAGCCACCATACCTGGCCGATTGTTTTTTTTTGTTGTTGTTGTTTGTTTTAAATTTTTTTTCTTTTCCTGTGAGTTGGGAGTATTATGATGAATGCATTACTGTGGTAATGCATATATATGGCCATAATGTTATTGCACATCTAATTTGATAACAGTATAACCACACTCCACTGTGCTTTAAAAGGGCAACATTCAAAGTCTACTTTTCTTTTTGTGTTATGCACTAGTAAAAATTTTTTTAAAGTCACAGTATATACGTATGCATTGCACTCATTAGAACTTTGTCACTGCAATTTGTGTCCATCAAGCAGCAATGTGAAGGAATAGGGGTAGTACATGTGGTCCCTTTGACAGTTACTCAGTTCTACCCTTGTGTGAAAATAACCATAGATAGTATATAAATGAATGAGCATGGTTGTGTTTCAGTAAAACGTTATTTATGGATACCAGAATTTGAATCATAACTTTTTTTTGTCATGACACAGTTAAAAACAATTTTTTGAAACCATTTAAAACCATTAGTTTGTAGGCTATAGAAAGACAAACTATTATCTGTAGGCTTTCTATAGCCTACAAACTAATGATTTTAAATGTGGCCTACCACTTGTTGGTGGGCCAGACTTGGCACATGGACTGTATTTTGCCAACCTCTGCTTCATACTATACATAAAAACATTCATAAGACAACTTGGGTTGTCCAGATTACTGTATGCTTGCATGAGTCCCTCTGGTGGTTGAAGGAACATGGAACAAGTAATTCTTGAGATGGTGAAATTTCTGAAGCACCTTGAATTTGAGAATTCTAGACTTGGAAATCTGGACTTAGGACTGTTCGTCATAGTTAGATTGTAGTAGCTGCTTATATCATTTCCAGAGGTTGGACACTTGGGAAAAAGATAAAGCAGCATTCCCACAAATTTTGTGTGCAGGTCTCTGCAGCACTTTAAGACATCATTCTGACGTAGAAGATGTTTGCTTCATCTACAGTTTATTTGGGAGAAGGGTGTGGTTTTCAGCATTAGTCAACAACTGAAATGGGCTGGTACAATAATTTCATTTGAATAAACTGTAAAATCTTCTATGGGTGACTTTCTGTCCTTTTTTTTTTTTCTCAAAGGGTTGGGATTTAATTAATTTTTCCTATTTAATCAAGTACATTCTTAAGTAAAGGAAAAAGGCAGTTTGAAAATAAGCAGTACGATTAGATGAAATTAGTAAAGAACAAGTTGTTCTGGATGACTTCAAGGTGCTATATATACCCTTTGAACTGTTTGCTTGTTTTTCCTGTCTCTCCTTTTCTTTGCAGCCATCTTCTCTCATTTTAGATTTCCTGCTTCTAATCTGTGGACTAGATAAGCATATAATATTATGGGATCTAAAATTGAGTAGAGAGGATCTGAACAAGGGGCCAAGGAAAATTTCTGTGAGTTAAACACATGAGCTTTTATGCTGTATATTTTGAGTGTTCAGAGGCTTGTTTTACTTCTGTCCACTTGAGTACCATTTAGATAGGTGACATTGTGAGCTAAGTTTTAGAAAGTTTTAGCTACCATCATAATTCAACAGGCTGATAGCATTGCCAAGAAACATGGTTCAAAAATTCCTAATTGAGGATTTTGCTCCTAAATTTATATCAGATCATATATATCAAATGGTGATACTTTTCTGTTTAGAATGCTCCATTGGTTTCCCATCTCGCAAGGCCTTACTTGACTAGCCTCTCCCTGAGCACCCCTAGCTCTCATTATTCTGCCTCCTTACTCAGGAGTAACATAGATTCTCTAAGGGAAGCAATTCCAACAACCTTATTTATTTATTTAGACAGGGTCTTGCTCTGTCACCGAGGATGGAGTGCAATGGCGCTATCTTGGCTTACAGCAACCTCCGAATCTCAGGCTCAAACGACCCTCCTGCCTCAGCCTCTCAGGTAGCTGGGACTACAGTACAGGCATGTGCCACCATGCCTGGCTACTTTTTGTATTTTTATTTTTGTAGAAATGGGTTTTTGCCACATCGTCCAGGCTGGTCTCGAACTCCTGAACTCAAGCCATTTGCCTGCCTCGGCCTCCCAAAGTTCTGGGATTACAGGTGTGAGCCACCATGTCCGGCCCCAACAACTTGAACAAATGATTTATTATAGACCTAATAAATGTCAGGGACTTACTTGGTAGGTACTGGAGATACAGCAGTTGAAGTTGTTCTCATATATAATAGAAATCATGTCATTCCCCTTTTTAAAACTCTTACATGGTTTCCATTATTCTTTGAATAAAATCCAAAGCCCTTACTACAGTTCTTCTATGTCTTGGCTTCTTCTAGCTCTACCCTTTCAGTTGTTAACTCTAGCCATCTTGGGCGTTTCTTAAAGAAACCAAGGCGTTATTTGACTCAGACTGTTTATGCCTATTCTCCTGTGTTGCAACTATCACCTTCTCTCCCCAGCCCCGCTGACTCTCTTTCTTTGCTTGCTGGTTCCTATTTATCTTTCAGGTTTTAGCTTACATGCTACCCTCTCAAAAAGGCCATCTCTGTAATCTCTGTAAAACAAGTTCCTTGTCTGATTCTCTCTTCTACCACTTAGTAGCACTTACCATTTTTAATTTGTGTTTTTGTCAGTCTCTCCTGAGACTGACTGCTTAATGAGGGCGGGGGACCATATGTGTGTTATTTACTTTTTATGTACCTACCATCTATAACAGTTTCTATAAAATATTAATCACATCATTAATAGTTGGTGAATGAATGAGCACCTTCTTCACTTGGCTTCTGGGATGCTGCATTCTTTTGGTTATTGTTCCATTTCACTGATGTCTCTTCTAACCTCTTAACTCATTCTTCTTTTTCTCCCTAATCCTAAACTTTGGAGTTCCTTGTGCCTCAGTTGCCTACTTTCTTCTCTATTTGTACTAATTTCTTAGTGATCTTTTGGTCTTATGGCTTTAAATTTCATATATACGTTAATGATTCCCACATTTACATAGCTAGCTTGTGTTCTTATGCACAAATATCTATTTGACATTTCCACTTGGAAAGCTTACTGGACTCTCATATTTAATATGTACAAAGTAGAAGTTTTGGTTTCTTATCTCAAGTCTGTCTCACTTTCTTTATTTCAGTAATTGCTGTTCTTTCAGAAATTCAGAAAATTTCAGAAATACTGTATTGTTGTTGTTGTTTTTTGAGACAGCCTCGCTCTGTTGCCCAGGCTGGAGTGCAATGGCGCGATCTTGGCTCACTGCAAGCTCTGCCTCCTGGGTTCACGCCATTCTCCCACCTCAGCCTCCCGAGCAGCTGGGACCACAGGCGCCTGCCACCACGCCCGGCTAATTTTTTGTATTTTCAGTAGAGATGGGGTTTCACCGTGTTAGCCAGCATGGTCGTGATCTCCTGATCTCGTGATCCACCCGCCTCGGCCTCTCAAAGTGCTGGGATTAAAGGTGTGAGCCACTGCGCCCGACCAATACTGTGTTTTTAATAATAGTTCAAGGCTTTAAACCTTGGTGTCACCCTTGACTGTTCTTTCACATCCAGTCAACAAGTTCCGTCAGCACTACTTTAATCCAAAATCTGACTTCTTAATGCTGCTTCTGCTTTTACAGCTCACTACCACTTAGGTCCTGTATTCCATCTTTTCTCACCTGGATGATTACAGTAGCCTCCTAAATTTATATCAGTTCATATATATCAAATGATGATACTTTTCTGTTTAGAATGCTCCAGTGGTTTCCCATCTCGTAAGGCCTTACTTGACTAGCCTCTCCCTGACCACCCGTAGCTCTCATTATTCTGCCTCCTTACTCAGTTCAAGTCCCACTGGCCTTGTTTTTTCTCATACAGTACACTTCAACAATGCTGTACCTCAGGTCTTTGCACTTACTATTATCCTCTGCCTGCATTATGCCCCTAAATTTCTGTATAGCTCAGTTACATTAATATTCTTCTGCTATTTCCTCAAGTATTAGAGAAGGCTTTCCAGACTTTCCTATTAAATTAACATCTTTGCCTCCTCTATATTTTTTCCCGTTTTATTTTCTCTTACAGCAAATATCACTACCTGACATATTTTACTAGAATGTAAGCTCCATGAGGAGGGGATTTTGTTTTGTTTACCATGGTGTTTTTAGTATTCAGAACATGCCTGCTTACATAGTAGTTGCTAAAAAATTTTTTTGTTAAATGAATAAGTTGAATCATGTTGTTTCCAGTGTAGACAGAATAGGTATATGTGGTTGAAAAATGAACAGCACAAAGTTAGCTCCCCAAAAATGGCAAAGTGAAATAAAGAAACATTTCTGAAGAACATTGTTGAACTGTAATCCCAGCACTTTGGGAGGCTGGGGCAGTTGGATTGCCTGAGCCCAGGAGTTCAAGATTAGGCTGGGCAACAAAACGAGACCCTGTCTCTACAAAAAAAAAAAAAAAAAATTGCTGGGAGTGGTGGCATGCACCTGTGGTCTCGGCTACTTGAAAGGTTGAGGTGGGAGGATCACTTGACCCAGAAGTTTGAGGCAGCAGTGAGCTATGAGTGCACCACTGCACTCCAGCCTGGGTGACAGAGCGAGACCTAGTCTCAAAAAAAAAAAAAAAAGTCCGGGTGTGGTGGCTCATGCTTGTAATCCTGGCACTTTGGGAGGCCAAGGAGGGTAGATTGCTTGGGGTCAGGAGTTTGAGACCAGCCTGGACAACATGGCAAAACCCTGTCTCTACTAAAAATAACAAAAATTAGCCGAGTGTCATGGCAGGCACCTGTAATTCCAGCTACTTGGGAGGCTGAGGCTTGAGAATCGCCTGAACTTCGGAGGCAGAGGTTGCAGTGAGCCAAGATCGCACCACTGCATTCAAGCCAGAGAGAGACTCTGTCTCAGAAAAAAAAAAAAAAAAAAAAATTAGCTAGGCATGGTGGCGAGTGCCTGTAGTCCCAGCTACTCAGGAGACTGAGACAGGAGGCAGGAGAATTGCTTGAATCCAGGAGGCAAGATTGCGCCACAGCACTCCAGCCTGGGCGACAGAGCAAGACTCCATCTCAAACAAACAAACAAACAAACAAAGAAAAACCCACTTTTGGAACTCTCCTACCTTTGACTACTTGTTATGTTGGATAATATATACAGGTTGATAATGCAGGTTGTTATGTTGGATAATATATACAGGTCATATTCAAAATCTGGAATGTTCCAATATCCTATACTTTTTAGCTCTGACATGATGCCACAAGTGGAGAATTCTTAACACAGACTTTTTTTCATTCACCGAATTATTAAAAAATATTGTCCAAAATTACCTTTCAGGCTATGTGAATAAGGTATATATGAAACATAAGTGTATTTCATGTTTAGACTTGGGTCCCATATCAAGATATCTCATTGTGTATTTGTAAATGGGCCAAAAAAAAAAAATCCAAAATCCCAAGCACTTCTGGCCTCAAGCATTTTGGATAAGGGATATTCAGCCTGTGTCCCCTCCCCCTTTTTCAGCTACATTGAGTTGGATTTTCTGTTCTTTGCAGCCTAGGAATATCTCATTTCTTTTCTTTTCTTTTTTTTTTTTTTTTTTTTTTGAGACGGAGTCTTGCTGTGTCACCCAGGCTGGAGTACAGTGGCGTGATCTGAGCTCACTGCAGCCTGTATGCTATGAGTATTTTTTAGAATTATGGATGTGTTTTTTTTTTTTTAATAAACACATTTATTGAGCTGGGCACAGACGCTCCCTCACACCTGTAATCCCAGCACTTTGGGAGGCTAAGGTGGGAGGATAGCTTGAGCCCAGCCTTGGCAACAAAGCAAGGCCCTGTGTCTACCAAAAATGACAATAAAAAGTAACCAGGAGTGTGGCATGTACCTGTGTCCCAGCTACTCCAGAGGCTGAGGAAAGGATCACTTGAGCCTAGGATGGGAGGTTGAGGCTTTAGTGAGCTATGATCACACCATTGCACTCCAGTCTAGGTGAGAGAGTGAGACCCTGTCTCAAAAAAAAAAAAAAAAAATCTTTTTCAGGGCATAATGTTTCCTGATTATCTTTTTAGAAAATGTGGACATAAAAAGGAAAAATTACATATGTAATTGTATATGTAATAATCACACATATCTGCAGAAATAACCAGATGCATTGAAAAAACACACACATGCCACTTCTTTAGTGGAGCTAATGACATACATTTTATATCCCACTTTTTTCTCTCGAGATTGTTATTATTTACTTTCTCATCTAGTAATTTATACATCTGAGTTTTCTAATTTCTTGTTTTGTTGGGTTTTTTTTTTTTTGCCTTCCTCCCCGTAGATCTTGAGCCAGATGATTGTGCATCCATTTACATCTTTAATGTAGATCCACCTCCATCTACTTTAACCACACCACTTTGCTTACCACATCATGGATTACCGTCTCACTCTTCTGTTTTGTCACCATCGTTTCAGCTCCAAAGTCACAAAAACTATGAAGGAACTTGTGAGATTCCTGAATCTAAATATAGCCCATTAGGTGGTCCCAAACCCTTTGAGTGCCCAAGTATTCAAATTACATCTATCTCTCCTAACTGTCATCAAGAATTAGATGCACATGAAGATGACCTACAGATAAATGACCCAGAACGGGAATTTTTGGAAAGGCCTTCTAGAGATCATCTCTATCTTCCTCTTGAGCCATCCTACCGGGAGTCTTCTCTTAGTCCTAGTCCTGCCAGCAGCATCTCTTCTAGGAGTTGGTTCTCTGATGCATCTTCTTGTGAATCGCTTTCACATATTTATGATGATGTGGACTCAGAGTTGAATGAAGCTGCAGCCCGATTTACCCTTGGATCCCCTCTGACTTCTCCTGGTGGCTCTCCAGGGGGCTGCCCTGGAGAAGAAACTTGGCATCAACAGTATGGACTTGGACACTCATTATCACCCAGGCAATCTCCTTGCCACTCTCCTAGATCCAGTGTCACTGATGAGAATTGGCTGAGCCCCAGGCCAGCCTCAGGACCCTCATCAAGGCCCACATCCCCCTGTGGGAAACGGAGGCACTCCAGTGCTGAAGTTTGTTATGCTGGGTCCCTTTCACCCCATCACTCACCTGTTCCTTCACCTGGTCACTCCCCCAGGGGAAGTGTGACAGAAGATACGTGGCTCAATGCTTCTGTCCATGGTGGGTCAGGCCTTGGCCCTGCAGTTTTTCCATTTCAGTACTGTGTAGAGACTGACATCCCTCTCAAAACAAGGAAAACTTCTGAAGATCAAGCTGCCATACTACCAGGAAAATTAGAGCTGTGTTCAGATGACCAAGGGAGTTTATCACCAGCCCGGGAGACTTCAATAGATGATGGCCTTGGATCTCAGTATCCTTTAAAGAAAGATTCATGTGGTGATCAGTTTCTTTCAGTTCCTTCACCCTTTACCTGGAGCAAACCAAAGCCTGGCCACACCCCTATATTTCGGTGAGTTGATGGAAATGGCTGCTGGTCATTTTTCATGTTTATGGGTCATTGGTGGCATATAACTACATTATCAGTATATAATGGTTATATAATGGTTTGACCATTTCTCCTCTTCCTATTTTTAAAAAAAATTTTACCAAATAACTTAATGTTTATTTTCATTTGCATCTTAAAAGTATTTTTAGATAGGTTAAATATAATTTTAAAATATATAGCTAATGAATTGTTGATAATAATAAATTACATTTAAAAATCCTTGCTAGGTTTGGAGGCTTATGCTTTGTATTCCCAACACTTGGGAGGCTGAGGCAGGAGGATTGCTTGAGCCCAGGAGTTTGAGACTAGCCTGGGCAACATAGCAAGATCCTGTCTCTACAAAAAAAAAAAAAAAAAAATTAACCAGGCATAGTGATGTCTGCCTGTAGTCCTAGCTGCTTGGGAGGCTGAGGTGGAAGGATTGCTTGAGCCCAGAACTTCAAGGCTGCAGTGAAACATGATTATGCCATTGTACTCCATCCTGTTTCTACCAAAAAAAAAAAGTTTATTGTACAACTTGGATTATAATATGAATTTAATTACTAAGAAAACTATTTGGGGGCCAGGCGTGGTGTCTCATGCCTGTAATCCCAACACTTTGGGAGGCCGTTGAGCCCCAGAGTTCAAGACCAGCCTGGGTGACATGGCAAAACCGTGTCTCTACAAAAAATACAAAAATTAGCCAGGTGTGGTGGCACACACCTATAGTCCCAGGTACTAGGGAGGCTGAGGCGGGAGCATTGCCTGAGATGGGAGATGGAGGCTGCAGTGAGCTGAGATTATGCCACTGCACTGCAGCCTGGGTGAAAGCAAGACCCTGTCTGCACCACCCCCCTACAAAAAAAAAAAGAACCTATTAATTACATTTACAGAATCAATCTAGTCTATAACTGATTAGAAAAGACAACTTTTATGTATTAAATTCCCACATGGAGTTGTGCCTGTTAGGATTTTTGTTTTGTTTTTTGAGACAGCATCTTGTTGCCCAGACTGGAGTGCAGTGGGGTAATCATAGCTCACTGCAGGTTCGACCTCCCAAGCTCAAGCAATCCTTATACCTCAGGCTCCTGAGTGGCTGGGACTATAGGCGTATACCACCACACTCAATTATTTAAAAAAATTTTTTTTGTTTTTTTTGGTAGAGATGGGGTCTTGCTTTGTTGCTTAGGCTGATCTCACTCCTGGCCTCAAGTGATCCTCCTGCCTCAGTTTGCAAAGTGCCAGGATTACAGGCAGGAGCCACTGTGCCCGGCCAGGGGTTTTTCTTTTCTTTCTTTTTTTTTTTTTTTTTAAGAGATGGAGTCTCGCTCTGTTGCCCAGGCTGGAGTGCAATGGCGCGATCTCGGCTTACTGCAAGCTCCGCCTCCTGGGTTCACCTACCATTCTCCTGCCTCAGCCTTCTGAGTAGCTGGGACTACAGGCGTCCGGCACCACGCCCGGCTAATTTTTGTATTTTTAGTAGAGACGGGGTTTCACCGTGTTAGCCAGGATGGTCTCCATCTCCTGACCTCGTGATCCTCCCACCTCGGCCTCCCAAAGTGCTGGGATTACAGGCGTGAGCCACCGCACCCACCCGGCCTTCTCTTTTTTTTGAGACGGAATCTCACTGTCGCCCAGGCTCAAGTGCAGTGGCATGATCTCAGCTCACTGCCATCTCCGCCTTCCAGGTTAAGCAATTCTCCTGCCTCAGCCTCCCGAGTAGCTGGGATTCCAGGCACCTGCCACCACGCCTGGCTAATTTTTTTGTATTTTTAGTAGAGAATGGGTTTCACCATGTTGGCCAGGCTGGTCTTGAACTCCTGACCTCAGGTGATCTGCCCGCCTCGGCCTCCCAAAGTGCTGGGATTACAGGCGTGAGCCACTGCGCCCGGCCAATGCTTTTTTCATTAGTGTGAATCTTTATTTCTCAATCCTGATCTTTAGAAAAATAGAATTATGGTAATGAAGACACCTTTGAACCCATCCCTTTGCTTCTGAAATTTATCTTAATTTTTCTAGTGGTTTGCTTAAGGCTGCAAAACAAATACAGAAGTAACTGAGAGTTGAAGTTGGAT
Organism: Homo sapiens; assembly: GCF_000001405.40. Classification (NCBI taxonomy): domain Eukaryota; kingdom Metazoa; phylum Chordata; class Mammalia; order Primates; family Hominidae; genus Homo; species Homo sapiens. Next base: position 68,125,212 of record NC_000016.10, read on the forward strand.
TTTTTCAAACTAATAAAAATTAATATCCTTGAATTCACAGGAGTAGGACTTAAAGCTAGGCTGAGGACATGGAAGGAAACAATGAAATAATTTAGAAATTGTACTTGACCTGTAGACATACGAAGTTTTTCTTTTATAATCCATGTTTTAATATATCAAAATGATCCTTTGGGCCTTTAAGCAATTTAAATTGTCTTACTGATAAAGTAAAAAAGTAACATTTAGAGTTGCTGGAGTGACGGGTTGTTTTCCAACCAAGCATGTACCAAAATTAAATTTTTACTTCAAATTGCAGTATATTGCTGAATGGAAGCAGTTTTTCAGAGAGACAGGGAAAGGCGCAGTAGGAAGGAAGTAGGGAAAGGAGCAATAGGGAGGAAGTGCGGGAAGTGATAACTTCAGTAGGCTGACATCCAGAGATATGTACCAGGGAGGGAGATAGACATCCTGACACAGAGAGAGATGTTTGGATATGTGGAGAGATACAGATATACATAAACAGAAATGTGCCTCTTTGTTTTAAAAAAATCAAATTATTATTTTTTGGTTATTTTTGTTAAGTTCATACACATAGTTGAGAAAAATTTACAGTTTTATAAATTATAAGAATTTGTCTTTTTCAAAAAAATATGGGAAACCAAAATGAAGATAAGATAGATTTTTAAATTTTATTTTATTTTATTATTATTATTATTTTTTGAGACAGAGTCTCGCTCTTTTGGCCAGGCTGGAGTGCAGTGGCGCAATCTTGGCTCATTGCAGCCTCCGTCTCCTGGGCTCAAGCATTTCTGCCTCCTTAGCCTCCCTAGTAGCTGGGATTACAGGTGAGTGCCACCATGCCCAGCTAATTTTAGTAGAGATGGGGTTTCACCATGCTAGCAAGGCTGGTCTCGAACTCCTGACCTCAGGTAATCTGCCCACCTCGGCCTCCCAAAGTGCTAGGATTACAGGCATGAGCCACCGCACCTGGCCTTTATTTTTATTTTCTAAAATTTATTTATCTTTAAGCATGTACCACCTTTGGGAAATAAAATAGATTTTATTCTAAAGATGAAATAATTATTTATTAAGCACTCACCATAACCAGAATTGTAACTTACTAAATGAAGTTTTATTTTGTAATACATTGTTTCAAAGATCAAAGGAAGAAATGTTGGTGCTGGCAAAGAAGCCATTTGAATCATTGCTTGGCAATAATAGCATGGTGACATGCATCTTTGTGTGTTTTGTTTGTAGCACATCTTCATTACCTCCACTAGACTGGCCTTTACCAGCTCATTTTGGACAATGTGAACTGAAAATAGAAGTGCAACCTAAAACTCATCATCGAGCCCATTATGAAACTGAAGGTAGCCGAGGGGCAGTAAAAGCATCTACTGGGGGACATCCTGTTGTGAAGGTATGAGACTTTTGGGGCTTGTTTTGCAGATACCATACACCTAGTGATGATTAGACAAGTCTATTCAGTTAGGTACTAGAGAGTGCAAAGAGCATAAACTCAAAACTAGAGAGCCTCTGTTGTTTTGGGGGCTTGTTGATGTGACTACACTTGTGCATTGAGTTATATTTGCTAGGCTAAAAGATGTTCTTTCTGGACTGACTTTCCTTCTGGGGAGACTCTGGAGAAAGATTACAGTGGCCAAATAGCCGTTTTTCTGACAAACAAATATGGCCGTATTATATTTATGAATAAAATATATGCTCATTTAAAATTTAATACAGGCCGGGCACGGTGGCTCACGCTTGTAATCCCAGCACTTGGGGAGGCCGAGGCAGGTGGATCACTAGCTCAGGAGTTCGAGACCAGCCTGGCCAACACAGTGAAATCCCGTCTCTACTAAAAATACAAAAATGAGCAGGGCGTGGTGGCGGGCACCTGTAATCCCAGCTCTGCGGCAGGCTGAGGCAGGAGAATTGCTTGAACCCGGGAGGCAGAGGTTGCAGTGAGCCAAGATCGTGTCGCTGCACTCCAGCCTGGGTGACAGAACTAGACTCTGTCTCTAAATAAATAAATAAGTAAAATTTAATCAGAAAAATAGGAAGGATAAGCAACAAATTACCCAAAATCTAACCCTCTCAGAAATAAGCAGTGTTAACATTTGATTAACATTCCAGATAACTCTCTGTGTGTATATTTAGTGGAAGACTGAATGGATAGCTAGAAAAATGAATGGATTTTTTTAAGGAAAGAATTTTTTAAGGAAAGAGATTACATCTGTAATCCCAGCACTTTGTGATGCTGAGGCAAGTGGATCACTTGAGCCCAGGAATTTGAAGCCAGCCTGGACAATATAGTGAGACCAAGCCTCTACAAAAAAATACAAAAATTAACTGGGCATGGTGGTGTGTGCCTATAGTCCCAGCCATTCCAGAGGCTAAGATGGGAAGATCAATTGAACCTGGGAGGTTGAGGCTGTAGTGAGCTATGATCATGCCACTGCAGTCCAGCCTGGGGAACAGAATGAGACCCTGTCTCAAAAAAAAAAAAAAAGGAATTCCTAAAATATCTTTCTAAGGTCAAAAAAAGAGATTAAATACATTATTGAGAGATGAAGTTATTGTTTCAGATTTAGATGGCATAGATTGACTTCTACTCTGAAAAGTAAAGTAATTGTCTGTCTTAAACTTCCTTCCCCTTTTCTACTCTTTACCTCCTGAATTTTCTTGCTTATGCTATTTTTCCTTTCAAATTTACATCCTCCCTAACTTCTCCCCCAATTATTTAGCCTTAGTTCTATTTCTAGTTAGATTCAATGCTCACTACTACTACTTTTTTATTTCATTAAGTTTTTTTTTGTTTTTATGTAAGGAGGGCTTTGGATTCTATGTTCCATGGGTTCTTTCATGTTTGAAAATGTGTTTGTTGCCTTTATATACTAAAATATAGAAATGGCTGTAGATGATAATCTCTTAGAACTGTGTAGATATTTTTCTCTCGTCTTAATGGTATTTATTGAATACTGTAGTGGAAAAACTAATTACACTGAAGTGATTTTCAACAAATAAAATCTACAAATTATCATCTCTTTTATGAGCTATGCTTTATGATTATTATCTGATCATGTTTTATAGTTCTTTACGTATAAAGATTTACATTTTAGATGGGTTTTTTTAATGATTTGTTATTAAGAAACGCCAGGAAAACAAAACATAAGAATTTTGTCATTTTGTTTGTAAGAGTCATATTTTTTTGTTAAATGAATTTATTTCATTTTGATAAAGTAAGCAGATTTATTGCTTAGTTTTCTATATCTTTTAGTTTTCATAGCAATCAACAAATTATTTACAAGTGTATAAATGAACAAGTCTTTTGGGAGGGTACATGATTTGTTTCCACAGTTTTCCTTTAATGAAAAAACCGATGCATGTGCTGTGGTCAAAAGAAAAAAACAACGTTAAAAAACATAATTAAAAAAAATAATTTTAAAAGATTAAAAAAACAAAAACAAAAACTGAGCCAGGAACAATGGTGTGTGCTTGTAGTCCCAGCTACTGGGGAGGCTGAGGCTTAAGGATCGCTTGAGGCCAGGAATTCAGGGCTGTGGTGTATGATGATTGTGGCTGTAAATAGCCACTGCACTCTAGCCTGGGCAACATGTCTCTTTAAAAAACAAAAGCAGAACTGGTGCTGTAGCTCATGCCTGTAATCCAGGTGACATGGTGGGCTGGGATGCTAGGTGAGAGGATTGCTTGAGGCCAGGAGTTTGAGACTGGGCAACAAATAAATAAATAAAATTAGCTGGACATTGTGGCACACCCTTGTAGTCCCAGCTACTCCAGAGGCTGAGGCAGTAGGATTGCTGGAGCCGGGAGTTTGAGGCTGCTGTGAGCTACGATTGTGCCACTGCACTCCAGCCTGGGCAACAGAGACCAACCCAGTTTCTACAAAAAATTTGAAAAATAGCCAAGTACAATAAGTAGCATGCGCCTGTAGTCCCAGCTCTTTCAGAAGCTGAAGTGGAAGGATCATTTGAGCCCAGGAATTTGAGGCTGCAGTGAGCTATGATCACACCACTGCACTCCAGCTTGGGTGACAGAGCAAGGCACTTCTCAAAAACAAAGACAAAACAGCTGAGTCTCTCGTTAAGGGGAGACTACAACTTCTGGTACCAGCAGTTTTTATTTTCTTCTTGTAAATGACTTTTTGTTTTCTAACTTACTGATTGAAGAATTATTTCATTATACTTGAAATAGTTGACTTAACCAGAGTATGTCTGAATGTTAACAGTTCTTTATCAGTCTTTCCCAGTACTTTTGATGCTCCCTTTCAATCTGAGATTCTTTCTTGCTTCATGCCAGAAAAATGTATATATTTCCTTTCCCATATATTTTGTTGTTTACTTAAGTGACTCTAATTATTACTCAAATGTTGGCTTATCTTAGGTCTTGTTATGTTGCCCAGGCTGTTCTTGAACCCTTGGCCTCAAATGATCCTCCCACCTTGCCCGCTGCTCCCCGCCTTTTTTTTTTTTTTTTTTTTTTAAGAGCTAGGCTCTTGCTCTGTCACCTAGGCTGGAATTCAGTGGCATGATCATACCTAACTGCAGTCTCAAACTCCTAGGATCAGGGCATTCTCCTGCCTCAGCCTCCCGAGTAGCTGGGACTGCAGATGCATGCCACTGCATCTGGCTAATTTTTTAATGTATTTGTGGAGACAGTCTTGATTTGTTGCCCGGGCTGGTCTCAAAACTCCTGGCTTCAAGTGATCCTCCTGCCTTGGCCTCCCAAAGTACTGGGATTATAGGTGTGAGCTGCCAGGCCTGGCTGATTTCTCTCTTTTCTTGTGGTGGGATAGTATTCAATTGTGTATATATACCACATTTTAGAAATCCATTCATCCACTGACGAACACTTATTTTGGTTCCATATCTTGGCCGTTATGAATAATGCTGAAAGAAACATAGGAGCACAAATATCTTTTTAATCTACTGATTTCATTTCTTTTGGATATATACCCTGTAGTGGAATTGCTGGATCATATGGTAGTTCTGTTTTTAATTTTTTGAGTAACCTCCATACTGTTTTCTGTAATGGCTATACTCACTCACATTTCCATAACAGTGTGCCAGTGTTCCCTTTTCTCCTTATCCCAGCCAGAATTTTCCTTTTTTTGCATTTTGATAAGTAGCCATGCTAACCGGAGTGATATTATATCTCATTGTGGTTTTGATTTGCATTTCCCTGATGATTAGTGATGTTGAGCATTTTTTTATATACCTGTTTGCCATTTGTATGTCTCCTTTTGAGAAATGTCATTTTAGATCCTTTGCCCACTTTTTAGATTATTTGGGGTTTTTTTGGCTGTTGAGTTGTTTGAGTACCTTGTACATTCTTAGTATTAATCCTTTGTTGGATGAATAGTTTGAAGATATTTTCTCCCATTCTACGGGTTGTCTCCTCATTCTGTTATTTCCTTTGCTGTACAGAAGCTATTTAGTTGATAGAGTTCTATTTCTCTGTTTTTATTGGCTGTGATTTTGTAGAATTACTCATAAAATCTTTGCTTAGATCAGCGTTATGGAGCTTTCCCCCTGTGTTTTCTTCTAGTAGTTTTTTAGTTTTGGATCTTAAATTTAAGTCTTTAATCCATTTTGAGTTGATTTTTTTGTATATGATGAAAGATGGGTTTCTAATTTCATTCTTCTGCGTGTGGATATCCAGTGTTCCCAGCATAGTTATTGAAGAGGATATCCTTTCCCCAATGTATGTTCTTATTAGCACCTTTGTCGAAAATGAGTTAGCTGTAAATACAGGAATTTATTTCTGTGCCCTCTATTCTGTCACATGAGTCTGTGTGTCTGTTTTTATATCAATACTGTGCTGTTCTTGTTACTGTCATTTTGTAATGTATTTTGAAGTCAAGTAGTGTAATGCCTCGGGTTTTGTTCTTTTTGTTCAGTTAAGCTTTGGCTCTTTGGGGTCTTTGGTGGTTCAATTTAAATTTTAAGATTGTTTTTTCTATTTCTATGAAGAATGTCCTTGGTATTTTGACAGAGATTGCATTGAATCTGTAGAATGTGTTTGGTAGTGCTTATTGATACATTCTTATACAACAACAACTTTTTTTGTTTGTTTTTGTTTTTTGAGACAGAGTCTCACTCTGTTACACCAGCTGGAGTACAGCGGTGTGATATTGGCTCACTGCAGCCTCTGCCTTCCGGGTTCAGGTGATTCTTCTGCCTCAGCCTCCTGAGTAGCTGGGATTACAGGCACGCACTACCATGCCTGGCTAATTTTTTGTATTATAGTAGAGACAGGGTTTTACCATGTTGTCCAGGCTGGTCTCGAACTCCTGACCTCAAGTGATCCACCCACCTCGGCCTCCCAGAGTGCTGGGATTAGAGGCGTGAGCCACTGTGCCTGGCCAACAAAACTTTTAAAAGACAAAACAAAATTTTAAAAGAAACAAGCCAGCAGATACCAAGCACAATCAAGGTACTTTTTTTTTTTTTTTTAAGTAGAAACAGGGTCTCGCTATATTGCCCAGTTTGGTCTTGAACTCCTGGAGTCAAGCATTCGTCTTGCCTCAGTCTTCCAAAGTGCTGGGATTACAGGTCTGAGCCACTGCACCTGGCCTAAACATACCACATTTATATGTGAGGCTCAGACCAGTCTGGAATAACTGATGCCTTTCTCTCTCTCTCTGAGAATTTAAAATCCTCAGAATAGTGGAGAAATCTACCAACTCTTCTCAATTGCTGGAGAAGAACCACCTCTGTTAATGGGAAAAAATGTCGTCTCAGAAGTGGGCATATACTGGTATAGTGTTCCATACATTGCACAACTCTGCAAATATGTTGGAATATAGAGAATCAGGTATCACTTCCACTTTCCCTTTTAAATGACGTGCTCTCATGTGTACTGCTTATTTTTCTCTCAATATTAGAAAAATAGCTTTTAGATAGAGAGTAAAATGAAGTAGTATCACAATCTTCCCCCAATAATTAACAAAATAAACAAAATGTATGTGTGTGTAGGATGTGAGGAAACAGCCAAAAATCTATGGGTAACACCCAAACAAGCAAAAAAGAACACAAACTTTGATCTATAAACTTCAAAGAGTGGTGATAGAGGATGGAGGGTGGGGTAGGGTGAGGACTGTGTAATAGAAGAGATTCTGGTATAGTATATAGCAGAGCTGCTAACCCACACATACTTTCATCCATCAGGAAGAGTAATAAGTCAAGGAAAAACCCTCAAGAATAAAAGAATAAAAGATCCTTTACACTGCTAGTGGGAATGTAAATTAGTATAGCCATGATGGAAAACAGTCTAAAGGTTGCTCAAAAAATTTAAAAATAGAACTACCATGTGATCCAGCAGTTCCACTGTTGGGAATTCATCCATAGAAGAGGAAATCAGTATACTGAAGAGATCACAGTAGCCAAGATATGGAATCAACCTAAATGTCCATCAGCTGATGAATGAATAAAGAAAATGTGACATATATGCACAATACAATACTATTCAGGCATAAAAAAGAATGAAATCCTGCCATTTGTGGCAACATGGATGAACCTGGAGGACATTATATTAAATGAAATAAGTCAGGCACAGAAAGATAAATACTGCATGTTTTCACTTATATGAAGGGGCTAAAAAATTTGAGCTCATAGAAATAGAATTTTCGTTATCAGAGGCTGAGAAAGGATTGAGGGAAGTAAGGATGGGGAGAAGTTGGTCAATGGATACAAAATTACAGCTAGAGGGGAAGAATAAGACTTGTATTATGTAGCACTGTAGGGTGAATATAGTTAATAAAAATTTATTGTGGCGGGGCGCAGTGGCTCACACCTGTAATCCCAGCACTTTGGGAGGCTGAGGCAGGTAGATCACTTGAGGTCAGGAGTTCGAGAACAGCCTGGCCAACATGGTGAAACCCTGTGTCTATTAAAAATACAAAAATTAACTGGGCGTGGTGGCACATGCCTGTAATCTCAGCTACTCAGGAGGCTGAGGCAGGAGAATCACATGAACCCGTGGGTGGAGGTTGCAGTGAGCTGAGATTGCGCCACTGCACTCCAGCCTGGGCAGCAGAGTGAGACTCTGTCTAAAAATAAAATTATGTGTATGTTCACAAAGCTAGAAAGGATTTTGAATGTTAACATAAATGATAAATGTTTGAGGTGATATCTTAACCTGATTTGATTATTATACATTATATACATGTATCAAAATATCACTATTTACTCCGCAAATATGTATAATTATTACATGTCAACTAAAAAGAGGAACAAATATATCAATAAAGTATACAAACCTTAAGTTGTACAACGCAATGAATATTTAACACGCAAGTATAAATACTCATAAAAATACCACACAGGTTAACATGTAGAATATTTTAAGCACTTCATGAGTCTCCCTTGTACCCCTTCCCAGTTTATACCCCCAACCGAAGATAATCATGCTTCTCAATTCTCATCATCATATATTAGTTTTCTTATTTCTGCATTTTATATAAATGGATGTCCTGCTTTGTATCTAACATCATGTATTCAACATTATGATTGTGGGATTCATCAAATTTTTGTTGTTTATTTTTTTCATTGCTTTGTGTTATTCTAGTGTATGAATTTGCAAGTGTTTCTTTATCTGTTATCTTTTCATGGACATTTGATTTGTGTCCAGTGTTGGACAATATGTATAAAGCTGCTTTGTGCCCTTTTTTTTAAAAAAAAAAAAAATGACTTTCGATGGACAAAGCATTCACTTACTTGGGTATATGTCTGGGAGTGTAGTTACTGATTTTCCAAAGTGGCTGTGCCAATTTATACTCCCAATCAGCCATATATAAAAGTTCTTATTCCTCCACATTGTCACCAAGTGTTACACTTGTTAGTCTTTTAATTTTAACTATTATTGTAAAGATATAATGGTATCTGGCTGTGGTTTTAATTTGTGATTTCTTGATTACCAATGATATTGAACATCTTAACATATTTATTGGACATTTGGATATCTTTCATGAAGTGTTTGTTCACATCTTTTGAACTTTTTGTGATAGTGGCACAATCACGACCCATTGCAACCTCAAACTCATGGGCTCAAGCGATCTTCCCACCTTGGCCTCCCAAGTATCTGGCACTACAGGCATGTACCACCACGCTTGGCTAATTTTTTAAATCTTTCTTTTAGACAGGGCCTCGCTATGTTACCCAGGCCCAGTGTCTGCCACTTGCTTGTTTTCTTGTCTGAAACTCTTGGCTTCAAGTGATTGATCCTCCCACCTCAGCCTCCCAAAATGCTGGAATTACAGACGTGAGCCACTGTGCCCAGCCAGCTCATCTTCGAATAATAACAGTTTTACTTCTTCCTTCTTAATTTTTATACTTTTTCCCCCCTTTTTCTTGCTTCATTGTATTGACTAGGATTTCTGATACATTGTTGATTAGAGGTGGTGATGGAGGACATCCTTGTCTTTTTCCCAAACTCAGGGCAAAAAAGGATTCATAGTTGTGCCATTAAGTAATTTGCTAGGGTTTGTTTTGGGGTTTTTTTGGGGGGATGGGGGATACCTTTTATCAGACTAAGGATATTCTTTTATTCTAATTTGTTGGGAGGTTTCTATTTTTGTTTTTTGAATTCATGAATAGGTGTTGAGTGTTGTCAACTGCTTTTCTTGCAGACTTGTTTTCTATTTTAAGAATACAAGAAGCAAACCATGCAGCCAGTGTCTGCCACTTGCATGTTTTCTGTAATGTGGTAACTTAATATTAAAGTAAAATAGAGATAATGTTCTTTTATTATTAAATTGGACTGATACAGTCTCTTTTTTTTTTATCGTTTATGGTTAGGAAGTGTAGAATTATGTAACACTGTTAAGAATCTCCCTCCAGGTTCTCATTTTTTGGGGTTTTACACATCCACGATATCTTTGTGTTGGTGGCGGGGGACTTCATAGTGCCTTCAGAGTGCACAAGTGAGAAATAGATGCAATTTAATCTCAAATGAAACTGAACTGTGGCCGGGCGCGGTGGCTCACGCATGTAATCCCAGCAATATGGGAGGCCGAGATGGACGGATCATAAGGTCAGGAGATTGAGACCATCTTGGCTAACACGGTGAAACCCCGTTTCTACTAAAAATACAAAAAATTAGCCGAGCGTGTTGGTGGGCACCTGTAGTCCCAGCTACTCGGGAGGCTGAGGCAGGAGAATGGTGTGAACCCGGGAGGCAGAGCTTGCAGTGAGCTGAGATTGCGCCGCTGCACTCCAACCTGGGGGACACAGCGAGACTCCGTCTCAAAAAAAAAAAAAAAAAAAAAAAAAAGAAACTGAATTGTGTACTTGTTGCTGAGAAACTAATCTTTAATAAATTTAAAATAGTCTTTAATGAATATTTAATCAGATTATTTTACTTTTTAGTTCTTATCTAAATATGGAAGAACTGTCTGTTTAATTAAAGCCGATACCTTTTATTGAAATTACCTGGTGAAAATGCTCATTTTCAGTTACTAGAATTGGAAGAGACTTTTGTAGGTCTTAATTTTCTGAATTTTTTTAGATGATTTAATATAGATTATCTGTATATTTTAAAATAATGTTTGGGTTTTAGAAAAATAGTTTAGGCTGGGTGCGGTGGCTCACGCCTGTAATCCCAGCACTTTGGGAGGCCGAGGCAGGTGGATCACCCAAGGTCAGGAGTTCGAGACCAGCCTGGGCAACACCGTGAAACCCCCACTCTACTAAAAATACAAAAATTAGCTGGGCATGGTGGTGCATGCCTGTAATCCCAGCTACTCAGGAGGCTAAGGCGAGAGTATCACTTGAACTCGGGAGGCAGAGGTTGCAGTGAGCCGAGATCGCGTCATTGCACTCCAGCCTGGGCAACAAGAGTGAAACATTCCATCTCAAAAAAAAAGAAGAAAGAAAGAAAAATAGTTTGAAAGAATTTGCTTTACTGTGAACATTTGTCTAAAAAGTGCTTGAAGACAAAATGCTACTTAAATTACTAATTTCAGTGGCATTTTGTAGGTTCGTGCTGCTATTAATTGTAATAATTTACTTTTTGTAGTGTTTTGTAGTTTACAAAATGTTTTCCCAGAGTTTACTTTTTTTTTCTTTTTTCTTTTATGAGACTGTCTCACTCTGTTGCCGATGCTGGAGTGCAGTAGTGCAATGTCAGCTCGCTGCAACCTACACTTTCTGGGCTCAAGCGATCCTCTCCACCTCAACTTCTCCCGTGGCTGGGACTACAGGGGCAAACCACCACACCTGGCTACTTTTTGTATTTTTTGTAGAGATAAGGTTTTGCCATGTTGGGCAGGCTGGTTTCGAACCCCTAGGCTCAAGTGATCCACCTGCCTTGGCTTCTCAAAGTGCTAGGATTATAGGTGTGAGCCACCACGCCTGGCCTCAGAGTTTACATTTAATCTTTACAAAAGTTCTTTAAAAAGGGCAAAGCAAGTACAGTCATATGTCACTTAACACCAGGGATATGTTCCGAGAAATGCATCACTGGGCGATTTCCTTGTTGTATGAACACCATAGAGTATAGTTATACAAACCTAGATGGTATACCCTAATATGTGGTATAACCAGTCACAGTGGCACCATGCTTGCAGTCCCAGCTACTTAGGAGGGTGAGGCAGGAGGATTGCTTGAGTCCAGGATTTAGAATTAGCCTGGGCAACATGTTGAGAGCTTGTCTCTTAAAAAACAACAACAACAAAGATTTACTTAAGAAAATATGGTATAAAATATTAAAAATAGTATACCTGAATAGAGCCCTTACCATTAATGGAGCTTGTAGGACTGGAAGTTGCTCTGGGTGAATCAGTGAGTGAATAGTGAATGAATATGAAGGCCTAGGACATTACTGTACACTGCTGTAGACTTTCTAAGCACAGTACTCTTAGGCTGTACTATGTTTATAAAAAATTTTTTTCTTTAATAATTAACTTTTTCGCTTTATAAGTTGTGAATTTTAAAAAAATCTTTTGTCTTTTGTAGTAACAGTTTAAAACACAGACACGTTGTGCAGCTGTACAAAGATATTTTATTTCTTTATATCCTTATTCCATAAACATTTTTCTATGTTCAAATTTTTTATTTTTTATTTTTATTTACTTTTAAAACTTTTTTGTTTAAAATGCTGACACAAACACACACATTAGCCCAGGCCTTCACAGAGTCAGGAACATCAAGATGTCACTAGGCAATAGGACTTTTTCAGCTCTGTTGTTACCTGTGGGACCACCATTATATACGGTCTGTCATTTACCGAACCACTGTTATGTAGCTCATGACTGTACATTTTACAGGTGATCTGAGGTTATGTATGTTGTAATTGGCAGAGAGGTCTTAAGCCCAGGTCTTTTGACTGTCGTTTCTCTTTCTGTTTTACCATATTACTTCTTACACTGTAATTATCTCATAATTTCTTAGTATATTTCATTTTCCTTCTTTTTTTTTTTTTTTGAAACAGTCTTGCTCAGTCACCCAGGCCGGAGTGCAGTGGCTCGATCTCCGCTCACTGCAAGCTCCGCCTCCTGGGTTCACGCCATTCTCCTGCCTCAGCCTCCCGAGTAGCTGGGACTACAGGTGCCCGCCACCACGCCCAGCTAATTTTTTTGTATTTTTTTAGTAGAGATGGGGTTTCACCGTGTTAGCCAGGATGGTCACGATCTTCTGACCTCGTGATCCGCCCTCCTCGGTCGGCCTCCCAAAGTGCTGGGATTACAGGCGTGAGCCACCGTGCCCGGCCGTATGTTTCATTTTCTAAAACACTTTCACGTTATCTCATTTAATTCTCCAAATAAACTCTTTTAGAAAGCCTAGTCTTTGACTTAAAGTCAGATACTCTTTCTCTTACTTTAAAAAAAAATTTTTTTTTCTTTGAGACAGAGTCTCGTGCTGTTGCCCGGGCTAGAGTGCAGTGGCCCACATCTCAGTTCACTGCAACCCCTGCCTGCTGGGATCTAGTGATTCTCCTGCCTCAACCTCCCAAGTAGCTAGGATTACAGGCACCCACCAACACACCCACCCAGTTAATTTTTGTATTTTTAGTAGAGATGGGGTTTCGTCATGTTGGCCAGGCTAGTCTCGAACTCCTGACCTCAAGTAATGCACCACCTCAGCCTCCCAAAGTGCTGGGATTACAGGTGTAAGCCACCGTGCCTGGCCCCTGATAAAAATCTTAATGCTTGTTTACTATTATTATAGTTCAAGCTCTCCTTCCTTGGATTAATCATGGTAGCCTAACTACTGTAACTAATAATCCCCAATTCTCAGTGGTTTAAGACCAAAAAAATTTTTTAAAAGTTTATTTTGCATTTTCTTTCAAATTGTTGCTCAGGAATCCAAGATACGTTCATCTTTTGATGTCGTCTTTGATGCACAGCTTCTACTGTCCATGGGAAAGAAGAAGGTGTATGGAAAGCACTCAAGATACTTAACTACATTAACCTGGAAATTACTATCAATCATCACCACTTACAATTTTTTGGCTACAAGTAGTCACATGGCCCTACTTACATGCAGAAGTACTGGGAAAAGTAGTCCCTGGCTGGGCAGCCTTTCCTCATCAAAACTCTGTATTCTGTAGTATAATATAGAACTCTATACTTAAATCTTTGGTGGTTAGTGTGCCTTCTATGCCACATGCTCCACACAGGAATAAATCATGGCTAAGTCACTAATACGGGCTCTAGAGCCAGACTGTTTTGGTTGAATCCTGGATTTTACTGTATCCTTGACCAAGTAACTTAACCTTTCTTTCTAGACCTTTTATTTAATCATTCATTGCTTAATTTATTCACCTATCTATCCATTTACTTATTCGATATGTATTTTTTGATTGCTCACTACGTTATAGACAGTATTGTAGGTGCTAGGGATGCAGAGATGAACAAGAGAGACAAAACTCCAGTCCTCAAGGGCCTTTCTCACTTTATACTGAGAGAGACAATGAGTAAATAAACAAAACATTAGAATATAGTAAGTGCTATATTGGAAATTAGTATTGATGCGATAGAGGTTAATTATGAAGAGAACTTTACCTTGGGATTTTTTCTTTATAAAATGAGAATAATATATAATATCATCTACCTAAGAGCTGTTGTGAGGAGTAAATGAAACATTGTGAGGAACATGGCATGGTACCTTGCACATTGTAAATGCTCAGTAAAAGTTAGCTAGTATCATTACTTAGGTTTCTTTGAACAGTTTGACCAACACTTCAACACTGATGAAGAGTATGTAGCAGAATAAGATATCTACATTGGCATCCTAGAATTAAGCTAGGTTTGTTACTGACATTTTAAGGAGTTGTGAATTAATGGGCTAGTGATATGTGAAAATGGAAAGTAGAAGGGTACTTAAACATCAGTTATAATGATCTTCCTGTTATTCTGCAAAGGAGAATTTCAAAAGAGCTAAGAAATTTCTGAAATACATATTTTTTGAAATGATGAGGGAATGCAAGCTGTGCTGCTGTTGGAAAATACCACCTACCTTGTAGCCAACTGACAAATTAACTTTTTCTTTTCTTCAAAATAAGTTATCTGATTCATTAATGTGGTCACCAAATAATACATTCAAAGCAGTTTGCTAATGTAGCTGGGGGTTCACTGAGGGAAATCAGACATGTTGACTACTCCCATGAACTTTATTGTCCATTGAGACTTGCAAATAAGGTAGTACCAATAAAGTATGATAAATGTTTAATGGAGGAAATTCAGATCTTTGTGAGAGCAAATACAGACCTGAAATTTGATGGAGTTGAATCAGGTACTTATTTTTTATTTCCACAAGAAAGAAGAGGGATTTTTATTTTTAAATTTTTATTATTATTATTTTTTGAGACAGAGTCTCATTCTGTCACCCAGGCTGGAGTACAGTCGTGCAATCTTGGCTCACTGCAACCTCTGCCTCCCAGGTTTAAGCAATTCTCATGCCTCAGCCTCCCAAGTAGTTGGGACTACAAGGCTCATGCCACCACGCCTGGCTAGTTTTTTTGTATTTTTAGTAGAGACAGGGTTTCACCATGGTGGTCCGGCTGGTCTCGGAACTCCTGGCCTCAGGTGACCCGCCCACGTTGGGATTACTGGCATGAGCCACTGCGCCTGGCCAGAAAGGGGACTTCTTATTTGAAGATAGTGTCTAGCTAATTAATAAGCAGACATCTAGGGAAAAGGTAGATACTAAGGAGGGAAAAGTATTAAGTAGAGGGAAGGGTTTAGAGCTGCACTGTCCAAAAGTGGAATCCAGAAGCCACTAGCTACACGTGGATATTTCAATTTAAATTAAACTGAAATTAAAAATTCAGTTATTCAGTTGCATTGACAACATTCCAAGGTTTAGTAGCCACATGTGGATACTGACTATATTTTCTTTTCAACAGATGATGTCAGAGCAACTGGATATCCGTAGGCAAGAAAATAA
Source organism: Homo sapiens (assembly GCF_000001405.40). Lineage (NCBI taxonomy): Eukaryota > Metazoa > Chordata > Mammalia > Primates > Hominidae > Homo > Homo sapiens. The sequence goes on from NC_000016.10 coordinate 68,140,598, forward strand.
GCCTTGACATAAACCTTATATCTTATAAAATTAATACAAAATGATCATGGATTTTTTTTTTTAAATTGGAGATATTTTACCCAAAAGTCTGTTGAAATAAAAAAAAGGAGTATTTTAGTGACTGCAGAAAGTTATCTTGGACAGTGCTGGTTTAGAAGCCCATAAGACAGAGAGACTATAGTATGTTAATGAATTATTTATATATTTTATTTCAGTAGCTTTTGGGGTACAAGTGGTTTTTTGTTAAATGGATGAATTGTGTAGTGGTGAAGTCTGAGATTTCAGTGCACCTCTCACCCAAGTAGTGTACATTGTACCTAATATGTAGTTTTCTGTCCTTCACCCCCTCCTATCCTACCCTCTTCTGAGTCTACAATATCCATTATACCACTCTTTATGCCTTTGTGTACCCATAGCTTTGCTCCCACTTATAAGTGAAAACATACTGACTTTCCAGTGGTATTTGGTTTTCCATTCCTGAGTTACTTCACTTTGAATAATGGCCTTCAGTACCATCCAAGTTGCTGCAAAAGACATTATCTCATTTTTTTTATGGCTGAGTAGCATTCCGTGGTGTAGATATACCACATTTTCTTCATCTACTCATGGCTGATGGGCATTTAGGTTGGTTCCATGTCTTTGCAGTTGTTAATTGTGCTGTGAATAATGTATGTATGCAGGTGTCTTTTTGACATAATGACTTCTTTTCCTTTGTATAGATACCTGGTAGTGGGATGGTCGGATTGAATGGTAGATCTACTTTTAGTTTTTTGAGAAATCTCCATACTGTTTTCCATAATTGTTTTAATTTATAATTTACATTCCCATCAGCAGTGGACAAGTGTTCCCTTTTCATCACATCGATGCCAACATCTATTGTTTTCTTGGCTTTTTAATAACGGCCATTCTGGCTGGAGGAAGGCGGTATCTCATTGTGGTTTTAATTTGCATTTACCTGATGGTTAGTGATGTTGAGCATTTTTTTCATACGTTTGTGGGCCATTTGTATTTCTTCTTTTGAGAAGTGTCTGTTCATGTCATTTGCCTACTTTTTGATGGGATTATTTGTTTTTTTCTTGCTGATTTGAGTTCCTTGTAGATTCTGGGTATTAGTCCTTTATTGGATGTATAGTTTGCTAATATTTTCTCCCATTCTGTGGGTTGTCTGTTTATTGCGATGATTATTTCTTCCACAGTGCAGAATCTTTTTAGTTTAATTAGGCCCCATTTATTTATTTTTGGTTTTGTTACATTTGTTTTTGGGGTCTTAATCATAAATTCTTTGCCTAGGGTGATGTCCAGAAGTTTTTCCTAGGTTTTCCTGTAGGATTTTTATGGTTTCAGGTCTTTTAAGTCTTTAATCCATCTTGAGTTGATTTTTATATGTGGTGAGAGACAGGGATCCAGTTTCATTCTTCTACGTGTGGCTGTCCTGTTTTCCCAGAACCATTTATTGAATAGGGTATCCTTTTTTCAATTTATGTTTTTGTATGCTTTGTCAAAGATCAGCTGGTTGTAAGTAGTTGGCTTTTTTCCTAGGTTGTCTACTCTGTTCTATTAATCTTTGGGTAGTGTGGTCATTTTCACGATACTGAGTCGTCCAGTCTGTGAGCATGGGATGTTTCCATTTGTTTGTGTCATCTATGATTTTTTTCAGCAGTGTTTTGTAGTTCTTCTTGTAAAGATCTTTTACCTCCTTGTGTAAGTACACTTCTAGGTATTTTATTACTTTTGTTGTAGCTATTGTAAAAGGGATTGAGTTCTTGATTTGATTCTTAGCTTGGTTGTTGTTGGTGGCGGTGTGTAGCAGTGCTACCAATTTGTGTACATTGCTTTTGTAACCTGAGGCTGCTGATTCATTTATCAAATCTAGGAGTCGGCCTGGCATGGTGACTCACGCCTGTAATCCCAACACTGGGAGGCGAGGTGGGTGGATCACTTGAGGTCGGGAGGAGTTAGAGACCAGCCTGGCCAACATGGTGAAACCCTGTCTCTACTAAAAATACAAAAATTAGCTGGGCGTGGTGGTGGGTGCCTGTAATCTCAGCTACTTGGGAGGCTGAGGCATGAGACTCATTTGAACCTGGAAGCCAGAGGTTGCAGTGAGCTGAGATCATGCCATTGCACTTCAGCCTGGGTGACAGAGTGAGACTGTCTCCAGAAAAGAAAAAAAAAAATCTAGGAGTCTTTTGGGTAAGTCTTTAGGGTTTCCTAGGTATATGATCGTATCTTTGGCAAATAGAGATAGTTTGACTTCTTCTTTTCCAACTTAAATGCCCTTTACTTCTTTCTCTTGTCTGATTGTTCTGGCTAGGATTTCCTGTATTAATAAATTACAAGAAATATGTAGTAGCCGCATGAAGTGGCTCACACCTGCAATCCCAGTACCTTGTGGGGGCTGAGGAGGGAGGATCACTTGAGGCCAGGAGTTGGAGACCAGCGTGAGCAATAGTGCGAGAACCTGTCTCTACCAAAAAATAAAAATAAAAAATTTAACCAGGCATGGTGGTACCCACCTTGAGTCTCAGCTACTTGGGAGGATTGCTTGAGCCCAGGAGGTTGAGGCTGCAGTGAGTTATGCACTGTAGCCTGGGAAACAGCAAGACCATGCTAAAAAAAAAAAAAAAAAAAAAGGAAAGAAAGAAAGGCTATATAGTTATAAAATTGGGTTTTATTTATCTAAAAATATTAGCATTGTAGGAATTACTTGAGATACGTTACTTTTTTCAAAATGTGAAAATCAGCTGGAATTGTCAATTTTTAATTTAAAATAGGTAATAGTAACTCTATGTAACATACTGTTTATAGACAAAGATGAGTATTCTTTAAGAGGTTTTATATTGTCTTTTTAGTAAATAGTGCTGGAGCAATTGGACACCCATAAGGCAAAAGAATAAACCTTAACCCAAACCTCACATCTTTCTCAAAAATTAATTCAAAATGGGTTGTGGATTTAATTATAAAACACAGGTCAGGAGCGGTGGCTCACACCTGTGACCCCAGCATTCTGGGAGACTGAGGCGGGCAGATGACCTGAGGTCAGGAGTTAAAGGCCAACCTGGCCAATATAATGAAGCCCCATCTCTACTAAAAAATAACAAAAATTAGCTGGGCATGGTGGTGCTCACCTCTAGACCCAGCTAAGTCTGGAGGCTGAGGCAGGAGAATTGCTTGAACCCAGGAGGTGGAGGCTGCAGTAAGCTGCTATCACACCACTGCACTCCATCCTGGGCAACAGAGCGAGACTCCATCTCAAAAAATAAAATAACCTAAAAAATAAAGCATAAAAGTATAAAACTTTTAGAAGAAAACAGGAGAAAATCTTTAAGATCTCAGGCTAAGCAAAGATCTCTAGAACATAATACCAAAAGCACCATACCTAAAAGAAAAAAATTGATAAATTGGATTTCATCAAAATTAAAAACTTTAGCTCCGTGAAAGATGCTATTAAAAGGATGAAAAGACAAGCTACAGACAGGGAGAAAACATGTGCAAAGCATATATCTGTCAAAGATCATAGAATGTATAAAGAACTCTCAAAACTCAACAATAAAAACAGTTCAGTTAGAAAAGATGCCAAAGACATGAACAGACATCACCAGCCATTAGGGAAATGCAAATTAAAACCACATTGAGTTATCATTACATACCTATTAGAACAGCTAAAATAAAAAATATAATACTAACTGTTGTCAAGGATGCACAGAAACTGGATGCTTCATAAACTGCTAGTGAGAGTTAAAATGATACAGCCACTCTGGAATATAGTTTGTTAGGTTCTTAAAAAACTAAGCTTCCCTTATGCCCCACCAATCTCACTCTGGGGCATTTATAACAGAAAAAAAAAAACTTATGTTTACACAATAGGTATACTAATAATATTCGTAACAACTATGTATTATCATTATCATCATCATTATTTTTTTTTGTAGACACAGTGGTTCACCATGTTATCCAGACTGGTCTTGAACTCCTGAGCTCAAGCGATCCATCCACCTTGCCCTCCTAAAGTGCTGAGATTACAGGCGTGAGCCACTGCGCCTAGCCTCAACTTCATTTTTTTATTTTTTTTATTTTTTAGATGGAGTCTTGCTCTGTCACCTAGCCTGGAGTGCAGAGACTCCATCTCAGCTCACTGCCACCTCCGCCTCCCAGGTTCAAGAGATTCTCCTGCCTCAGTCTTACGAGTAGCTGGGATTACAGGTGCCTGCCACCACGCCCAGCTGATTTTTACATTTTTAGTAGAAACAGAGTTTCAACATGTTGGCCAGGCTGGTCCGGAACTCTTGACCTCAGGTGATCCACTGGCCTCAGCCTCCCAAAGTGCTGGGATTACAGGTATGAGCCACCGCACATGGCTGCCTCAACCTGATTTTTAAAAATTTTTTTCGTAGAGATGGCAATCTCACTATGTTGCCCAGGCTGGTCTACAACTCCTAGCCTCAAGTGATCCTCCCACCTTGGCCTCCCTGCCGTGGGATCACAAGCTTGACCCACTATGCCTGGCCTAACAACCAACTTTTCTTTCTCTCTCTCTTTTTTTTTTTTTTTTTGTGATAGGGTCTGGCTCTGCAGATTGCACATCACCCAGGCTGGAGTGCAGTGATGCGATCTCAGCTCACTGCAACCTCAGACTCACAGGCCCAAGCCGTCCTCCAATCTCAGTCTTCCTAGTATATGGGACTACAGGTGTGCGCCACCATGCCCAGCTATTTTTATGTTTTTTGTAGAGATGGGGTTTCACCATCTTGTCCAGGCAGGCTGGTTTTGAACTCCTGAGCTCAAGCGATTCATCCACTTCAGCCTTCCAAAGTGCTAGGATTACAGGCATGAGCCTCCACGCCCTGCTGCACTTTATTTTTAATAGCCCAAGGTTATAAACAAACCAAATACACGAATAAACTCTGGTGTATCCATACAATGTACTACCACTCAGCAATATAAAAGAATAAACTGTTGATACATGCAACAACTTGGACAGTTCTCCATAGACTTATGCTGAGTGGAAAAAAGTCAATATACTATATGATTCTATTTATGTAATATTTTCAAAATGACAGAACTGTAGAGATGGACAATAGATTGGTGCCAGGAAACAGGGTCAGGTTGAGGGGTGCAAATATGAAGGGGTGGCCCAAGAGAATTTCTTCATATCTTGACTGGGGTAGTAGTTATTTGAATCTATATATGGGATAAAATTGCATAAAACTATATACACACATACAAATGAATGCATGTAGAACAATGACAACTGAATAAGACCTGTAGTCTAGTTAGCAGTATTGTATCAGTGTCAATGTCCTGGTTTTGATACTGTGCTAACTACAGTTCAATATTGTGGGTATATGTACTGTATTATAGTTGGGGGAAACTAGGTGCAGGGTACATGGGGCTATAGTATCCCTTGTCTGCTTGGGATCAGAAGTCAGAAGTGTCTTAGATTTTGGATTTTTTCAAATTTTGGAATATTTCCAGAATACATACTGGTTGAGCATCCCTGATTCAAAAATTTGAATTCCAAAATGTTCCAGTGAGCATTTACTTTGGGTGTCATATCAGTGCTCAGAAAGTTTCAGATTTTGGAGCATTCTGGATTTTCAGATTAGGGATATTCAACCTGTAGTACATATACATACTATTTTTGCAACTTCCTATGAGTCTAATTATTTAAGAAGAATAAAAGTTTTAGCCAGGTGTAGTGATGTGATTCTGTAATCCCAGTTACTTGGGAGACTGAGGCAAGAGGATCACTGCTTGAGCCCAGGAGTTTAAGGCCAGCCTGGGCAACATAGCAAGACCTTGTCTCCCAAAAGAAAAAAAAAAAGGATTTTTTTTAAAAAGCTTATATATTATACAGTGGTAAGTTTTATTAAGGTATACATATTTTGAATCTTATCCCAAAAGTTACTGAAATTTGAAAAATGAAGTTTGTATTATTTTTTCATTTTTATGCATACTTTCATTTTAAGCAATTTATATTATAGAAATTTAATTTTGTATTTTTAGTATTTCTACAATGTGTTGTCATGGGTCTAATATATTTAGAGCCCATTCCCCCAACTAATCAGCAGAACTGATAATGGAACTGCTCTTATTGAAGTTGCTGTAGTCTGTCCTGTAGTGACCTTCAGGCTTTAACCCTCCAGCTTTAGTTAAATTAAGCAGGCACAGACCTTTGCTATGGAAACGATACAGAAACATAACAAACAACTTGGCTTACTTTCTTCTGCGAAGCAGAGGGTGGACTGAAGAGATTACTGATACTGGTGAAAGTTTTTAGAGACTAGTGTTAACAGTAGTAGTAATTTATTTATTGCCTACAACATAAATGCTTCTCTGGAAATCAGATGGGATAATAGTCTAATTAGTTTATTTGATCTTCCTTTAAAAGTCTCTCAGATAGAAAGGCATAGCCCTATTTTTCTTATGGTATTATACATCTGGAACAGATGTTGGTCAAAATATGTGTTATGAAATATATTCCCTTTGAAATCTTATATGAGTGATTACCTTCCCCCAACATCAGTTTATTTTATCAAAGTATAAAAAGCAAGTGGCTTATGACTTTGTGAAGCTCTTATACATGTCAGCCATCTAATATGACTAGGATTCTTTGGTATAGAGTACTTGCCAGTATGTTATTTGATATCTGGATAACTTAATAGGTAATAGCAAACTTTTTTATTTATATTCTCTATTTTAGATTTAACTACCTCATTTTGACGAGCTACTTTAATGCCTATAATTTTTTTGTTGGTTTTTTCTTTTTCTATATAAGAGCAAATTGCCTACAGTTCTTTTAGAAATAATGTATTGACTAACTTCATGAGTTATTTTGCTTCACCAAATTGTACTCTGTTATTCTAAAATTTATTCTTTCAACAATGATTGAATGCCTGTAATGTGCTAGGCGCTCTGCTAGGCTCTGGAGATAACAAGATGGATACTGTCCTCTTCACAGTGCTCACAGGCAAGTGGTAAAGTTGTTGCTGTTTATTTCTCCACTTGATGAACAGTTGGTCATGTAGAATAATTTGTTAAATTTATGATTAAACATGAAAGAGCAACAGGTATACCAAAAAGGAATGACTAATCACTGAATAGATGAATGTGAGGAAGTTGCCTAATCATTGTTAGCTTCAGATTATCTGTGAACTGAAAAAAAAAAAAAAAAAAAGACATATAGTCCACAGGAGTTTTTGGATGCAGTGAACTATAACCACTCTCTACCTTCATTTTTTTTTACCTCTGGGTATAAATCTGGATGAATCTCACGTGGCATTATTACTTACCCCATCTGCCGCCAGATAAACCAAAAGAGTAATGGCTGAAATTTGTTTTTGCACAGATACACATAAAATATATGCCCAAACTTTTCCAGTTTCCTTTTAGCTATTGATTTATTTAGGATTTATTTATTTATTTATTTAGAGATGGAGTTTTGCTCTTGTTTTGCACTCCAGGCTGGAGTGCAATGGCGCGATCTCGGCTCACTGCAACCTCCGCCTCCTGGGTTCAAGCGATTCTCCTGCCTCAGTCTTCCTGAGTAGCTGGGATTAGAGGCATTCGCCACCATGCCCGGCTAATTTTGTATTTTTAGTAGAGATGGGGTTTCTCCATGTTGGTCAGGCTGGTCTCGAACTCCCGACCTCGGGTGATCCACCTGCCTAGGCCTCCCAAAGTGCTGGGATTACAGGTGTGAGCCACCGTGCCTGACCTAGGCTTTATTTTTGTTATTGTGATGATATTGACATTTTATAGTTTTATGGAATAGTTTCCATAATTAAAGCTTTGAAATTTATTAATTTTACACTAAAATGTGTAAAAAAATTACAAATGAGAATACTGATAGATTTCTTGACTACATAAAAATTAAAATATTTACAGAAAATGGAAACATAAATGTAATAAATTGAACAGGTTTACTTTCACTAAACATAAGACAGCTGTAGCTTAAGCCTGCTGGCAGGTGAGAAAGAACCAATAAGCAAGCAGCACAAGTCATTTTGCATCTGAGAACTCTGGAAAGGTTCAGGAATTTGACGTACTGGATATCTCTGAAAGTGGGATGTGAGGTGAGACTGAAAACAAGAAGATTGGATAAAAAGTCTATAAAAGAAGGAGTTAAGACCGGGCACGGTGGTTCACACCTGTAATCCTAGCACCTTAGGAGGTTGAGGCGGGTGGATCATTTGAGGACAGGAGTTTGGGACCACCTGGCCAACATGGTGAAACCCTGTCTCTACTAAAAATACAAAAAAATTAGCCGGGCATGGTGGCTCATGCCTGTAGTTCCAGCTACTCAGGAGGCTGAGGCAGAAGAATTGCTTGAACCTGGGAGGTGGAGGTTGCAGCACCACTGCACTCCAGCCTGGGCAACACAGCGAGACTCCATCTTAAAAGAAAAAAAAATTAAATTGAATTTAAAAAGGACTTAAATTTCCCAGATGTTTCTTTCCTGTGTGGTACAGCCTAGTGATAATGCCTGTCTTACCCTGAGAGAATCTGGTGATTCTATAGAGAGAATGAAGTGGAGGTTCTAGATTCTAGGAGAGCTAAAGGCTAGGCTTAATGATCTGTTCTTAAAATGGGGTGGGGGCGGAAGGGAAGGCATAATGGAAGTCTGCATACTGAAGAGTGAGACCTCTGACCATTTTATTAGTTCCCACAATGCTTGCAATAGGTTTACTATGCTCCCTAGGCAGAAGACTGCAGGATGTGTTTTAGGCAAACTCACTGGTCCAGTAGAAGAGACCTGTAGATTCTAAGAAATAAACTTTACTTTTAACATGTTTAAATTACTGTTACTTTGGATTTTTGTTTATGCAGCCAAACTTAATCCTAATATAAAAGGCAATTATTAACTGTAACCAAATAAGTTGTATGAAAAAGGAAATATAATTAAAATACACTACAAGGCTGAGCTGCAAGTAACATGTATCCAGTTATAATGCAAACACTGAAAGTTCAAAAGATAATATATCTAACCTTGAAAAACATTAGGAAATAGCAGTATTAACATGTTCCTTAGAAATATGGAAGTAAGTTCCAAAAGAAACAGTGAAAAGGGTTACAAATGGTTCCCTTCTGAGGAGCAGAAATTGATCCAGAATTGGTGATAAATGGAAAACAAAACCATATTTATAACTTGTAAGGCAGACAAAGGGTTAATATGCTTAGTATATCTAAAGGGCTTGTAAAATTAATAATACTAAAATAGAAACAGAAAATGAGCAAATCATATAAACAGCCACAAAGGGGAAAAGTTGTCTGTGTAGACTATTACCACTTCTCTGTTCTTTGCTTTTTTGATAGGTTAGAAGTAGTTTTCTTATTTATTTGATATTTAATAAGATTGAGCATTTTTCCATTTATTTATTAGCTGTTTTTCCCTGCTTTATATGCTCTACTTATATCCTTTGAGAAGGGTAGTTGGAATTACGATTTGTCATCTTCCTTGAATCTGGAATTGTTTCTGCAGTATGAATTATAATAAAGAATCTTGCCCGTTGCAAAACATTATTATAAACCTTTGGTGGTTATATCCTGAGGTCTTTGTGCCTCTTTGGTTACAAGTCTTCTAGATCAGTGTCTCTCAGCTCTATCAGACCCAGCCCCACTCTCAAAAAAAGCCCCACATCCATTTTGTAATGCTACTTTATTAACTTGAAATGGAGATTTAAAGATAATACAATTAGGCCAGGCACAGTGGCTCATGCCCGTAATACCAGCATTTTGGAAGGCCAAGGCAGGAGGATCACTTGAAACCAAGAGTTTAAGACCAGCCAGGGCAACCTAGTGGGACTTCTATATCTAAAAAAAAAAAAAAAAAAAAAAAGCTAGGTTTGGTGGCACACTCCTGATGTCCTAGCTACTCTAGAGACTGAAGTGGAAGGATCCTTTGAGCCCAGAAACTCAGGGTTGTGTTGAGCTATGATTGTGCCATTGCACTGTAGCTTAGGTGACATAACGAGACCCTGAATCAAAAAAAAAAAGTGATATAATTGACTACACGTATAATTTTAAGAATATCAGTTATAATGCAGTACTATTAAGAGAAAAATAAATATATAAACTAAATTATAGTTGATGTGGTTTGGCTATGTCTCCACCCAAAATCTCATCTTGAATTGTAATCCCCATAATTCCCACGTGTGAAGGGAGAGGCCAGATGGGGGTAATTGAATCACTGGGGTGGCTTCCCCATGCTGTTCTCTTGATAGTGAGTTCTCATGAGATCTGATGGCTTTGTAAGTGTTTGGTAGTTTTTCCTGTATTCATTCTCCCTCCTGCCACCTTGTGAAGAAGGTGCCTTGGTTCCCCTTTACCTTCAACCATGACTGTAAATTTCCTGAGGCCCCCCCAGCCATGGGGGACTGTGAGTCAATTAAACCTCTTTCCTTTATAAATTACCCAGTCTCGGGCAGTTTCTTATAGCAGTATGAGAATGGACTAATACAGTAGTTTAAAAGTATGGCTGGGCATTGTAGCTCACACCTGTAATCACAGCTACTTGGGTGGCTGAGGCAGGAGGACGTTTGAGTCAAGGAGTTCAAGACCAGCTTAAGCAAAACAGTGGGACCCCATCTTAAAAAAAAAAAAGTTTCAAAGTGAAAAGCCTTGATAATGACTATAGAAGACACAGTGAAGTAGTTGGACGCTTACACATGCTTGATAATGACTATAGAAGACACAGTGAAGTAGTTGGACACTTAACACCTGCACTATCAGTGTGAGTGTTGCCAGGTACAAAGGCAGGCGTGTTGATCATCACCCTAAATTCCCTGAGTGGCATTACTGACAATGACATGATTTTTTGAAATGATGAACTCTTTACATGGTAAGTTGTACTCATGAAAAATTCATGTATCTTAAAATTGCATCTTTTGGGGGTATTAATATATACTAAGGAGTTCTAAGTTTATAAACATTTTCCTTATACATGAATGTCTGATGGGATATTCTCAAATTCTGTGAGATGTAGACTATTCACTTTGAAGAACTATAGTTATCCCATGTATTGAGATAAAGTTGAATCTCTGGCCCTTTCTCCTTAAGTATCTGTAGTGCACCCCACTTATCATGTTGACAACTAAACGCATCTTCACAACATTTAAAAAATGCCTCTGCTCCACCACCACCCTCCCCTGCAGAGGGTGATACTGTCCAAGTTAAGAAATACCATTCTAAGTCGGGCACAGTGGCTCACGCCTGTAATCCCAGCACTTTGGGAGGCCGAGGCAGGTGGATCACCGGAGGCCAGAAGTTCGAGACGAGCCTGGCTGACATGGTGAAACCCCGTCTCTACTAAAAATACAAAAGTTAGCTGGGCGTGGTGGCAGGCACCTGTAATCCCAGTTACTTGGAAGGCTGAGGCAGGAGAATCACTTGAACCCGGGAGGCAGAGGTTCCAGTGAGCCTGGATGGCGCCACTGCACTCTAACCTAAGTAAGTGAGGCTCCGTTTCAAAAAAAAAAAAAAAAGGCTGGGTGCAGTGGCTCACGCCTATAATCCCAGCACTTTGAGAGGCCAAGGTGGACGGATCACTTGAGGTCAGGAGTTCAAGACCAGCCTGGCCAACATGGTGAAACGCCATCTCTACTAAAGATACCAAAAAAAAAAAAAAAAAAAATTAGCTGGGCATGGTAGTATGTGCCTGCAGTCCCAGCTACTAGGGAGGCTGAGACAGGAGAATCGCTTGAACTGGGGAAGCAAATGTTGCAGTGAGCCAAGATCACGCCACAGCACTGCAGCCTGGGCAACAGAGCGAGACTCTGTCTCAAAAAAAAAAAAAAAAAAAAAAAGTACCATTCTACTGGGTATTAAAGCATTTGCTCGGAAGAGAAGGAAATACCATTCTAGACCAGGGGTTATCAAACTATGGCTTTTATAGGCCAAAATGGGCCCTACACCTGGTGTTTTGTTTTTAAAGAGAAAGAGCCTTGCTCTGTCACCCAGGCTGGAGTGTAGTCGTGCAATCATAGCTCACTGCAGCCTTGAACTGGCCTCAGAGGCAGGAATGATCCTCCTGCCTCAGTCTTTCAGGTAGCTGGGACTACAGGTGCATGCCTTCACGTCTGGCTCTACCTGTTTTTGTACAGCTTGTGAACTAGGAGTGGTTTTTATACATTTTTACATGGGTGGAGAAAAAATCAAAAGAATACTATTTTCTGATGTGAAACTTATGTGGAATTCCAAAGTAACCATCCATAATGATTGTTTTTCATTTATGTATTGACTGGTTACTTTTGTGTTACAGTGACAGAGTTGAGTAAGACAAGAGAACATAAGTGGCACTCTCATCACTTCACACTACCGCTCAGGGCAGTATAAATCACAGTGATGCAGTTAAAACTCAATAGTGTTTCAAGTGCCACAAGTATTGCTGCATTGGGACTTTAAAAAAATAATAATCAGTACATACTCATCATGTCAAAACAAGAAAAAGCAGATATCGAATGTCATTCTTTTGAGGCACAGTGGACTGTGTGTTATCTTGTTATCAAATTAGATAGCAAACTGGGTACCGTGGCTCACGCCTGTAATCTCAGCACTTTGGGAAGCCAAGGCAGGTGGATCACCTGAGGCCAGGGCAGGTGGATCACCTGAGGCCAGAAGTTCAAGACCAGCATGGCCAACATGGTGAAACCCCGTCTCTACTAAAAATGCAAAAATTTAGCCGGGGATGATGGTGCACACCTGTAGTCCCAGCTACTTGGAAGGCTGAGTCAGGAGAATCGCTTGAACCCAGGAGGCAGAGGTTGCAGTGAGCCAGGATTGCGCCATTGCACTCCAGCCTGGGTGACAGAGTGAGACTCCATCCCCCAAAAAAGAAAAAGTTAGATAGCAAAGCATTGTGTTTATTGTGCTACAGCATTATGGCTAGGCTAAAAGCATATACATCTTATGTAGCCTCACATTTCCATATAGATGTCTCACTGTTACCTCGACTACAGTGTGACCAGCATTGACAACATTAATCTTTTTCCAAAATCAGTGACTTCTTCACATTATTATTATTATTTTTATTTTTTGAGACAGAGTCTCGCTCTGTCGCCCAAGCTGGAGTACAGTGGCCCGATCTCAGCTCACTGCAAGCTCCACCTCCTGGGTTCACTCCATTCTCCTGCCTCAGCCTCCCAAGTAGCTGGGACTACAGGCACCTGCCACCATGCCCGGCTAATTTTTTGTGTTTTTAGTAGAGATGGAGTTTCACCGTGTTAGCCAGGATGGTCTCGATCTCCTGACCTCGTGATCTGCCTGCCTTGGCCTCCCAAAGTGCTTGGGATTACAGGTGTGAGCCACCGTGCCCGGCCCACATTATTATTTTTTTAAGAGACAAGGTCTCACACTCTGTCACCCAGGCTGGAGTTTAGTGGCATAATCATAGCTCACTGTAACCTTGAACTCCTGGGATCAGGCAGCCCTCCCACCTCAGCCTTCTAAGTAGCTAGGACTACAGGAGCACACCACCATGCTCAGCTAGTGTGTGCGTGTGTGTGTGTAATGTGGAGATGGGGGTCTCATTGTGTTGCTGGTCTTGAACTCCTGGCCTCAAGCAGTCCTCCCGCCTCAGCCTCCCAAAGTGTTGAGATTACTGGTGTGAGCCATGATGGCCAGCCTTATACTTTGTTTCCTAGTGATACCATCATTCTCCTGGGTACTGAAGCTCAGATCTGACTTATTGGATCCCTCTATCATTCTGTGTATAGTTAGTTACGAAAATCTCTTTAGGGCCTTCTAGGAAAGATTTATTGCATTCATCCCTTTCCATTTCTATTTTCTATTTATGATCCTGCCTCCACCCTAGTTTAAACTTTCAGCACCCATGATTTAAGTGCCTCAGCCCTCTTAACTTGTTTCCATGATTTCATCCGTTCTCTTTCATAGAGGCTTAATTGATTTTTATCATATGCTTACCTGAAGCTCCTGAAAGGGCAGGAATTTATTCTTAGTATAGGATGTAGACAAGCACAAGATAAGGAGACTCAGATATTATATTTTAAATATTGCAGTCTCCTCTCAGGGAACTGACCTTTACGTATCTGAATCAAGTCAAGTAACATGAAGATCAGAGGGAATGATATTTCAGAGGGATAAAATATTAAGTGTGAAAGCCCTGACATTAGGAGTGAGCTTGAGTGGTTCATGCAATAAGGCCAGCAAGGCTAGAGCAGACTGTGGAAAGGGTAAGGCCAACAGTTCAGCCAGGGCCCTAATCACCTTATGCTGTGTAAACCATCATAGGGAATTTGAATTAGTTCTAAATGTGGAGGGAAGCCATTAGAGAGTTCTGAGCAGGGGAGCCAAAGTTATCCAATTCATGTTAACAAGTTTATTCTGACTCTTGGATAGAGAATGGACTATAGGGCAACAAGAGGGAAGACAGAGAGCAGTTATAAGGCTATTGCAATAGTCCAGGCTTTAATTGCTTCTTTATAAATGTTACAGGACTGAAAACTATCCTGGGTAAAATTGTATTACCTAATAATAGGCAAAAGTCTTAATGTCTTCTTCTGGGTACAGGGAGGATAACCAATAAATTATGAAGTTCGCTGGTTACAAGTTCCACTGTAAAGCCAAGGCTGGACAAGTAGGCGGGAATAAAACTCACCTGTAAGACTCCACCAAATACAAGGAGGCTACTATACCAAGGAAGAGGAGGCATGGCAGGAGAACTGAGACCCCCCTCACTTCATAGTTTTACCTACTGAAGGCAGAAACCCTTAGGCACTTAGGCTGTCATTTACAAAGACTGAAGTATTATCAGGAGAGCTGAAAGAAGTCTCTCCAAGCCAATCTCAAAAGACCCAAGATCTAGTAACATAGCTGAAGAGATGCCCTGAGGCTCAGAAATAAAGAGCAAGACTGAAGAGCATAGAGAACTCCTCATAGATTAAAAAATTATCAGCCAGGTGGTAAATCAGAGGAAGGTCTTCCAACAGTTTCAAGGACCGGAGACTTGGTTATGAAGCATAGGTAGATCTCTGGAATCTGGCCAGCTCTCAGATTCCCTCGCCAGGCAGAAGAGAGAGACATTCCACCCGCCAGGCCTTTAAAGCCAGTGCTATACTGAATCAGACTATAGCTTCAGACACAGTTTAAGAGCTGTGACCTTACAAAAGAAATAGCATGCCCCTTTCTGTAGGTAAATATTTTCTGCTTGAGTCTCTAGACTTTTTTTATACTAAATGTCCATTAAAACAATAAACAACCATACACACACACACAAGAAAATGTGGCCCACATTAAAGAGAGAAAACACTCAATGGTAGCAGACTGAGAGAAGGCTTAGATTAGATATTGGAAAGATACTTTAGAATTACTATAATAAAAATCCTGAATTACCTTGAGGAAAAGGTGGATTCCGTATACATGAAGAGATGGAGGACTTTCATTAGGGCAGAGACAGTTTTTTATTTTAAGTCAAATGGATTGGCTGGGTGCATTGACTCATGCCTGTAATCCCAGCACTTTGGGAGAGGGGTGGATCGCCTGAGGTCAGGAGTTTGAGACCAGCCTGGCCAACATGGTGAAATCTCGTCTCTACTAAAAATACAAAAATTAGCCGAGTGTGGTGGCAGGAGTCTGTAATCAATCCCAGCTTCTCGGGAGGCTGAGGCAGGAGAATCGCTTGACCCTGGGGGGCAGAGGTTGCAGTGGGCTGAGATCGTGTCACTGCACTCCAGCCTGGGGGACAAGAGCGAGACTTCGTCTCAAAAACAACAACAACAACAAAAACAAAAACAAATGGATAATGATGGGGACAAAGATACAAGAGAAGAAAACTGCAAACCGATATCCTTCATGAATATACATGCAACAATCTTCAACAAAATGCTTAGCAACCAAATCCATCAGCACACTACAAAAGTTTATACACCATGATCAAGTGGGATCTATCCCAGGAAAGCAAGAGTGGTTCAACATATGAAAATTAATCTGTGTAATTTACTACATTAGTAGAATGAAGAGAAAAACCATGTGGTCATCTCAGTTGATAGAGAAAAAAACCTTTGACAAAATTCAGCAGCCTTTCATGATTTAAAAAAAGCAAAACAGCCGGGCACAGTCACTCACACCTGTAATCTCAGCACTTTGGGAGGTCGAGGCGGGCAGATCACCTGAGGTCAGGAGTTCAGATCGCCCTGGCCAGCATGGTGAAACCCCATCTGTACTAAAAATACAAAAATTAGCCGGGCATGTTGGTGGGTGCCTGTAATCCCAGCTACTCGGGAGGCTGAGGCAGGAAAATCGCTTGAACCCAGGAGGCAGAGGTTGCACTGAGCAGAGATCGTACCACTATACTCCAGCCTGGGTGACAGAGCGAGACACTGTCTCAAAAAAAGGCAAAACAAAGCAAACTGAAAATAGAGGGAAACTTAGTGTGATTAAGAGGATTCTTGAAAAACTCACACCTAATATCATACTTAATGGTTAAAGACTGAAAGGTTTCCCTCTAACATCAGGAACAAGACAAGGATGCCTGCTTTCACTACTGCGATTCAGCCTTATGCTAGAAGTCCTAGCCAGAGCAATTAGGCAATATAAAAGAAAAAAAAAAAGGCATAGAAAACAAAGGCACAAACACATTCTCTCTCTCTGTCTCTGTCTCTCTCTCCTTCTCCTTCTCTCCCTCTCTCCCTCTTTCTCTTTCCCGAAGATTGTTGAAATTGTTTGCTTAAATAGGCATTTAACTTGGTTGGAGTCAGCCTGGAAAACTTGTCTCCCTGTGGTTGGTGGCAGCTCAAAATCTCATTTCAGTTTTAGCCTTAGCTAGGCTGCTTGGGGTCTGTAAGTTTATACTTATAAAATTGTAAGTTTATAATATATGGAATAGGGGTTTTCAGACTCTTTCTACTAAAAGTGTCTCCGATTTAACAGTCTGTTAGAGGACCTTCCTATATACCCAAATCTTTAGGTCTGGTCTGAATGGTTAATGTTGCCCAGAGTACAGAATCAGTATTTCTTTTGTGTTTTCTACAGCAGAGTCAGAAAGCTTTGTACAGTTTTGGTCGATCTAGATATTTATCTTAAAAAAACAAAACCAAACCCACATTCCTTTATGTAACGTATTCCAGTGTTTTATTTCTTAAACTAATTTGGAAATTTGGAGGGCTGCTCACTGGTTACTTTTGGTTGTATTTTTTGAAATAACATTTTGTGTGTCAATAGTATATGATAGAGATATAATAGACTTACTATTGTTGGCATATTGTAAAATGCATGGATAATGAATTGTGCTTTTCTGTGTTTCTTTTTCCTGATTAGCTCCTGGGCTATAACGAAAAGCCAATAAATCTACAAATGTTTATTGGGACAGCAGATGATCGATATTTACGACCTCATGCATTTTACCAGGTGCATCGAATCACTGGGAAGACAGTCGCTACTGCAAGCCAAGAGATAATAATTGCCAGTACAAAAGTTCTGGAAATTCCACTTCTTCCTGAAAATAATATGTCAGCCAGGTATTTTGAAATATACCTAAAATGTGCAGTTCTTTTTTTCTCTATACTTTCAGAAAAAAAGTAAATATATTTTTGAATATAAATATAAAATATTGTTCTAAATGGCATTATGTAAATAATGTACATTTAGTACATTTTCTAAGAGTGGTAGCATATTTCCAGAAGGAAAATTCAATTCAGTAAGTGTTTTTATACTATATATTACCAGCCAAGCCATTATCCTAGGTGATAGGGATATAAATACTGTATCTGGACTTTCATCAAATGGCTCACAGTCTATCTAATAGGGTAGACAATAAATAAACAATTATGATACAATTATGATTGTTCTATTTCCTTAAGGAAAACTTTTGACTTTACCTCCAGGCATCCCACTTGACCCATTTCCAAATAAGATGAGGTGGCCAACTTCTGAATGAGAATGCAATAGAGTTTTGTACAAAAGGATTATATATAGTTGCCTGTAATAGAAACCTGATATGCAGTGGCTTGAACAGTTAGGGGTTTAGTGTTTTATCACATAAACGAAATATACAGATAGATATTTTAGGGCTAGCACAGTAGCTGCATAAGTCATTAGGGCCCCAAGCAAGTTTTTTCTTCTTTGCCGTCTTTAGCATGTGGTTTCCATCCTAAAGATTGTCTTATGATCTAAAATGGCTGCTGGAGCTCTAGCCATGACATCCTTATTACCAGAGGGGTAATAAGGAGAAAGGTGTGGAGGAAGGGTAAAAGGGAACTTCCATTGGAGTCAAATCCTCTTTTAAGAACCTTTTCCTAAAACCTACTTAACAACTCTACATCTCATTGATCATGCTTATATGTAAGGAACACATGGTTATGTTTACCAGAACACATTGTCACCTCAAATAATTTAGGGAGGCCGAGCACCATGGCTCATGCCTGTAATCCCAGTATTTTGGGAGGCCAAGGCAGGCGGATCACCTGAGCTCAGGAATTTCAGACCAGCCTGAGCAACATGGCGAAACCTTGTCTCTACTAAAATTACAGAAATTAGCCGAGTGCGGTTGCGCCTGTCTGTAGTCCCAGCTACTTGGGAGACTGAGGTAGGAGGATCACTTGCCCGGGAGGCAGAGGTGGCAGTTAGTCGAGATAGTGCCACTGCCACTACACTCCAGCCTGGGCAAGAGTGAGATCCTATCTTTAAAAACAAAAAACAAACAAAGCAATGTAGGGGCCTGTTACTGAGGAAGAAGAAAAGAAAGGATATTGAGTAGGCAGGCACCTATCAGTGGGTAGTAGGCACAACCAGACATGGGAAACTTAGATTTTTATTACAGAAATTGTTTCAAACTACACTATAGACCTTTCTTTCTTTTTTTTTTTTTTTTATATTTTTATTTATTTTTTTCAAGATGGAGTCTCGCTCTGTGGCCCAGGTTGGAGTGCAGTGGTGCAATCTCGGCTCACGCAAGCTCCGCCTCCTGGGTTGATGCCATTCTCCTGCCCCAGCCTCCTGAGTAGCTGGGACTAGAGGCACCTGCCACCACGCCCGGCTAATTTTTTTGTATTTTTAGTAGAGATGGGGTTTCACCGTGTTAGCCAGGATGGTCTTGATCTCCTGACCTCGTGATCCACCCACCTCGGCCTCCTGAAGTGCTGGGATTACAGGCGTGAGCCACTGAGCCTGGCCCACAGACCTTTCTTAAGGCAGGAATAACATCCATCCCAGGCTATTGCAAGAACAGTCCTATAAAACAGATTTCAGCTGGGCGCAGTGGCTCACACCTATTATCCCAGCACTTTGGGAGGCCGAGGTGGGCGGATTACCTGAGACCAGGAGTTTGAGACCAGCCTGGCCAACATGGTGAAACCCGTCTCTGCTAAAAATACAAAAAATTACCTGGGTGTGGTGGCGGGTGTCTGTAATCCCAGCTACTCAGGAGGCTGAGGCAGGAGAATTGCTTGAACCCCAGAGGTGGAGGCTGCAGTGGGCTGAGATCACTCCATTGCATCAAGAGCGAAACTCCGACTCAAAAAGAAAAAGAAACCCCAAAAAATCAGATTTCAGTCTTGAGCTCTCTTCATTTAAATTTATATTTAAATAAACTTTTTAGATGAGCTGAGTGTACTCCCTGAGGACATAGAAACTGATATGTTTCTATTAGGTAAAATAAGAGTTGCCTCAATACATAACTTATTTTGGGCAGATCACTTGAGGGTCAGGAGTTCGAGACCAGCGTGGCCAATATGGTGAAACCCCCAACTCTACTAAAAAATAGAAAAATTAGCTGGGCATAGTTGTCCTGTCTGTAGTCCCAGCTGCTCAGGAGGCTGAGGCTTGAGAATCGCTTGAATCCAGGAGGCAGAGGTTGTAGTGACCCCAGATTGCGCCATTGCACTCCAGCCTGGGCGACAGAGTGAGACTTAGTCTCAAAACAAAAAACAAAAAACCTTATTCTGTTAATTACTACCAGAAAAGAAAAGTTAATATAAATTTAAATAAAATCTTTAAATAAATATAAATTTAAATAAAATTTTTGCCTGCTTTGGTTCAGATGGACAGTACTCAAGAACCTAACCCAGCAAATCATTGCATAGGGGCTATGACAGAGTTTTTTCACAGCAAAGGCAGACAGCTAGCTGATAATCTCTACTCTTAAATTTTTTTTTTTTAGACTGTCTAAATTTGTTGCCCAGGCTGGAGTGCAGTGTCACCATCTTAGCTCACTACAACCTCTGCCTCCCAGGCTCAAGTGATTCTCGTGCTTCAGCCACCCAAGTAGCTGAGATTGCACACGTGCACCACCACTCCTGGCTAATTTTTGTATTTTTAGTAGAGACAGGGTTTTGCCATGTTGACCAGGCTGGTCTCGACCTCCTGGCCTCAAGCAGTCCACCCGCTTTAGCCTCCCAAAGTGCTGGGATTACATCTAGATGTGAGCCACTGCAACGGCCTTAAACATTTGTGTTCTATAATGTAGAAAGAACTTTGGAATCTCAGCCTGTATTTATTCAGATACTCGAGCAAAACTTTCTTGAGGAAAAATATTGACACCAGGCATCCTATTGGACACATTTTCAAATAAGGTTAACATGCCCAACCTCTGAATGAGAATACAAGTAGGCTTCTTCCCTTTTGTTCTGGGATCTTACTTTTTTATATAGCATCAGAAGCATGTGATATGTGATTAGTCAGCTGTAGAGGGAAATTTAAAAATCACCTTTGAACTGTCTTTTTCCAAAAACTCAGGAAATTGATCCCTAGACGATAGTTTGCAGGCCATGTTTGCATTCATTCCTCTGGATATTCAAAGCACAATATTCGAATCAAGTTAAATAGAAAAATCACAAGTTTATTCTGTTACTTAACTTGGCTTGAGGGACAGTATGAGAAATAGCCATGAACATACTTCATAATCTGAAAAACCACTATTAAAGACAGTTTCTCTTAGGTTGATCACTATTGCATGCGTGTGTGCATGCACACACAAACACAGTCCTTTCAACTTAAAGGAAAAAAGTTAGTGTTTCCCGATGGCATGGTAGATTTTGCTTTACCGTACAACACGTGGCCTATAACAACTTTATCACATTTACTTTTTGCCTTGGCTTCCAGAACTTCATAGTCAAGCCCGTTTACAGTAATTATAGTAATTTGTACAACTCTAGACTTGGAGTTTACTTCCTAGTGTTTTAAAATTTTTTCTATTTATTTTTTCTTGGCTTTATTTGTATCTATATTGTAAAATGCCTCATATCCTTTCTGAAAATAATATATAAACCAATAAATAGAAAAGAGTATATTAATTTCTATGAAAAATTATCAAGAAATTGGGAAAGGCTCATATCCCAAATAATATGAAAGCATTGGAGCAGTAGGATCTAAATTTACCTGTCTCCTCCATCATCTTCCATTTACTAGCACATGGAACAAGGGTAATAGTCATAATTTATGTCCCTTCCTCAACCAGATCTAGCATGTACTGTGTATTTTAGACCAGAAAGGACCAGGCTGCAGAAATACCACTATGACTAGTAACATACAGGTAGTCCTCCTCCTGCAACCCTACCACACACATACCTAAAACTTCTTGACCATTCTATCTGCTCTGTACTGGTAGATTGTGGAACAGGAGTTCTGTAGGACCCAAGCGTTATGTATATTGGAGAAAGGATTAAATAAGGGGCAACTAGGATGTTACTAAACCTAAGAAACTTTTTTTAGGTACTGTAGATACCAGGGTAGCTAATGATGAATGAGCCTGTTTACTCAGTAGCTAATTGCTAGGATAAACTAGTATCCTAGTAGCTTGTTGAATGTAACTATATTATTCAGTACAGTGGTTGAATATAATATAGTTCCAGATAATGGTAGGTTTAAAATTCCCAGGTGATAGATAAGACCATGGTTCAAAATAATTTATGCATAAGTGAACCTTAAGTATGTATTAAGTGTCTTTACTGTTCTCTTAAGGCAATAAGGTGTGGAAAAATTCATAGATACTCCCTTGGTTTTGCCTACTAAGCCATGGGCTTGGTTATTTCAAGCCTAAACTCTTTTTTTTTTTTTTTTAAACATCTCAATTGGCTTTATTGGTGATTCTGGAATTGGGCAACACTTCATTCCATAAAATACATAAGTGTTCCGACAAGGTTGACTTTATAGACAGAGAAGGGCTGAAGAAAGACAAGCAAAGATCAAAGAACATGTTGATCATTTTTTTTTTTTTAATTGATCATTCTTGGGTGTTTCTCGCAGAGGGGGATTTGGCAGGGTCATAGGACAATAGTGGAGGGAAGGTCAGCAGATAAACAAGTGAACAAAGGTCTCTGGTTTTCCTAGGCAGAGGACCCTGCCGCCTTCCGCAGTGTTTGTGTCCCTGGGTACTTGCGATTAGGGAGTGGTGATGACTCTTAACAACGAGCACGCTGCCTTCAAGCATCTGTTTAACAAAGCACATCTTGCACCGCCCTTAATCCATTTAACCCTGAGTGGACACAGCACATGTTTCAGAGAGCACAGGGTTGGGGGTAAGGTCACAGATCAACAGAATGAGAATTTTTCTTAGTACAGAACAAAATGAAAAGTCTCCCATGTCTACCTCTTTCTACACAGACATGGCAACCATCCGATTTCTCAATCTTTTCCCCACCTTTCCCCCCTTTCTATTCCACAAAACCGCCATTGTCATCATGGCCCGTTCTCAATGAGCTGTTGGGTACACCTCCCAGACGGGGTGGTGGCCGGGCAGAGGGGCTCCTCACTTCCCAGTAGGGGCGGCCGGGCAGAGGCGCCCCTCACCTCCCGGGCGGGGCGGCTGGCTGGGCTGGGGGCTGACCCCACCACCTCCCTCCCGGACGGGGCGGCTGGCCGGGCAGAGGGGCTTCTCACTTCCCAGTAGGGGCGGCCGGGCAGAGGCGCCCCTCACCTCCCGGGCGGGGCTGCTGGCTGGGCGGGGGGCTGACCCCCCCACTTCCCTCCCGGACGGGGCGGCTGGCCTGGTGGGGGCTGACCCCCACCTCCCTCCTGGACGGGGTGGCTGCCGGGCGGAGACGCTCCTCACTTCCCAGACGGGGCGGCTGCCGGGCGGATGGGCTCCTCACTTCTCAGACGGGGCAGCTGCCGGGCGGAGGGTCTCCTCACTTCTCTGACGGGGCGGCCGGGCAGAGACGCTCCTCACCTCCCAGACGGGGTCGCGGCTGGGCAGAGGCGCTCCTCACATCCCAGACGGGGCGGTGGGGCAGAGGCGCTCCCCACATCTCAGACGATGGGCGGCCGGGCAGAGACGCTCCTCACTTCCTAGATGGGATGGCGGCCGGGAAGAGGCGCTCCTCACTTCCTAGATGGGATGGCGGCCGGGCAGAGACGCTCCTCACTTTCCAGACTGGGCAGCCAGGCAGAGGGGCTCTTCACGTCCCAGACGATGGGCGGCCAGGCAGAGACGCTCCTCACTTCCCAGACGGGGTGGCGGCCGGGCAGAGGCTGCAATCTCGGCACTTTGGGAGGCCAAGGCAGGCGGCTGGGAGGTGGAGGTTGTAGCGAGCCGAGATCACGCCACTGCACTCCAGCCTAGGCACCATTGAGCACTGAGTGAACCAGACTCCGTCTGCAATCCCAGCACCTCGGGAGGCCGAGGCTGGCGGATCACTCGTGGTTAGGAGCTGGAGACCAGCCCGGCCAACACAGCGAAACCCCGTCTCCACCAAAAAAATACGAAAACCAGTCAGGTGTGGCGGCGTGCGCCTGCAATCGCAGGCTGAGGCAGGAGAATCAGGCAGGGAGGTTGCAGTGAGCCGAGATGGCAGCAGTACAGTCCAGCTTCGGCTCGGTATCAGAGGGAGACCGTGGAAAGAGAGGGAGAGGGAGACCGTGGGGAGAGGGAGAGGGAGAGGGAGAGCGCCTAATCTCTTTTCTAAGACCATTACACTAACGCATAAGTCACAGAGCTACCCTACAAGATGCTTTAAATATAGGATGCCAGTATTTATTGCCTTAGCTCTTTGCAGCTCCTCTGTTTTTTTAACATTGGATTAATATTGATGTAGCAGTGCTACACCTTGATTTAAAATGGCATGGTGGCTCATGCCTGTAATCCCAGCTCTTTGGGAGGCTGAGGTGGGCGGATCACGAGATCAGGAGATCGAGACCATCCTGGCCAGCATGGTGAAACCCCGTCTCTACTGAAAATACAAAAAAATTAGCCGGGCGTGGTGGTGCACGCCTGTAATCCCAGCTACTTGGGAGGCTGAGGCAGGAGAATCCCTTGAACCCGGGAGGCAGAGGTTGCAGTGAGCCAAGATGGCGCCACTGCACTCCACCCTGGTGACAGAGCAAGACTCAGTCTCAAAAAAATTTAAAAAACAATTTAAAAAAATAAATAAATGTAGTTTTAAAGATAATTTAATACTTATTTTCACCGCTACATAAGAGTTTTTTTCTTGTTTTATTTTGCTTGCTTTTTTGTTTTTTGCATTTAAGAGTTTTCAGATGTACTTTCTGGTACTGTTATTTCACATCTATTAGGAACTTAGTTTGCTGCTAGTATGCCTTTGCTCAGTACTTAATAACACAGATGATCTCTGCTATTTCCCCTGAAGACCCATGTTGGCATGTTAACATGAATAATCACTAATTTGATATAACTTGATAATACTGCTTTGAGCTAAAGTGCAGTTGTTCAGTATCAGTTATATAATTTGTTATCTATAAATGGCAAATGCTTTTTTAGTTTTCAAAATTGTTGCATTTAAAAAAAATTCTTCTCCTGTGTCTTTCTTAAGATGAAAAATTTTGAGTGGCTTAATTCCTTTTGGGATTCTGCCTTCTGTTTTATTGGTTGTCTTTTTTTTTTTCTTTTTCTTTTTTTTTTTTTTTTTTGGTGGAGATGGAGTCTTGCTCTGTTGCCCAGGCTGGAGTGCAGTGGCGTGATCTCAGCTCATTGCAACCTCTGCCTCCTGGGCTCAAGCAGTTTTCCTGCCTCAGCCTCCCAAGTAGCTGAGACTACAGGCACACGCCACCATGCCTGGCTAATTTTTGTATTTTAGCAGAGACAGGGTTTCACTGTGTTGGCTAGGCTGGTCTCGAAATACTGACCTCAGGTGATCCACTCACCTTGGCCTCCCAAAGTGCTGGGATTACAGGCATGAGCTACTGCACCCGGCCGGTTCTTGTCTTGCTATCCTAGTTCTGTAATATATTGTCCTTCAAAGTGACTTCTGCAGCCTCTGTGCAATAAGCATTAGGGTTGGAACTGTTGATAGATCCAGTAAGAGGACAGATAACAACGAATGCCTTGTTAGCAAGGTTAACTAGTATATTTGATCATAATTAGTTATCCATTTGCTTTATTCTTCCAATATGTGAATAACAAAGGTATTTTGTAGCTTCTGTTGTTTCCTGCCACAATAGTGTGTTAAACAGTCATACTTAATAATAAAGTTAGCAGATGATGAAATGTTATACCTTAAATGCAGAACCTTCATCTTACATGTGCATTCCTTAGAAATTCAAGAATTTTAGCCTGATAGATTGTTTTTATTAATAAATACATCACTATAAAAGTCTAAATATGCTGTTGATAAATTATTTCTTGTTCTGACGTAGTTACATGTGTAGAATTAAAGAGTCTTTACTTTATTTCAGCTGTCTGGTTCTAACACTCCAAAAATTTAATGGCTTATAGTTATCACTCTATTATTTTGCATGATTCTTTGGGTTGACTGAGCTCAACTGGTCCATTCACATGGTGTCAGCTGGGGTCACTTAAGTACCTGGATTAAGTGGGAGCTCAGCTAGGGTTGAACATCCAAAACGGCTAGGGTGGCTGGGTGGCTGGAGTGGTTAGGGATTGTCTGGGCCTTTCTCTGCACCATGCTAGTTGGACTTCTTACTCAGGACTCCAAAATAGCAAAAGTGGAAGTTACCAGCCTTCTTCAGTGCTAGGCTCATAACTTGCATATTGTCACTTGGCCACACTCCATTTGTCAAAGCAAGTCATAGGCCAGTTCTCAAGGAGAGCAGGCATAGATACTCTACGTCTTAATGGCAGGAGGAAAGGCATGCAAGTACTGGAATGAAGAGGAATTATTAACTTTGCAGACAATCTGCTAAGTTTTGCACTTTTATCGTACAAAAATATTTTTAATGCCTAAACTTCAGTTTAGCAGTGAATAGCAATCATACATATCTTTCTTTTTTGACCTAATTTTGGGTAGTTTTTTTCTGACAAATTAACAATTTCTATGTAGTTGAGTTGTTTATAACCATGATTATCAATAAACAAATTAAATTTTTGTATTTTTCTCTTTAGTATTGATTGTGCAGGTATTTTGAAACTCCGCAATTCAGATATAGAACTTCGAAAAGGAGAAACTGATATTGGCAGAAAGAATACTAGAGTACGACTTGTGTTTCGTGTACACATCCCACAGCCCAGTGGAAAAGTCCTTTCTCTGCAGATAGCCTCTATACCCGTTGAGTGCTGTAAGTGAGCTTGTGATGATGTTTTAAGATCTTGTGTATAATAGCTTATTTTCTGTTTTACTTATAATGTAATGTATGCGTCTGAAGTGCAAACTGAGGCATACAATCTGGGTTGCTGGTTTGATTTTCTCATGTGGAAATGAGCTAACATGTTTGGGTGGAAGAGTACTGATCTTGGAATTAGAAAATGGTTTCTCATGATAGTTTGACTAGGTAGCTCTGTGAACTACAGACAACCTCTCTTGACCACAGTTTTCTTGTCTGTAAATGAGAATGGGGGGCCTGATGCCATCTGAGGACCAAATCATGAAGCTATGATTCAGATGCTTTTAAGTATCACTTGGTCTTTATTTCATTAAAATGTCAGCCTTCATGCTAGGAGGTACTTACTTCTGTAAGCTGATACTTTAGCTAAATAAGACTTAACAGAGCTTTTGTTCAAATTATTTACAACATCTGATTGAGATAGTGAATGTTTTTTCCTAACATACAAAACCAAGATACAAGAAAAGACCCTGCAGCCTGACATGTACTCAATCCTGGGGAACTGTGGATCTTGGGCAGGTTAGCTGGTATGACTTGAAATATTGAGACTAATACTTGATCTTTAGGACATAATTTAGAATATTCTGATTCCATGTTTTATTTGCATAGGAGAAAACAGAGGCACAAGTATCTCTAGTACTCATTCAAGGTTATTTGCTTTTTAGTGATAGAGCTGTGCTGCCTAGAAAACAGGTTTTCTTATACTCTGTTGATTATATAATGTTTTATATCTGTTAACCGTATGTGTTCTTTTTTTTTTTTTTTTTTTTTTTTTTTTTTTTTTTTTTTGAGACGGAGATTTACTCTTCTTGCCCAGGTTGGAGTGCAGTGTTGTGATCTTGGCTCACTGCAACCTCCACCTCCTAGGTTCAAACGATTCTCCTGCCTCAGCCTCCCAAGTAGCTGGGATTACAGGCACCCGCCACCATATCTGGCTAAGTTTTTGTATTTTTAGTAGAGACAGGGTTTCATCATGTTGGCCAGGCTGCCCTCGAAATCCTGACCTCAGGTGATCCACCCGCGTTGGCCTCCCAAGTGCAGGGATTACAGGTGTGAGCCACTGCGCCCGGCCAAACACATGTATTCTTTTTTTCAGGTGAGGGGGTTGGGTGTTTTTTGAGACGGAGTCTCACTCTCTTGCCCAGGCTGGAATGTGGTGGCGCAATCTCAACTCACTGCATCCTCCACCTCCAGAGTTTAAGCGATTTTCTCCTGCCTCAGCCTCCTGAGTAGCCGGGGCTACAGGGGCATGCCACCATACCTGGCTAATTTTTGTATTTTTAGTAGAGACGAGGTTTCACCATGTTGGCCATGCTGGTCTCGAAATTCTGACTTGAAGTGATCTGCCCACCTCAGCCTCCCAAAGTGCTGGGATTACAGGTGTGAGCCACTGCACCCAGCTTGTATTCTTTTATTATTATTATTATTATTATTATTATTTTTTAGACGGAGCCTCCCTCTTTCATCCAGGCTCGAGTGCAATGGCACGATCTTGGCTCACTGCAACCTCCACCTCCCATGTTCAAGTGATTCTCCTGCCTCAGTCTCCTGAGTAGCTGAGATTATAGGCGTGTGCCACCACACCCAGCTAATTTTTGTATTTTTAGTAGAGACGGGGTTTCACCATATTCACCAGGCTAGTCTCGAACTCCTGACCTCGTGATCTGCCCACCTTGCCCTCCCAAAGTGCTGAGATTACAGGCGTGAGCCACCGCACCCAGCCCTGTATTCTTAATTTGGGGCCACATCTGCTATAAAATCTTTCATGCCTTCTTTTGCTGTTCGCTGAATTGGAGTGATACTTTATCATTTGCCAGTTGACTCTGGGAATCACTGAGTAAATCTGTGGTGAATTAGCTGTAGAACTAATTTTTGTATTTTTAAAATTTAAAAAATATATTCTTTGTATAGATAGGGTCTCACTGTGTTTCTCAAGCTGGTCTCGAACTCCTGGGCACAAGTGATCCTCCCATCTCAGCCTCCCAAAGTTCTGGGATTATAGGCATGAGCTACCACATTCAGCCTATATTAACTTTTTAATGGGTAATATAGGTATATGCTACAAAATTCAGAAATATAGAGTACAAGATAAATTTCCAAGTCAACCAGTTCTCTTGCTTAGAAACAGCTACCATTGCCAGCTTCTTAATTATCCTGCCAGAGGGTTCTATGCCCAGGTAAGCATAGATCACTCTATTTTAAAGTAAAGTTATTAATTCATTTATTTGAGCAGGGTCTCACTCTTTTGCCCAGGCTGGAGTGCAATGGCATGATCTTGGTTCACTGCAGCCTCCGCCTCCCAGGCTTAAGCAATCCTCCCACCTCAGCCTCCCAAGTAGCTGGGACTACAGGCACAAGCCACCACAACTGACTGATTTTTGCATTTTTCCCCATGTTGCCCAGGTTGATCTTGAACTCCTGGACTTAAGTGATCTGCCCACCTTGGCCTCTCAAAGTGCTGGGATTACAGGCTTGAGCCACCATGCTCGGCTGGCAAAGTAATTTAAATAATTTAAGTTCATAGAGTAGTTTGAGTGTTTGAGATGAAGTTACGCTAAAATGATTCTTAATTTTTTTTCTTTTTTTAAAAATAAAATTGGCCAGGCGCCGTGGCTCATAACTGTAATCCCAGCACTTTGGGAGGCCAAGGCAGGTGGATCACCTGAGGTCAGGAGTTTGAGACCAGCCTGGCCAACATGGTGAAACCCTGTCTCTGCGAAAAATACAAAAATTAGCTGGGCATGGTGGCACGTGCCTGTAATCCCAGCTACTCCAGAGGCTGAGGCAGGAGAACCGCTTGAACCCAGGAGGCGGAGGTTGCAGTGAGCTGAGATCACGCCATTGCACTCCAGACTGGGCAACGAACGAAACTCCATCTCAAAAGAAAGAAAGGAAATGGATGGAGTGGGGAGAAAGGTGGGATGTAGAGAAATTCTAGGAGCACCACTGCACTCCAGCCTGGGCGACAGAGTGAGACTCCATCTCAAAAATAAATAAAAAATAAAAATAAAATTAACGTGATTATTGAGAATATAGAAAATGCAAAATGGGGCTGGGCATGGTGGCTCACGCCTGTAATCCCAGCACTTTGAGAGGCCGAGGTGGGCAGATCACGACGTCAAGAGATCGACACCATCCTGGCCAACACGATGAAACCCCATCTCTACTAAAAATACAAAAATTAGATGGGCGTGGTGGCGTGTGCCTGTAGTCCCAGCTACTTGGGAGGTTGAGGCAAAGGAATCACTTGAACCTGGGAGGCTGGGTTGCAGTGAGCCGAGATCATGCCGTTGTACTTCATCCTGGCAACAACGAGATTCTGTCTCAAAAAAAAAAAAAAAAAGCACAAAATGGTACAAAGAATAGTATAATATTAAATTATTTTGTAATATTACTATTTATATATAGTCAGTATTAACCTTTTCTGGCTGTTCTTTTTTTTTTTTTTTTGAGACGGAGTCTCCCTGTGTGGTCCAGGCTGGAGTGCAGTGGCGCAATCTCGGCTGACTGCAACCCCTGCCTCCCAGGTTCAAGTAATTATTGTGCCTCAGCCTCCCAAGTAGCTGGGATTACAGGTGCCCACCACCACACACAGCTGATTTTTGTATTTTTAGTAGAGATGGGGTTTTACCATGTTGGTCACAGTGGTCTTGAACTCCTGACTTCAAGTAATCTGCCCACCTCAGCCTCCCAAAGTGCTGGGATTACAGGCGTAAGCCACTGCGCCCGGCCTCGATTTTCTTTTATTGTATTTGTATGTCTTTTTGTAAACACACATACACACACAATGTTTTTTAATTGGGCTTATCTGATACAGTTTTATATCGTTTTGCAGTTTTCACTTATACTATCATAGATGTTTTCTTCTGTTATTAAATATTCTTCAAAAATATTATTTTCATCACGCAAGTAGTTTTTTGGCATGTTTATGCCATCTGTTGAACACATTTTTATTTTATTTTTTTGAGATGGAGTCTTGCTCTGTCGCCCAGGCTGGAGTACAGTGGCACGATCTCAGCTCACTGCAACCTCTGCCTCCTGGGTTCAAACAATTCCCCCGGCTCAGCCTCCCGAATAGCTGTGATTACAGGTGCCTACCACCACGCCTGGCTAATTTTTGTATTTTTCAATAGAGATGGGGTTTCACCATGTTGGCCAGGTTGATCTTGAACTCCTGACCTCAGATGATCTGCCGGCCTTGGTCTCCTAAAGTGCTGGGATTATAGGTGTGAGCCAACGCACCCAGCCTGTGCACACTTTGCTGTTACTTAGAATGTACCTGTAATCAGTGTTTGTTTTCCGGACCCTTCTCTATGTCCTATTTAGAACAGTAGAGACATGAGTATTTTCTGAGATCTAGGTTGGTGCTTGGTACATCCCAAGTAATAACTGATCCTAAATCCCATACCTATCTTTTTTTTTTTTTTTCTTGAGACAGAGTCTCACTCTGTTGCCCAGGCTGGAGTGCAATGGCATGATCTTGGCTAGCTGCAATCTTCGCCTCCCAGGTTCAAGAGATTCTCCTGCTTCAGCCTCCCAAATAGCTGAGATTACAGGCATGCACCACTGTGCCCGACTAATTTTTTTATTTTTAAATAAAGATGGGGTTTCACCATGTTGGCCAGGCTAGTCTCAAATTCCTGACCTCAGGTGATCCACCTGCCTCTGCCTTCCAAAGTGCTGGGATTACAGACGTGAGCCACCACGCCTGGCTGCATACACATCTTTTTTCTTTTCTTTTTTTTATGATGGAGTCTCGCTGTTTCGCCCAGGGGTGGAGTGCAGTGGCGCGATCTCGGCTTACTGCAACCTCCGCCTCCTGGGTTCAAGTGATTCTTCTACCTCAACCTCCAGAGTAGCCAGGATTACAGGCGTGCACCACCACACCTGGCTAATTTTTGTATTTTTAGTAGAGACGGGTTTTCACCATGTTGGTGACTACAGGTACGTTCTAAGTAACAGCAAAAGTGTGTTCAGGTTGGGCTCATTGGCTCGAACTCCTGACCTCGTTATCCGCCCACCTCAGCCTCCCAAAGTGCTGGGATTACAGGCGTGAGCCACCGCGCCTGGCCCACGTAGGCATCTTCTATGAAAGAATTGATTATAATACTCTCTTTGAATCGGGCTGGCGTCCCAATTTATGTACTTTTGTGGCTAGGTATTAAGTACTTGAGAGCTGTTGTGAGCTGGGAATGGATGCTTTCCTAATGGCATTGCATTTTAAATTTCCTTAAAATACTCTGCTAGCCAAAGAAAACACAGCTGATCTTCAAACCCACCAGTTTTCCCACCCACATACTAGAAGTAAAAGTGGACCTGTTTTCCAAATGTGAAGAGATATAATCAACACTTTTAAAATTTGTTTTAATTCAGAGAGAAACCTAGGTATCTAGGTATTTGGCAAGAAAAAACCATTAGAGGTCAGGTATGCCGACTCACACCTGTAATCCCAACTCTTTGGGAGGCCTAGGCAGGAGTACTGCTTATGTCCAGAAGGACTGCTTGAGCCCAGGAGTTGGAGACCAGCGTGGGTAACATAATAAGACCCTGTCTCTACAAAAAAAATTTTTTTTTAGTTGTGTATGGTAATGCATTCCTATAGTCCCAGCTCCTAGGGAGGGTGAGATCTGAAGATCACTTGAGCACAGAAGGTTGAGGCTGCAGAGCTGTGATCATGCCATTGCACTTCATCCTTGGTGACAGTGCATGACCGTTTCTGAAATCCAACAAACAAAAACAACCGTTAGAGAACCTACACAATGAAAAGAAGTATAATCTACAGTTTGAAACTCAAGCAATTAAAAGAAAGAAATGCCAGAAATAGAATCTCCAGAAAATGTAGCAACTTGGAACCAGTCATTATCAGAGAAAGGTGGCACCGTAAGCACTGTTTATAGAAGTTGATAATGTAAATATCTGGGCCCAGTGGCTCACACCTGTAATCCCAGCACTTTGGGAGGCCAATGTGGGAGGATCACTTGAGCCCAGGAGTTCGAGAACAGCCTGGGCAACAAAGTGAGACCCTATCTCTACAAAAATAAAATATTAAAAATCAGCCAGGCACGGTGGCACATGCTTGTAGTCCCAGCTACTTGGGAGGCTGAGGTGGGAGTATTGCTTGAGCCCAGGAGTTTGATGCTGCAGTGAGCTGATCATGCCACACTGGGCAATAAATAACCTGGGCAACAGAGCAAGTCTCTGTCTTTAAAAAAAATAAAAATATAGGCCGGGCGCGGTGGCTCACACCTGTAATCCCAGCACTTTGGGAGGCTGAGGCGGGCAGATCACCTGAAGTCTGGAGTTTGAGAACAGCCTGACCAACATGGTGAAACCCCGTCTCTACCAGAAATAAAAAAATTAGCCGGGTATGGTGGCACATGCCTGTAATCCCAGCTACTCAGGAGACTGAGGCAGGAGAATCACTTGAACCTGGGAGGCAGAGGTTGCGGTGAGCCGAGATCACACCACTGCACTCCAGCCTGGGCGACACAGCAAGACTCTGTCTCAAAAAAAATAAATAAATAAAATGAATTTAAAAAGAAAGGCTTACTTGGTGTTTGTCTAGTAGTAGTTTCCTAGAACTTGTCTTCTCTTCATTGCACGCAATATAATTATACATCTTTGGACTTACATGCTTTTTGTAATTAGATTTATAGATTTTAACGGATAGTTGCATAGAAGAAACATATTAAACATTTAAGCAAAAAGAAAAGCAGATGAGGTAAATGTGTTGGAGTCAGTATGAAGTTGAAGATATTAATGAAGTTTTATTAGTTTCTTTATAGTTGTAGTCTAAGAAAATAATTGGCTGGGTGTGGTGGCTCAAGCCTATAATGCCAGCACTTTGGGAGGCCAAGGCAGGAGGATTGTTTGAAGCCAGGAGTTTGAGACCAGGCTGGACGACAAAGTGAGACCATGTTGCTATTAAAAAAAAAAATTAGCTGAGCATGGTGTCATGCATCTGTAACCCCAGCTACTTGGGAGACTGAGATGGGAGCATCACTTGAGCCCAGGAACTGGAGGCTGCAGGGAGCTAGGATCACATCACTGTGCTCCAATTTGGGCAACAGAGTGAGACCCTTTCTTAAATAAATATACTTAGAAATCACATTAATATATCTATTTTGTTTTATAAACAGCTTAGTTCTTTTAGTGTGTTTTGTTGCCATTGTCTTGAATTTTAAAAGCCTAAATGAATCCCAAAATTTGCTTCTCTTTATTTTCTTTTTGTAGCTTGAGTTTGTCATTTATGTATCAAAGATTTTTAACTAATATTTTGTTTTTTCTCAACTCTTTAAAAAAATTTAAAACAGCCCAGCGGTCTGCTCAAGAACTTCCTCATATTGAGAAGTACAGTATCAACAGTTGTTCTGTAAATGGAGGTCATGAAATGGTTGTGACTGGATCTAATTTTCTTCCAGAATCCAAAATCATTTTTCTTGAAAAAGGACAAGGTAAGTAATATATGAGTTGATTGACTTCAAACTAAGGGGCAAAGGGTAAAATAAATTATTTAGATGTTTCTGTAACAAAAATTACAAAGTAGTTTTCATAAAGCTATGGGTGTCATTTTGCACTTGATTTTATTTTAAACCAAACATTTATTAAATTTTCATATAAATGTTAAATTATCTTTAAGGAGCTGGGCATGGTGGCATGTGCCTGTAGTTCCAGCTACTCAGAAGGCTGAGGCAGGAGGATCACTTAGGCCCAGAAGTTCTAGGTTACAGTGAGCTCTGATTGTGGCACTTCACTCCTCAGCCTGGGCAACAGAGTGAAACCTTGTTTCTAAATAATAATGTAATAATAATAATTTAAGATGTCTGAAAAGTAGAATTCCCCCAGCAACTCTACTCCTAAGTGTTTACTTGAAAGGGTTAGAAATACGTGTCCGTACATGAACTTAGAGACAAATATTTATAGCAACTTTATTTATAATTGCCAAAAAATGGAAACAACCTAAATGCTCACCAACTGATGAATGGATAAACAAAATGTGATATATCCATACAATGGAATATTACTTGGTTATAAAAATTAATGAAGTACTCATACATGCTACAGCATGGATAAACCCTGAAAATAGGCTAAGTGAAGGAAGCCAGCATAAAAGGACACATAGTATATGACTCCATTTGTATAAAATGTCCAGTATAGGCAATCCAGAAACCAAAAGTAGATTAGTGCTTACCAGTGGTTGGAGGAAGTTGTCAGTAGTGAGTGACTGCTGATGGGAACTGGGTTTCCTTTTGGAGTGATGGAAATCTTCTGGAATTAGATAGTGGTGATGGTTGTACTGCTCTGTGAATATCCCCCAACCCTCTGAGTAGTATACTTTAAAAGGATGGATTTTATAGTATGTGAATTATACCTCAATTATTTTTAAAGTAGAAGAATTCAGTGTTTATCAGGGTGTTTGATTTTATTCCTTCTTGTGCATATTTAAAACACTTTTACATCAGTTGTTTCCTCTCAGTTTTAAAAATGTTTAAAACTTATGAAAGACTTTTTTTTTTTGAGACAGTGACTTGTTCTGTTGGCTAGGCTGGAGTGCAATGGCACAATCTTGGCTCACTGCAACCTCCGCCTCCTAGGTTAAAGCGATTCTCCTGCCTCAGCCTCCCGAGTAGCTGGGATTACCGGCACACGCCACCACACCTGGCTAATTTTTGTATTTTTGGTAGACACGGGATTTTGCCACCTTGGCTAGGCTGGTTCTTAAACTCTTGACCTCAAGTGATCTGCCCACCTCAGCCTCCCAAAGTGCTAGGATCTACGCGCCAGTCATGAAAGACTGTTTTTATAAGAATAATATAATATAACAAATACTTAAACCTACTACCAAGTTTAAGAAATACATTTACCTTTGAAAGCCCCTGGGTCCCCCTTCTCAAATGGAACCATCATCTGAATTGACCCTTGCTTTTCTTTTTTTTGAGACGGAGCCTCGCTCTGTTACCCCGGCTGGAGTGCGGTGGCACTATCTCAGCTCACTGCAACCTCCACCTCCGTGTTCAAGCAATTCTCCTGCCTCAGCCTCCCGAGTAGCTGGGATTACAGGCGCCCACCACCATGCCCAGCTAAGTTTTGGATTTTTAGTAGAAATGGGGTTTCACCATATTGGCCAGGCTGGTCTCTAACTCCTGACCTCACGATCCACCCGTCTCGGCCTCCCAAAGTGCTGGAATTAGAGGCGTGAGCTACCGCACCCGGCTGTAACCCTTGCTTTTCAACCATATAAAACTATTTATAATTGCCAAAAAATGGAAACAACCTAAATGCTCAACATCTTTTTTTTTTTTTTCTGTTTTTGGACTTTGTACGATATTGCCTCTATTCTTTGAAAAATTGTATTTTCAGAGGTCTTAATGTTTTAAGACTGATCCATGTAACTGAAGACCTTTCACTACTATAAAGTTTTTCGTTGTATGAATGTACCACAATTTATTATCCTTTCTCTTACTGGATATTTCGATATTGTCCAGTTTTTGGCACTGCTGTACCTGGTAGGCATAGGCAAGAATATTAAAATTCTTAAATTTTTTTAATCCACTAGAGGTGAAATGGTATTTTGAAATTTGGGTTTGAATTTCCCTGATAGCTGTTGAGGTTGTTATGGACCATTAATATTTCATTTACTATGCAATAACTGTGTCTTTGCCTGTTTTCTCCATTGGATCATTTTTCATTTTCTTAGTGACTTAAGGAATTCTTTATATATTCCGGATATCAGAGTGATTTGGGGGAAGTGCTTCTTCTTTTTCCATTCATTAACAGTATCTGTTGAGTACTCTCATGTTCCCTTGCACATGTGACAGAGCTCACCTCCAAAACCTTCTGGACAGGGGACTGTCTTTGTGGGGAGCCATTAACTTGTGATATATTTCTATTTGTGGTTGTAGGACTAGTCAGATTTGTTTCTTCTTGAGTTTGTTCTGGTCATATATATTTTTCTTTCTTTCTTTTCTTTTCTTTTTTTTTTTTTTGTTTTTTTAATTTTGGGATGGAGTTTCGCTCTTGTTTCCCAGGCTGCATGCAATGCCGTGGTGTGGTCTTGGCTCACTGCAGCCTCTGCCTCCCGGGTTCAAGTGATTCTCCTGCCTCAGTCTCCCAAATAGCTGGGATTACAGGCACCTGCCTCCACGCCTGGCTAATTTTTGTATTTTTTTAAATAGAGATGGGGTTTCACCATGTTGGCCAGGCTGGTCTTGAACTCCTGATCTCAGGTGATCCGCCCGTCTTGGCCTCCCAAAGTCCTTGGATTACAGGCGTGAGCCTATGTGCCCGCCTGGTCATATATATTTTTCTAGGACTTTATTCCTTTCCCCTACATTTTCAAATCTATTGACATTAATTAACTCACAGTATTCTCTTTTTGCATCTGGAGTTATATCCCCCCACTCTTTTATTCCTGTTATTTATTTATGCCATTTCTGGATTTTTTACCAGTCTTTCCATAGTTCTTGGCTTTATCAAACCTTTCAGTGTGCCTTTCTGTTTCACTGATTTCTATATTTAACTTCTTTTTACTTTTTTTATTATGTTTTTTCTTAATTAAAATTTTAATGTTTTCATTCTTTTGTCTTTTTAAAACTTAAGTATTAAAGGCTATACGGTGCCCCCATCACCTCTCTTTTATAATTTCTCTATCTTTTTCTACTGGATCCTTCTTCTTGGAGTTTAATTATGTTTATGTCTTCTCATCCTAAATATTCCCTTTCTCTTAAATCTGTCATCCTCTTAAGCTTTTGTTTCATTTCTCTATCGCTTAGCATCCACCCTCTCAAAAAAGTAGTATCATATGCTTTCATTTCCTTACCTGCTACTCTTTAATCTTTTGTCTTTCACTTCATTGAAATCATAATCACCTAAAAATTTGACAGCCAGCTACTTACTCTCCTTCTTAACACTTTTCCCCCTTGGCTTTGTTGTTATCTGGTTCTCACACATCTTTATTCTTGTTTGTTTTTTTATACGAATTTTTCTGGCTCTTAAATATAGATGTTTTCTAAGGTTTTCTACTTATTTTTCTTCTCATTGTTTTCCTTCTTTTTGAGAAATTTTATTAGCTCCCAAATCTCTCTCTGTAGCAACATGTTTCTCTTAAACTTTAACCTGAAATTTAAAATACCCACTGGATATTGCTTCATAAATGTCTCACTGATACTTAAAATATGAAAACATATCTGACTTTACAAACTAGTTTTTCTCTCTGGGTTTCTTAACTTGATTAATAATATCAGCATCTTCTCTTTGAGCTGGAAGTATGTGGCTGTCTTATTCTCCTTTAAAATTAACTTCCCTTCAACCCTGACCCATACCCTGCCTGTCTTCAAAAAACATCAGTTCTGTTTCATAATTTATTAATTCATCAATTATTTATGTAGCAGTGCTATGTGATATAGACACTAGTCTAGGCATTGGGGACATAATGTTGAATACAACCTTCAGGTTGTGTGCTCTGATAGAGCTTACATTGTAGTGGGGGAAGCACCTATAAACAAATAAATGAACAAGATTATTCCAGATAAAATTGTATGAAGAGGGTATAGTGATAGAGACTGAATTGTGAACTGTTTGTATCAAGTCATCAAGAAAGGTCTTTCTGTAGGTGTCACATTTTAGGTGAATAAGGAGCAGGAGGAAGAGACGGTGTCTCAGAGCTGTCCCTTCCTTTCCACTGTAAAAATTCATCTGTGCATGAATACAATTAATAGGTATTATTGAATTCATTTATTTGGCCCAGAGCTTCACATTTAAGAGCTTTTGACTGAAGTTGAATCATGTTAAATGGTGGCAGTTACTGGTTTTAGAGGAGATTGCAGTTGTAAACATGTAACTCCCATTTTAAAAGCACCTTCAGTGATCCCCTTCATTTTCTAGGCTCCTTATTATGGCATTCAGGCCATAATCTGCTGCCAGTCTTTCCAACCCTCTTTCTTACTGCTCCTTGCCTCATACTTTATACAGCATCACAGCTGCTTGTTAAGTCTCTATATCTTAGGGGTTCATGTCATCTTGCCTGTGCTCATGCTGTCTCTTCTGTCTATAATTACCCTTTCCTCATATTATGAGTTCTGTCTCATGTTAAGTCTCAGTTCAAGAGCTCTTCCAGGAAGCCTTCCTTCTCTCACTACCCCTCCCCAAGATTAGGTTGAAGACCCTGATCCCTGTGTTCTTGGTTTATTCAGAGTGTACCTTTATTAATTATTGTACCCAACACATTTTATTATAATCAACTGTTTGCGTTTGCCTTTCATCCACAGGCTGAAGGCAGGGCATCCTGTCTCAGTTATCTCAGTAACATGAAGTGTCTGGCACATAAGGATCCAGCAAATGGTTGCTGAACTGAGCTGTAATTTTAAGTAGGTGTAGCACTTGCCTGTAGTATCTCTTGTGCAGCAGAAGTAACCATTGTCTAGTTACTGGACTGGAAAATGATAGTTACAACCTGGAAAGCATTTGATGAAATATTTCATGATAACTTCACAGACCAGATGAAGAAGTGATGCAAGCTGTGTGTGGCTTAGTCACTGGGTGAATGCCCATGACACAAAAAGAATGCTTTGGAATAATTGTACATCAGTCGGAGAGCTTTAGTAGCAGATAAGGCTGTCTCCAAATGAGTAGTTCACTTAGGATGAAGAGACAGAAAATGTGTTGGCCAAATCTTCAGGTGACAGAAATCTGGAAAGCCTAGGAAACATTTTTTAGGACCATCAGTATCTAAAAAATATTTTGACAAGTCAAGGGATCCAACAAAATGAAGTCTCCCTGCTGGGAGTAAGTAATGTTCCAAAGGGCTGGGAGAAAAATACCAACTCAGCTGCATTAAGTGCACAGTATGGGAACATGGCAGTAGGAAATGTATAGACCCTTGGTCACATACTTATTGTGAGAGTCAGCATATGGTGCTCCCAAGAAAGCTTCCCCGCCTGCACCCCAAGAAAGCTTTCATTAACAAAGACACAGCATTTCCGTGTACGGTGGTTAGAGCCTCAGTCATTCTGTACCATGCTTGGTCATTTCTCACCTAGGTTATTCAGTCCTGGGCCTTGTGAATTTGGAGGAGCACGTTTAAGCAGAGACCATGAAGTCTAAAATATTATGTAAGGAATAGGCACAGAACTGGGGATGCTAGCCAGTAGGAGAGGAGACACAAGCAGATATAACAGCTTTTCAACATCTGAAATATAATCTCACAGAGAAGCAATCAAGATTTTATTTTGTGACGGCAAGGAATAATGTTTAGCCTAGTTGTTGGATACCATAAAGAGACATTTCATTTATCACGAGGAGCTTTCTAGCAGCATTTATTATCCAAGATGGAATGAGTTACCTGGTGAGGAAGTGAGTTTCCTGTCATTTTAGTTGTACAAGCAAAAGTTGGCCACCACTTGATGGCGGTGTTCTCAGAGGGCTTTTATTTGTTTTTTATTTTTATTTTTTTTAAATTATACTTTAAGTTCTAGGGTACATATGCACAACTTGCAGGTTTGTTACATAGGTGTAGATGTGCCATGTTGGTGTGCTGCACCCATTAACTTGTCGTTTACATTAGATATATCTCCTAATGCTATCCCTTCCACTTTCCCCCACCCCACGACAGGCCCCAGTGTGTGATATTCCCCATTCCTGTGTCTCAAGTGTGTTCTCATTGTTCAATTCCCACCTATGAGTGAGAACATGCGGTGTTTGGTTTTTTGTCCTTGTGATAGTTTGCTGAGAATGATGGTTTCCAGCTTCATCCATGTCCCTACAAAGGACATTAACTCATCATTTTTTATGGCTGCATAGTATTCCATGGGGTATATGTGCCACATTTTCTTAATCCAGTCTATCATTCATGGACATTTGGGTTGGTTCCAAGTCTTTGCTGTTGTGAATAGTGCCACAATAAACATATGTGTGCATGTGTCTTTATAGCAGCATGATTTATAATCCTTTGGGTATATACCCAGCAATGGGATGGTTGGGTCAAATGGTATTTCTAGTTCTAGATCTTTGAGGAATCGCCACACTGTCTTCCACAATGGTTGAAGTAGTTTACAGTCCCACCAACAGTGTAAAAGTGTTCCTATTTCTCCACATCCTCTCCAGCACCTGTTGTTTCCTGACTTTTTAATGATCGCCATTCTAACCGGTGTGAGATGGTATCTCTCAGAGGGCTTTTAAACATCACTTGGGTAGATGGTTAGAATGAACTCAGTGGGATCTGCTAACCTGGGCAGCCCAAGATCTTTCTCCTTGTATTTTCCCCATTTGTACATATTTATATTTTATTTTCATAATGGAAGTCAGTGGAAAAAAGATCCCCTTTGTTAATAAATTTGTGATACTATCCATGCATTAGATTTTGTCTGTATGCTTTCTGATATGAATTGCTTTTAACTATAAACTCTTTCTTTCAATAGATGGACGACCTCAGTGGGAGGTAGAAGGGAAGATAATCAGGGAAAAATGTCAAGGGGTAAGAAATTTACCTTAATTCTTAAGAAATATTTAAGACACTGAATAGAAAATTGAATAATGCTGCTTTATGGTATGGATGACTCTTTTGTATATTGATTAATAAAAAAGTAAAATTAGGCTGGGCATGGTGGCTCATGCCTGTAATCCCAGCACTTTGGGAGTCTGAAGCAGGAGGATTGTTTGAGCCCAGGAGTTGAGACAAGCCCGAGCAACATGGTAAAACCCTGTCTCTAAAATACAAAAAATTAGCCATGCGTGGTGAGGTGCGCCTGTAGTGCCAGCCACTTGGGAGGCTGAGGTGGGAGGATCACCTGAGCCTGGGAGGTCAAGGCTGCAGTGAGCCATGATCATGCCACTGCACTGCAGCCTGAGTGACAGAGTGAGACCCTGTCTAAAAAAGTAAAATTTCTAGCGGTTTGGAAGTAAAATATTTACCTAGTATTAAAGTAAATTAAATTAAAGTTTAGAAAAGATAACCAGTTAGTGTCTTCTTTTCTCCTTATTGTATATAGGGAAGGAGAAACTAGAAATGAAAGATCATCAGAAGGTTCTTATTGAAATTATCATTAATTTCTCTGAACTCATTTAGGAATAAAAACAAATTCAATAAAGAACATATGTATAGGCCTTCATGGAAAAATGAGAAAGAACATATGTAGTGGGTAAAAGTTAGGAGCAAGACAAGTCCTTAGGAATTGTGTACTTAACACATATTTCTAACTCTTCAGCTATTTAGTTAAGCTTTCTAGGATTCTACATTGAAAGTTTTGGTCTTGTTATGGTGGTTGGAATGGAGACAGAGCATTTTCTGGGCTAGGGAATACCACTTCCCACAGTGCTTTCCAAAGATTTGGAGCAGTTAGGTTGAGGATTGTATTTGGTTTGGGGCTAAAGATTTTCACCTTGGTTTTGTAAAATTATTTTTGATATAGATAACACATTTTGTTTAATGCCAGTTTAGAACATTTGGATTATTTTATTTTTTTAATTTTTATTTATTTATTTTTAGATGGAGTCTAGCTCTGTCGTGCAGGCTGGAGTGCAGTGGTGTAGTCTCGGCTCACTGCAGCCTCTGCCTCCCGGGTTCAAGCGATTCTCCTGCCTCAGACTCCTGAGTAGCTGGGACTACAGGCGTGCAATATCATGCCTGGCTAATTTGTATTTTTAGTAGAGATAGGGTTTTAACATGTTGGCCAGGCTGGTCTCAAACTCCTGACCTCAAGTGATCCGCCCACCTCAGCCTCCCAAAGTGCTGGGATTACAAGTATGAGCTATCACACCTGGCTCCAGTTTAGAACATTTTGAATATAAAATTTAAAATAAGAAATCTAAACTATAATGCTACTTGGGAACCATTAAACCTAATTAAAAATCAGAATGAATTTACTGTTAAGATACATAGTAACATGTAATATTCAGTAGAGTAAAACATCTCACTACATAGTATGTAAGACTTTTTACTTCTGCTACAACCAGAAACCCAATTGGGTGAGTAAAAAGCAATTTCTCTTTTATTGATTAAAAGACTTACTCTTTCAAGACTGAAGTATCCCTTTAGTAAATCTCCAGATGATGTATATGACTAGCTGATGTGCATAATTATCTATGCTGGAGCCTTGTAGTTAAGACTCATGAGTTGTGATGTGTTTAACAGGTGCATTTCATTTTTAGTTCTGAGTGTAACACAATCTTGCTTTCCATCCTTAGGCTCACATTGTCCTTGAAGTTCCTCCATATCATAACCCAGCAGTTACAGCTGCAGTGCAGGTGCACTTTTATCTTTGCAATGGCAAGAGGAAAAAAAGCCAGTCTCAACGTTTTACTTATACACCAGGTACGAGGAGTCATGATGGTTTACTATAGAGCTTTCTTTCCTAATGAATAAAAAGTTATTTAACGAATCCTATATTACAGTGTTTAAGGTAGAGTGCTTATAAACAATGAAAACACCAACAGATGCCCACTCTAAAGTTTTTGTTGACTTTAAATATTAGATGTGGTCTCAGTTGTTATTTTGTAATGATTTATTATAAGGAAATTAGAAGATGGACGGTAGGTTTAAGGTCTTTTTTCAGAAGGGTTTTAATCAAAAATTCCCAGCATTACAGAGGGGCAGGTGTTCGTGAGTATGTGTGTGGTTCTGGGTCATGAACTCTCCTTGTACCCTTAGCACCATAAAAAGGCAGTGTGGCCAGGCGCAGTGGCTCATGCCTGTAATCCCAGCACTTAGGGAGGCCGAGGCGGGAGGATCACCTGAGGTTGGGAGTTTGAGACCAGCCTGACCAACATGGATGGAAAAACTTCATCTTTACTAAAAATACAGAATTAGCCGGGTGTGGTGGTGCATTCCTGTCGTCCCAGCTACTCAGGAGGCTGAGGCAGGAGAATTGCTTGAACCCAGGAGTGGAGGTTGCGGTGAGCCGAGATCGCACCATTGCACTCCAGCCTGGGAAACGAGCGAAACTCCGTCACAAAAAAAAAAAAAAAAAAAAAGAAATGAGCTTTAACAGAAAGGTAACATGATCAGACTTGTGTTTCAAAATCATTTTCCTCATATTTCTTTTCTTTATAAAGTGTCAAGAACCAGTTTAATCTTTTCTGAAATTAGTGACTCTGAGGAGTGAGATTTACATGAGATAAGTCCAAGAAGGTGATTCAAACACCAAGAGTGTTTTGAATATACAGACAGAACATCAGTGATGATAAAGAATATCAGGTTTTGGGGACAGATGAGAGGGGATAGGATTTAAAATGGGCCTTAGAGGGGAGAAGGAACAGAAGGGAAAGAAGATAAAGAAGATGGATTAAGATGGATGTAGATGAAAAAAGTTTGTAGATTTAGTAATGGAGAGTTTAAGGAGCTTCCATATGATAGCTTTAGGTTTTTTCCGCAAAAAATGGCATGAAGTGTCCTGTTGTGGAGCAGAGGGAAGTTTGGGTGATTTCACAGTTGGACAATCATGGAGAATGTTTGAAATAGTTTCTGTAGGCCGGGCGCTGTGGCTCACACTTTGTAATCCCAGCACTTTGGGAGGTTGAGGTGGGTGGATCACGAGGTCAGGAGATCGAGACCATCCTGGCTAACATGGTGAAACCCCGTCTCTACTAAAAAATACAAAAAATTAGCCGGGCGTGGTGGCGGGCGCCTGTAGTCCCAGCTACTCAGGAGGCTGAGGCAGGAGAATGGCGTGAACCCAGGAGGCAGAGCTTGCAGTGAGCCAAGATCGCGCCACTGCACTCCAGCCTGGGCAACAGAGCGAGAC
The DNA here is from genome assembly GCF_000001405.40 of Homo sapiens. Taxonomy (NCBI): domain Eukaryota; kingdom Metazoa; phylum Chordata; class Mammalia; order Primates; family Hominidae; genus Homo; species Homo sapiens. The sequence goes on from NC_000016.10 coordinate 68,184,796, forward strand.
TCTGTCTCAAAAAACAAACAAACAAACAAACAAACAAACAAAAAACACACAAATAGTTTTTGTAAAGAGAGAGAAAGTTCTCTACAGAAACCTAGTAGCATTGTAGACTTGATTGAAGGGCACCATTGATGTTGATCATCAATTTACAGATACTATTATAATTAATTCTATAATTAGGGGTTTATTTATTTATTTTTTTTTTTTGAGAGAGAGTCTTACCCTGTTGCTCAGGCTTGAGTACAGTGGTGTGATCTTGGCTCACTGCAACCTCCGCCTCCAGGGTTCAAGTTCATATGATTTTCCTGCCTCAGCCTCCCAAGTAGCTGGGATTACAGGTACCCTGGCTAATTTTTGTATTTTTAGTGGAGACGGGGTTTCACCACGTTGGCCAGGCTGGTCTCGAACTCCTGACCTCAGGCAATCCGCTTGCCTTGGCCTTCCAAAGCGCTGGGATTGCAGGTGTGAGCCACCGCGCCTGGCCCAGGGGTTTAATTTTCTTTTTCCTCCCTTTTTGTTTTTCATACCCCTTGGTAACAAGTTGACCTGCTGTTAAACTTTCTTAAGTAGCACTCAAATTCTTCAAGGCGGGTGGTAAGGTATGCATCTCCTCCAGAATGGGGTATGTCCTGTCCAAAGAGGTTATCAAATACTGTTGAGATGAGGGATTGTAGACTCTAACCTGAATGAGAAAGAAGAGGGCTTTCCAGATTGCAATAAGGAAAAGCAAAATCAGTCAACAGATTAGGGGGTTTGATTACTTACTACCTTATAATGGTAGTAATTGAAAGGCAAACCAGGGGCCGGGCGCGGTGGCTCACACCTGTGGCCCCGCTACTTTGGGAGGCCGAGGTGGGCGGATCATGAGGTCAGGAGATTGAGACCACGGTGAAACCCCGTCTCTACTAAAAATACAAAAAATCAGCCGGGCATTGTGGCAGGTGCCTGTAGTCCTAGCTACTCGGGAGGCTGAGGCAGGAGAATGGCATGAACCCGGGAGGTGGAGCTTTCAGTGAGCCGAGATCGCACCACCGCACTCCAGCCTGGGCGACAGAGCGAGACTCCGTCTCAAAAAAAAAAAAAAAAAAAAAAGGCAAACCAGGAGAATTTGCCGCCTTTCAGCCCATGAATTGGGAGGACAATAAAAAGGCAGAATCCTAGAGGATATTACATTTGGGAATGGAAATCAGTAGAGCTCTGGAATGGAAAGAAAACATTGGGTTGCACTGTAACTCATCACTGGCCTTATGGTTGATAGATGACAAATCAGGTGACATACACTAACAGAAGAATAGACACACAGGAATGCTTGTGTAGTACTTGTTCTGGTTGGTTACTATCTCTGTAGCATTTAGCTTTTTTCATTTTTTTCTAAAATGACATTTTGAATAAAATTTTTACAAAAGTCAGTACATTACTGTAATTAAAAAAAAAAAAAGACAGGTGGAAAGACTATATTAAAACATTCAAATTCTTGGCCAGGCGCTGTAGCTCACGCCTGTAATCCCAGCACTTTGGGTGGATCACGAGGTCAGGAGATCAAGATCATCCTGGCTAACATGGGGTGAAACCCTGTCTCTACTAAAAATACAAAAAAATGAGCCGGGCGTGGTGTCGTGAGCCTGTAGTCCCAGCTGCTGGGGAGGCTGAGGCAGGAGAATGGCGTGAACCCAGGAGGCGGAGCTTGCAGTGAGCTGAGATCACACCACTGCACTCCAGCCTGGGTGACAGAACAAGACTCCATCTCAAAACAAAAACAAAAACAAAACAACAACAAAAAAAACATTCAAATTCTCTTCTATTCTGAGACTATCATTCTGTTCTTCCAGATTCCTTTGATCCACATATAAACAAAATTTTTAAAAAATGGAAATGGGACTAGCCCATATATAGTTTTGTAACTGAACACTTTAATTTTTCATCATCAACAGAGAATTTTACAGAATTGTAATAACTTCTTAGTATTTTGTTGTATGACCTGATCTCTGTTATGTTAGTGTTATTTTGTTTGTCTCATTAATTTGTATGAATACTTTATTTAGAGATTTTATTTTGTTTATGGCGAATAACTCCTTTTAAAATTTTACTTATACAATTTTTAGATAGTCATATTGTTATGGGATCCTTGAGGTGTCACTTTGCCAGCCGAAAACCCCTGTGGCTAGTGGCACCTTTGCCCACAGCCCTCTGGGGCCACTTGGCCTGGCAAGCTGCATTCGGCTCGTGCAACTGGCCTGGATCCCATGCCTGCAAAGGGTGAGCAGAGTGGGAAGGGGTGTGTGAGTGAGTGAGCGTGGGGTCCAGCCACTGCTCACAGCCAGGCACGCTGGCTATGGAGGGTCTGGCAGCTCTAGGCACCAGCATGGGTGGTGGCGCCCTGTGAGGCTGCAGCTGGACCAGGGATACCGCAGGCAGCTTCCATGGCTGGCACTGGGGAACATGGTGGCTCCTAGAAACTTGAGATGCCAGGAACCTCAGAGCCCCAAAGAGGGTGTCACAGCCCTGGCTCAGAGAGCTCCTAGGTCTGGGCTTCCTGAAGGCCGCAGCTCTTCTCTCCTTGTTGCTGCCAACATAGCGAGCAGGGGGCCTGTTTCAACCCTGTTTGTATTACAACTCTTTCAGCCCCACTGAGTTCTTGTCCTGTGCCCAGGAAGAATGAGGTACACGGACAAATGGAGGGTGAGCGGGATGAAGAGGAGCTTTTTTGAGCAATAGAAGAGCTCAGAGAAGACCCACAGAGGGTAGCTCCTCTCTGCAGCCAGGGTGTCCCAAGTGTTCAGCCCTCAGCAGAGAGGAAACTCTAGAATGGGTAGCTCCTCTCCACAGGCAGGTTGTCCTGTTGTCTTCTCAGCCCTCAGCAGAGAGGAGACCCTGGGGTGGGTAGCTCCTCTCCACAGCTGGTCATCCTGTTTTCTCTTTTTGAGTATGGATGAGTCCAGGTTTTATATGGGCTTCAGAGGAGAGAAAGTGCATGCTGACTGGTCCATGGGGGGGCCATGGGTGGGCCCAGAAAAAGCACCGTAAGTTCGCACTCTGGTCTGTGGGACTGGCAGCCCAGCCCCCAGACTTCAGGCCTTCTCCACCCTGAAGGTGGGGCTTCACTGGCAACCCACCTCTTTCCGCCCAGGAACCTGTCTGCCTCCTGTTGCTGTTCATGGTGCCCAGGTTGTTTCTGTCAAGGGGCGCCTGCAAACCAGGGCTGAGCTGCCCTCAGCCCTACCTCGACCTCCCTCCCATGCTCATCAGTGCCCAAAGTCTGGAGGGGGCTGAGGCGGCAGGGGTCTGGTGTGTCAGCACTGCCCCAAGCATATACACACCCGGCTGGGTTGCAACATCACCCAGACTCAGCCTCAACCTCGCTCCAAGATTGAAATGGGCACCAGGAGCAGGGAGGGGCCAGACACTGGGAGCAAGCATCTCTGAGCTGTTGCGGGAGGGGGGCTTCCTGGGTCTCTCTTCCTAGGCAGAGATGCCTAGGTCAGCAGCCATCGTTTGAGTGGCTGTAGCTGCACCCAGGATGGTGGGGCTTCTTCCTGCTACCGCCCCTCTCCCCCCGCCAAGAGCGCAGGGATGCCCGGGTCAGCAGCTGCAGCTGGGTGGCCACAACTGCACCCAGGAAGTGCAAGGCTCCCGCCCTGCCAATTCAGAAGGTGGCGGGGCTTCCACCTGTTCCCAGCTCCCACCAGCTCTGTGGAGCACGCAGTCTTGGCTGCACCTCGCCCACTGCAGCCAGGGTCATGGCAGTGGCCACTCTAGATGGGCAACCACTGCCATCAATAGTTGCTTGTTTTTTATTAAGGTATTTCTGAATTTATTACCTTTTTGGCAATCCCCTTGCAATAGGGATCCAACCAATATCAATATCCAGTGAAGGGATGATCATTAATTGCAAATGGCTGGTTCTTTTAGGGTTTTTAAATTTTATTTTTGTTTGAGACAGAATTTCACTCTTGTTGCCCAGGCTGGAATGCAATGGTACTATCTCGTTTCACTGCAACCTCTGCCTCCCGGGTTCAAGTGATTCTCCTGCCTCAGCCTCCCAAGTAGCTGGGATTACAGGTGTGCACCACCACGCCTGGCTAATTTTGTGTTTTTAGTAGAGACAGGGTTTCATCATGTTGGCCAGGCTGGTCTCGAATTCCTGACCTCAAGTGATCCTCCCACCTCAGCCTCCCAAAGTGCTGGGATTACAGGTGTGAGCCACTGCGCCCAGCCCCAACTTCATTCTTTTACATGTTGATATCTAGTTTTCTCAGCACCATTTGTTGAAAAGACTGTTCTTTCCCCCATTGAATGGTTTTGGCACCCTTGTTTTTGAAAATTAGTTGACAAATGTGTGAGATTTTATTTCTGGACTCTATTCCATCACATTGATTATGTCTATCCTTATGTTAATATCACACTGTTTTAATTATTGTAGCTTTGTGTAGTAAGTTTTTAAATCAGGAAGTCCTGATTTCCTCCAACTCTGTTCTTTTTCAAGATGATATTGGTTGTCCTTGACTTGGGTAGAGTGATGTCTGGTTGGTGCTGCCTATCTCATATAAGCCAGGGACAAATCAATGCCTTATTTATTCCAGCTTGGCTTTTGGTCTGTGCCCATACCTGGTTTATGCCTTGGACACATGGGAAAAAAGATTGTGTTGGCTATTTGAGATCTCTTGAGATTCCATGTGTATTTTAGAATGAGTTTTTCTATTTCTGCAAAAACTGTCACTGAGACTTTGATAGGGATTACATTGAATCTGAAGATCACTTTATATGACTCAAGGACATTTTTTTTAAAAAAAGATCACTTTGGAGAGTGTTGTCGTCTTAGCAATATTAAGTCTTCAATCCATGAACCTGGAAAGTCTTTCCATTTATTTAGAGCTTCTTTAATTTCTTTCAGCAGTGTTTTGTAGTTTTCAGTTATAAGTCCTGCCTTCCATGGTTAAATCATTTCTGAGTATTTTATTATTTTTTGATGTTATTATAAATGAAATTGTTGGCTATGCACAGTGGCTTATGCCTATAATCCCAGCACTTTGGGAGGTTGAGGTGGGAGGATTGCTTGAGTGTGGAAGTCCGAGACCAGCCTGGGCAACACAGTAAGACTTTGTCTCCACAAAAAATAAACATGAGCATGGTGGCGCACGCCTGTATTCCAGCTACTCAGGAGGCTGAGGTGGGAGGATCCCTTGTTGCAGTACGCCGAGATTGCACGATGGCACTCCAGCCTGGCCGACAGAGTGAGACCCTGTTTCCCAAAAACAAAAAAAAGAAATTGTTTTCTGAATTTTTATTCAGATGTTTATTGCTAGTTTATAGAAATATAACTTACTATTTTTGTATGTTGATTTTGTATCCTGCAACTTTGCAGAATGTATTTGTTAGTTTTTTTGTGGATTTTAGTACTTGTTTTGATCCCCACATGATGGCAGAGGATCAAGTGAGATGCATGTGAGAACCATTGTAAAGCAGAAGTTCTATGAATGTCAGAGTCATGATTTCTGGTATATGATGCAACATGTAAAACCAGATGACTTGGTAGGCTTCGGATCAGGGATCCCCAAGTCAATACTTAATTAGGCCCTAGGGCTTTGTTTTTTGTTTTAGTTACTTAATTTTGAATAGGTAATAAATACACAGTGAAAAACATTCAAAAGACATAAAAAAGTATATAGTAAAAAGTAAACTTCCTAATTCTGTCGCTTAGTCACCTAATTTTCCTTCCCAGCAGTGACTCTAACATAGTTTCTTGTGCCTCTTCCCAAAGATATTCATATTATACAGAAGCAAAACGTGTATGTGTATACATATATATATGTCTACACGTACACACAGACATACACGATATTTTATATGAACTGCCTTCCTTGGCATTTGAGTTTGCCCCTCAGCTTACGCTGTAGTTGTGTAACCTAGCATGAAGGCCTGTCATGATAATTTTATGTATTGTATAATAATATTTGCTTTAATCATTTTCTTTTCAGTTTTGATGAAGCAAGAACACAGAGAAGAGATTGATTTGTCTTCAGTTCCATCTTTGCCTGTGCCTCATCCTGCTCAGACCCAGAGGCCTTCCTCTGATTCAGGGTGTTCACATGACAGTGTACTGTCAGGACAGAGAAGTTTGATTTGCTCCATCCCACAAACATATGCATCCATGGTGACCTCATCCCATCTGCCACAGTTGCAGTGTAGAGATGAGAGTGTTAGTAAAGAACAGCATATGATTCCTTCTCCAATTGTACACCAGCCTTTTCAAGTCACACCAACACCTCCTGTGGGGTCTTCCTATCAGCCTATGCAAACTAATGTTGTGTACAATGGACCAACTTGTCTTCCTATTAATGCTGCCTCTAGTCAAGAATTTGATTCAGTTTTGTTTCAGCAGGATGCAACTCTTTCTGGTTTAGTGAATCTTGGCTGTCAACCACTGTCATCCATACCATTTCATTCTTCAAATTCAGGCTCAACAGGACATCTCTTAGCCCATACACCTCATTCTGTGCATACCCTGCCTCATCTGCAATCAATGGGATATCATTGTTCAAATACAGGACAAAGATCTCTTTCTTCTCCAGTGGCTGACCAGATTACAGGTCAGCCTTCGTCTCAGTTACAACCTATTACATATGGTCCTTCACATTCAGGGTCTGCTACAACAGCTTCCCCAGCAGCTTCTCATCCCTTGGCTAGTTCACCGCTTTCTGGGCCACCATCTCCTCAGCTTCAGCCTATGCCTTACCAATCTCCTAGCTCAGGAACTGCCTCATCACCGTCTCCAGCCACCAGAATGCATTCTGGACAGCACTCAACTCAAGCACAAAGTACGGGCCAGGGGGGTCTTTCTGCACCTTCATCCTTAATATGTCACAGTTTGTGTGATCCAGCGTCATTTCCACCTGATGGGGCAACTGTGAGCATTAAACCTGAACCAGAAGATCGAGAGCCTAACTTTGCAACCATTGGTCTGCAGGACATCACTTTAGATGATGGTAAGTTCATCTCTGATATGTTCTTGAAGTAGTGAAGATTCAGGGACTTTATTCTCCCAAGTGTCATGAAAAAGTTTCTATGGATTGCTTATTGGCATATGGTTGGGCTTTTAAATAAGTTGTTATTAGAAATATATGTTAATATATAACTTTGCCAGGTACCACGGCTCACGCCTGTATCCCAGCACTTTGGAAGGCTGAGGCGGGTGGATCACAAGGTCAGGAGTTCAAGACCAGCCTGGCCAACATGGTGTAACGCTGTCTCTACTAAAAATACAAAAAATTAGCCAGGCATGGTGGTGTGTGACTATAATCCCAGCTACTCGGGAGGCTGAGACAGGAGAATCACTTGAACCCGGGAGGTGGCAGTTGCAGGGAGCTAAGATCGCGCCATTGCACTCCAGCCTGGGCGGCAGAGCAAGACTCCGTCTCGGGAAAAAAAAAAAAAAAAAAAAATATATATATATATATATATATATGTATGTGTATATATATATGTATGTGTATATATATATGTATGTGTGTATATATATATATGTATGTGTATATATATATATAGAGAGAGAGAGAGAGAGAGAGAACTTTGAGGGTAGATATGAAAATCCATGCCTTAGCATCTGTTTTACCACTAATATCTGTTGCTGAATACGAGATCTTTTCTTCCAGAATATATAGTGAGATCACAGTGTCTAGAGAATGGAATTCAAGGCCATTAGTTCCATAAATATTGCTGAATGCTGTCCTTTTGCAAGATGAAGCTAGATGCTGGGAATGCGAAGGATGTATTAAGATAGAATTCTCGGCCAGGCTCAGTGGCTCACACCTATAATCCCAGCACTTTGGAAGGCTGAGGCGGGTAGATCTCTTGAGCCCAGAACTTCAAGACCAGCCTGAGCAACATGGCAGAACCCCATGTCTACAAAACAAAATACAAAAAATTAGCCAGGCATAGTGATGTGGCCCTGTAGTCCTAGCTAGCCAGGAGGCTGAGGTGGGAGGATCACCTGAGCTGGAGAGGTTGAGGCTGCAGTGAGCTGTGATCATGCCATTGCACTCCAGCTTGGGTGACAGAGTGAGACCCTGCCTCAAATTTAAAAAAAAGATCAGCAGAGATATGTAACAGATTTCACAGGAAGGATTCAGCAAGTCTTCTGTGAGTAGGTGACATTTGAGCCAAGTTTTGGAGGATGAGTACAGTTGGCTTTCTGTATGCATGGGTTCCACACCTTGGATTCAACCATCTGTGGATTGAAAATATCTAGGGGGAAGAAAATGGATGGTTGCATCTGTATTGAACGTGTACAAACAGACTTTTTTTTTTCTTGTCTTATTCCCTAAACAATATAATATTACAACTGTTCCCATTAGCATTTACATTGTATTTGGTATTATAAATAATGTAGATATGATTTAAAGGGGGTATGTGGATAGATTATGTGCAAATAGTACACTGTTTTATATAAGGGACTTGCGCATTCATGGATTTTGGTATGGGGGGGTTGTATGGTATGGACATAATCATTTCTCAGTGTACTCAGGGGATTGATTTTAGGACCGCCTGTGTACAACCAAATCATGCATGCTCAAGTTTCACAGTCACCCTGTGGAACCCACATGTAAGAAAAGCAGCTGTGGTCTCAGTGCTTTGGGAGGCCAAGGTAGGAGGATTACTTGAGACTAGGAGTTTGAGACCAGCCTGGGCAACATAATGAGACCTCATTTCTACCAAAAAACCCTACAAAAATTAGCTGGGTGTGGTGGTGTGTGCCTGTAGTCCTAGCTACTAGGAAGACTGAAGTGGGAGGATCGCTTGAGTCCAGGAGTTCTAGGCTGCAGTGAGCTGATCGCATACTATTGCACTCCAGCCTGGGTAGCAGGAAAGTGAGACCCTGTCTCTAAAAAAAATTAAAAAGCCCTCCACATATGCAGATTTCACATTCGAGAATATTCTTTTTTAGATCCATGTTTGGTTGAAAAAAGCTGTGTATAAGTGGACCCAGACAGCTCAAAGCTGTGTTGTTCAAGGGCCACCTGAGTATGTTTTCAGTAAATGAACATCAGAGGCAAGTCAGATAACACAGCAGAAATAGAGAAGAAGGGTATGTTTGTCAGGGAAGGATATGTCTGTGGTGGGGTGAGGTATGGGGTCCGGGGTGGGGGATGGGGGTGATTGGTATGGTACAGGATGGTTTTAAAGCCATGAGGGGACATGCCAGGTCATTTGTGTGTAAACAGAAGGTATATGTGTAAACTAGAGCAACACCTAAAATTGCATAGCATTTTTCTATTTATTATCTAATCTAATCGTTACCATTCCTCAAACTCTGAGGTAGATAGTGACATTTATAGAGTTGGACTTTTGAAAAATCACACAACTAGTAAGCAGCAGAACTGAGACTGGTTCAATCCAGTCTTTTTCTTGTGGCACTACAGCTGCCTCTCAGAAACAGCAGGCCATGGTGGTTAGAACAGAACTCTCTACTAAACGGAATCCCTCAAGGTTTTTCTAATTCCTGGAGAATATTCTCCAGAAATGCATGTGCACAATTTCACTGCGTTAACCCATGTTCACAACTGCATCTGATCTGTTACACTGTTTGGTGTACTTGAGCACTCTGGTATTTAAGCATTTTGCTGCTGTTCTCTGTGCACAGCTGGCATAAGTGTCACTCCCTACTAAATGATGAAACCAAAAGGTAGAGAGCAGGCTGCTACTTTTATGCAAAACAGATTTGAAATAAAGGCTTACGCAAATATTGGCTTTAAAAATGTTGCCTGTTTCTTTTAGCAGTTTTAGACTAACTCTTCACATTGCTTTTTACCCTGAAACAAGGACTGAGACCTTGAGTCACTCATTTGTGATATAACTGAAGATAGGAGATTTATTGAGACTTTAAGAGCACTTCAGCTCATTTTTTTTAACCAATGAAGATATTTTTTCCTTCTAAAAAGAGCCCAAAGCTAGAACCTGCTCTTTCTAATTTACCACAGGTTGAGAGATTTGGGGGTAGAGGGTCGGATAGGCAACAAATCAGATCTCTAGAAAGATTTTGGGAAAATGTATTTCATTATTTGAATATATTAAGATTTGTTGCAAAAACAGAAGATCTGGAAAGGTGAGGTCTGTGAGGGCAACTGTAAAAGCAATTTTATTTTTGCTCCCTTTATTATAGTAGGGCATACAAGCAAGAAAGGAGCCAGGTGCCGTGGCTCATGCCTATAAACTCAGCACTTTGGGAGGCTGAGGTGGGTGGATCACCTAAGGTCAGGAGTTGGAGACCAGTCTGGTCAACATGGTGAAACCCTGTCTCTACTACAAATACAAAAAAAAAAAGCCAGCGTGGTGGTGGGTGCCTGTAATCCCAGCTACTTGGGAGGCTGAGACAAGAGAATTGCTTGAACCTAGGAGGCGGAGGTTGCAGTGAGCTGAGATCGCGCCATTGTACTCCAGCTTGGGCGACAAGAACGATACTCTGTCTCAAAAAAGAAGCAAGAAAGAATGTTCCTAGATTGTAGCCCCCCAGAGACTAGCTATCACATTTGCTCATTGCCACCCCTCAGGGGACTTAATAGAAGCTCAGTGCTGCCAAGCAGTAATTACAGAGGGGGAAGAGCAGTACACAATGGTGTGCACCTGTAGTCCTGGCCACTTGGGAATGTGAGATGGAAGGATCACCTGGACTCAGGAGTTCGAGTCCAGTCTTGCCAATATAGTGAGACCCTGTCTCTAAAATTGAAAAAAAAATGGACAGGCTGGGCGCAGTGGCTCATGCCTGTAATCCCAGCACTTTGGGAGGCTGAGGTGGGCGGATCACGAGGTCAGGAGATAGAGATCATCCTGGCTAACACGGTGAAACCCCGTCTCTACTAAAAGTACAAAAAACTAGCCGGGCGTGGTGGTGGTCGCCTGTAGTCCCAGCTACTTGGGAGGCTGAGGCAGGAGAATGGCGTGAACCCAAGAGGCGGAGCTTGCAGTGAGCCGAGATTGGGCCACTACACTCCAGCCTGGGCAACAGTGCAAGACTCCGTCTCAAAAAATAAAATAAAATAAATAAAAGGACAGAAAAAACTGAAACGCACTCTTTTTATTTTTTTGTGATGGTAGTCTCACCCTGTCATCCGGTCTGAAGTGCAGTAGTGCAATCTTGGCTCACTGCAGCCTCGATTTCCTTGGCTAAAGGGATCAATCCTCCCACTTCAGCCTCCTGAGTAGCTGGGACTACAGGCATGTGCCACCACACCTGACCAATTTTTGTTAAAACGCACTTCTGAAAACCTTAGATTATTGGCTGTATAATTTTTGCAAATTGAATTTTTGATGCTTAATTTAAGCTCCAAAATGAATTTATTTTTATTTTTATTTATTGATATGGAGTCTCTATCACCCAGGCTGGAGTGCAGTGGCGCAATCACAGCTCACTGCAACCTCTACCTACCAGGTTCAAGAGGTTCTCCTTCCTCAGCCCCCCGAGTAGCTGGGACTACAGGCGTGTACCACCACGCCCAGCTAATTTTTGTATTTTTTAGTAGAGACGGGGTTTCGCCATGTTGGCCAGGCTGGTCTCGAACTCCTGACCTCAGGTGATCTGCCTGCCTCAGCCTCCCAAAGTGCTGGGATTACAGGCATGAGCCACCATGCCCAGCCTAAAATGAATTTTTGATATTTTTAATTTGACTCATTTATTATGATATTTGGATTTGCCTTTGAAGGTAGAATTTTTAGATGCCTAGAAAAAAAAGTTCTGCAAACTTTTAATGTAAATTCAAATTAGCTGGGCGTGGTGGTGGGAGCTTGTAATCCCAGCTATTCTGGAGGCTGAGGCAGGGAGAATTGCTTGAACCCGGGAGGTGGAGGTTGCAGTGAGCTGAGATCGCACCACTGCGCTCCAGCCTGGGTGACAGAGTGAGAGACTCCATCTCAAAAAAGAAAAAAAAACAACTTTTAATGTAAATCCATAAAATGAAAATTAAAATGGCTGGGCGCAGTGGCTCACTCCTGTATCTCAGCACTTTGGGAGGCCGAGGTGGGCAGATCACCTGAGGTCAGGAGTTCTCCACCAGCCTGACCAACATGGAGAAACCCCGTCTCTACCAAAAATACAAAATTAGCCTGGTGTGGTGGCGCATCCCTGTAATCCCAGCTACTTGGGAGGCTGAGGCAGGAGAGTCGCTTGAACCTGGGAGGCTGAGGTTGCGGTGAGCCGAGATTGCGCCATTGCAATCCAGCCTGGGCAACAAGAGTGAAAGTCCATCTCAAGAAAATAAATAAATAAATAAATAAATAAAAACCCATAGACCTTGAACTCCATAGCACTGGAATATCTCGTTTTTAATTTTTTTTTATTTTTTGTAGAGATGAAATCTTGCTAAACTGCCCAGGCTGGTCTAGAACTCATGGCCTCAAGCAATTCTCCCACCTTGGCCTCTCAAAGTTCTGGGAGCCATCATATCTGGCCAAATGTCCCCTTTCTGGTTAGCTTTATTATATTTTATTTTATTTTACTTTATTTCATTTTATTATTCTTGAAGATGGCATCTCACTCTGTCACCCAGGCTGGAGTGCAGTGCTGTGAACACAGCTCACTGCATCCTCAACTTCCTGGGCTGAAGCATTCCTCCTGCTTCAGCCTGCTGAGTAACTGGGACCACAGGCACATGCCATCATGCCCTGCTAATAGTTAACTTTAAAAGTCATAGAGCCAGGCGTGGTGGTGTGTGCCTGTAATCCCAGTTACTGAGGAAGGCTAAGGCAGGAAGATCACTTGAGCCTAGTTTGAGGCTAGCGTGGACAACATAGCAAGACCCTGTCTCTGAGTATTTTAAGTGAGTCATAGAACATACCAGAAAGGATTGAAAGTGACTAAAATGAACTTTGTAGTTAGCCGAAGCTCAATTTGTTTTAACTTTTTCATATTATGTTAACTGTTAAGTCCAAAGTAATTTCCACTCTACAACCACAGGACACGGTAATTTAAAAAAATTTTTGCTATACTACTTAAAGATACTTATCCTAATAACTTTTGTTAATTCTGTTTTATATTCAAATTTATATATCCTCTTTTAACCAAATCAAAGATCAAAACACATTTTCTTTAATTTTTGAAGTTTTTAAGTAACATGGAATCTCTTAGGCATCATTCATGTATTAGTTGACTGTTACTTTTAGAAATGTGGACATTAACATCAATTTTTTATTATAAATTCAATGACATTTACTGGAGAAGATAGTAATGTAACTCAGCTCAGAATTTCGGGAGTTATAGACTGAGCATGGTGGCTCACGCTTGTAGTCCCACCACTTTGGGAGGCCCAGGCAGGCAGATCACTTGAGCCCAGGAGTTTGAGAATAGCCTGGACAACATGGCAAAACCCTGTCTGGAAAAATTACAAAAGTTACCTGGGCAGGGTAGCACGTGCCTGTAATACCAGCTACTTGGGAGGCTGAAGTGGGAAGATTGCTTGAGCCCAGGAGGTCGAGGCTTCAGTGAGTGGTGATCATGCTACTACACTCCAGCCCAGGTGACAGAATGAGACCCTTGTCTCAAAAATAAAGTAGTTATAGAGCTGGAAAATATTCTAATATAGCTCTCATTTTATGGATAAAACATCTGAATTTTACACAGAGCCTAAGGTGTTCATCCAGGATAAGACACTTGAATTATGGCAGAATAAAGACTAAAACCTGTTTTCTGACTCTAGGAGTTTTTCTAGAATCTGTAATCAAGTTTCTAGTCAGTGTGTTGAGGTTTTAGAACTGGTGTCAAACAAAGAATACATGAAAGAAAATGCCATTTTCTCCATAGAGCCTTGATTGTGAGAGGAACCAGGGTAATCTTAAGATTATAGATTCTGGCCAGGTGCAGTGGTTCATGCCTTGTAATCCCAGCACTTCGTGAGGCCAAGATGGGAGGATCGCTTGAGCCCAGGAGTTCTAGACCAGCCTGGGCAATATACCCTGTCTCTACCAAAAATTTAAAAATTAGCTGAGCATAGCTGGGCGTGTTGGCTCACGCCTGTAATCCCAGCACTATGGGAGGCCAAGGCGGGCAGATCATGAGGTCAGGAGGTCGAGACCATCCTGGCCAACA